>NC_000014.9:42736713-43361713 GCF_000001405.40 Homo sapiens
AAAGCACAGTGCAGCATTTGTGCACAATAAACATCTATTGAATGAATGCCAGAATAATGGGTTTGCATTTTGTAATGAATTTTTAGAAAGAATTTATGATGGTTAAGTGTACCAATGAAAGATCATTCTCCTTGTAGTAAAATTATTTTACCAGTAAAGATAAACTTAAGGAGACGTTTCTGCATTGTGTTTTGTTTTTGTTTTTGTTTTTACTGGTAAAACTAATATCTGTATTTGGCACTGATTATGATTTTGCTGTTTAATTAGAGGACATATTATTTACTTAAAATATGTTCTTTTTTGAGCAAATCTTAACTAGTTTTCTGTATCTGTGTGCCCTTTAACAAGGAAGATAAATGCTTATGCATCTTTTTTATTTTTCTTTCCAGAGTGGGATGATTAGTTGCGTCCCTCTTTAGGGGAAATATTAGAAAATTATTACCTGCTTTGATTTTTCTCTACATCCTAATTTTTTTCTCCATAATTGAAAGGTGCTTATATGGAGTGATCCTGAAACACATTGACATCTTGGGTTCAGACTCTTTCTGCGTTGCATTTATACGGGCCTGCTTTCCGAAAGCAACATGTGTTATTATTCCCACTTTTGCTATCAGTGAGACTGACTTCTTCATACTATGGGAAAAGCTTGGATTTTCCTAACTCTCCACTTTGTGATAGGTTTAGTAGTAGAACTCAATACTACAAGTTTATCAGGAGTTAGGGAGTACTAGAAAGCCCATGTTGGCCTCGGGACAAAGCAGGCAGCTGCATATGACTCCGCTATTTGCCCTACACAAAAATATCCTCCCTAGGTGCCACTGAGTGCTGAAATACACTCCACACTTGACTTTTCAAATTCTGTGCCGTACAGGATAAAGGCCAATGGGATGCCTTATGCTGTTTCATACAAAGATAGGGCATGTGCATCTCTGTGTTTAATCCCCTATTCTAGACTCCTTTGTCTATATTCATTTGGTTCAGAACTCATCATTAAGAGATCTCATTAGTTAGCTGATTTAAAATCCCACATCAGAAAATAAATCCAAGGGAAACTTAATTTTCAGCACCATGTCATTATTCTAGAGATAATGATTCTATATAAAATAATTTTGTCACAGTCTATAAACATCTTTCATGTGCTCAATCATAGTCATGCATTTTTTGGTCATAATACTCAGTGGTTAAATAGTTTATAGTATCTCTGTGCTCGTCATGTGTATATGTTAATTATATGCACATATACATGGATAAGTAACCTCATAGGGTACTATTTATTATATTATGGATTCCTAAAAGAAATACCATAATTTATTGTTTCATAGATAACGTTTGCTTCTTACAAAGGCAATATCAGCTTAATGATATATTGCTGTATTTGAACTGTATTTTTATTTTTGCAAGAGAAAGGGTAAAACCTTGCAAATTAACCTGATTAATGATGATAACTTTAAGTTTATAGTGAAGTTGCATTATACTGAAATGTTCAAGTTTTGGGGTGTTTCTTTTACTCATCAATCTTTTAAAGTACTCAGTTCCCTTTACAAAACGTTATTTGGATAAGGGAAAAGAGTTAAGTGAGGTTGGATGCCGGATGTTTAATTAGCACCACTTCATGTAGCCCACTTCAAGTAGCACAATGCTCTCATGGAGGAAGGGATTTTCTCTCAGTATTTCATTTAAAGTATACAGTAAATACTTCTAAGTGATTTAATGACTCTATGCTGCAAATCATTTAATACATAAAATGAACAGAAAAAGAATATGATTATTTCCAAGTTGGTTTTATAAAATCATGGCAGGTCTTGAAAACAAGATTGGGATATTGTAGAATAAATAAATCACAGTGTAAATAGAACTACATTCATGTGTTTGTCTACAGAACTGGTTACTTATTTTTCTTTTACATATAAGGTCCAAATTTAATTTACCTGCCTTGGCAAAACAAAGATACAGTAATTTTTCAATTAAGCTCTTTTATACTGCCTTATTCCAAACTTGAAGTCCTCAGCTTATTAGCCAGATCATTTGGAATGATTAAGCCTCAATTTTCTAATGTATAAAATCAGCCAGGCGTGGTAGCAGGCACCTGTAATCCCAGCTACTCAGGAGGCTGAGGCAGGAGAATAGCTTAAACCTGGGAGGTGGAGGTTGCGGTGAGCTGAGATCACGCTACTGCACTTCAGCCTGGGCAACAAGAACTAGACTCTGTCTAAAATAAATAAATAAATAAATAAATAAGGAAAAAATTTCATTTTTTAGGCTTAATTTAAATTATTAAGATGTTGGTATTTAATGTACAAATATTTTTGTGACAAATCTGTCATTAAGTTTTAGGATGAACACCAAAAAAGACGTTCAGATTCTTAGATATTTTCAATATGTTTAAATGTGTTGTTTAACTTAAGCAGGTTATAAATTCAAATAATACCAAAGATCACACACAGACAATGGAGATATACTGCCTATATGATAAAAAGAGGATGATGAACTAAATACATCATTCAGTGTTTTTCTTATTTTTAAAATTGATAGTTTTTATTTCCAAAACATTTCAAGAGATAAAGGAAGATAAAATTCATTGGACACATAGTATGTGTCATACAATGTATTTGGCATTACACAGTTTTTAATTCACTTACTTTTCATGTCAGTATTAGAAATTACATATAATATCTAATGTAATACTCTCAACAACTGTGTGAGTTGGTTTCTTAATTCTATAAAGAAAATGTAATTACAATTATAAAGAAATGTAAATTAAAACCACAATGAGATACCACCTTATCCTAGACAGAGTGGCCCTTATTAAAAAGTCACAAAACACTAGATGTTGGCACAATATCATGAAAAGGGAACACTTATACACTCCTGGTGAAAAAATAAATTATTACAACCACTGTAGAAAACAATATCGAGCTTTCTCAAAGGTCTATAAGTAGATCCACCATTTGATCCAGCAATCCCACTACTGGCTATCTGCACAAAGGAAAATAAATTGCTATATTAAAAAAAAAAACCTCCATACACATGTTTATGGCAGCACAATTTACAATTGCAAAGATATGTAATCAACTTTAGTGCCTACCAGTTGATGAGAATATAAGGAAAATTTCTTGAAATGGGATAGTAGTCAGCCATAAAAAATAAAAAAAAATGTATTTTGCAGTAACTTGGTGGAATTGGAGGCCATTATCTTAAGTAGAGCAACTCAGGAACAGAAAACCAAATAATGCATGTCCTCACTTATAATTGGGACTTAAGCTATGAGTACGAAATGGCGTACAGAGTGGTATAAGGGACACTGGAAAACTCAGAAGGCAGGAGGATGGGACAGGGGTAAGAAATGAAAAATAGCCTATTCAGTACAATGTACACTATTAGGGTGATGGTTACACTAAAAGACTAGACTTTACAATTCATCCCTGTAGCCCAAACTACATGTACCCTTAAAGCTATTGAAATAAAAGAAAAAATAAAATGAAAAACAATCTTTCCATTTAAAAATTTACCAAAGTGGAAAGTGAAAAAGCCTGGATGTGAATTCAGGACTCTTTAATGCCAATGCTTGATATCTCCTTTTAATAAAATACTCCTTTCTTCAGTTTCACTTCAGTGTTCAGAAAAAGATTAAATTCATTAGGTATTACCAAATACTTAAATGTTATATGATATATACAGACTGTTTCTCCTTTTACATAGCCAATAACATTATGGTGTATACATATCATGAAGTTGACCAAAATGTGCCAGTGTGGACGTAGTTTTGGGAATGACAAGATTTAGTAAATGACTGGAGACAGATGTCTAATGAGCAAAACGAGAAGCGGAAGATTCAGGAGGTGAATAACACAGTGATTAGCCTGAATCTCCATGATTTCTCTTGATCCTATTATGATAATGAATAGAAATATAACATTTTTTCACTAATTTAGCAATCTGATCTTCACGATTTCCATATGAAGATTATGATCTTTGCATATATACCTAGTTCTAGACACCATTCTCCATGCATAAAATATTGTTTGTCTGTCCAGCTCCATTATAGTAATATTATTCATGCTCCTTGTGTCTTTATATATAGAAACAAAGGAAATATATTTGATAGGTTTATAATTTGATTCCTTTGTAATTATGCTTTAGTGGAGTCCTGTGTACCTCTACATTATATTATACATTTGTCCGTCCTGCTAATATGAGCAAATCAAGGGCAGAGAATGCCTAGGCCAGAGTGCTAATCACGTTGCAGGCACTGTACTAATGGTCTTAATGAAAGGAAGAGAAAGTTAAGAGAAGAAGAAAGAAGACAAATAAAAAGAAAATTTATACATTTATAATTTGATGGTTATAAGTTCTAAATAAAAAATATTTCAGTAGCATTTCCAAATAAAACGATTGATTTACTAACATCATTAACCTTTCATAAATATTTATTTATTTCTTTTCTGGTATAGAGAACATTGACAATATTTATAATTATGCCCATTTTAGTGTATGCATCATTGAGGTAATTTGTAATAAATAATTTTAGAAAAACATGAAGTACACACATTGTAAATTTTGGCATATCAATTACATCTCTATCACTGCAAATTAAAGCATGTAAAGGAAAATCAAAAATTTGAACTTATGAGGGATTCTTGGGAAAAGCACACACTGACATAGGTGGAAGAGGAACAAGATGTCCGAACAGAAAGCTCCCCCGATTGTGCCCCCCACCCCCTGCCTGCAAGGACAACAAGTTAACAAGTTAATGAGCTACACAGAAGAACACCTTCATAAGAACCAAAACTCCGGTGAGCACTCACAGAACCATTTTAACTTTACATTGCTGAGACACAGAAGAGGTAGAAAAAAGACATTCAGAACCGCCAACGCCACTCCTTGCCTGCCCCCAACAGTGGCAGTGTGGTCTGGAGAACTTCTCTGGAAACGAAGAGAGAAAGAATATGGGGAAATAAACTAAGGGCTGTTCTGTTAGAGCGGAAAGGAAAAGCAGACCAAACTCAGCTGAGGCTCACTGAGAGAGGGAACATTTAAACCAGTCCTGGCCAGAAGAGAATCACAGATACCGGTGGTCTGAACTTGAGTGCCCACAAACCTCATCACTGAGGGCCAAAGTGCTCTTGGTCTTTAAGTAAATTTGAAAAGCAGTCTAGGTCATAAGGACTACAGTTCATAGGTGAGTATTAGGGGCAAGCAAAACGCAGAGGCAGTAAACTGGTGGGCATATGAAATACTGAGAAACTAGCTGGAGCAGCCAAGAGAGTGCTGGCATCACCCCTGCCCTAACTCCAGGCTGCACAGCTCGTGGCTGCAAAAAAGACCCCTTCCTTCTTGTGAATAGAGGAGAGGGAAGAGTGGGGAGGATATTGTCTTGCATCTTGGATACCAGCTTAGCCACAATAGGATAGGGTACTTGTGAGAGTCAAGAGGACCCTGATCCAGGCTCCAGCTCCCAGATGACATTTCTAGACACACCCTGGGCCAGAAGGGAATCAGCTGCCTTGAAGGAAAGGACACAGTCCAGCCAGCATTTATCACCCCCTAACTAAAGAGCCCATGGGCCTTGAATAACCAGCAGCAATACCCAGTTACTATATTGAGGGCCTTGATGAACTTCTGAAACTTACTGGCTTCCGGTGAGACTCAGCATATAACCTTTAGCCACACTAAGAAAAAAAGAGTGAAGATCCGAATAAATAAAATCAGAATTTTAAAAAGGAGACATTACAACTGATACTGCAGAAATTTAAAGGATTACTAGTAGCTACTATGAGCAACTATATGCCAATAAATTGAAAAATCTAGAAGAAATGGGAAAATTTCTGCATACATATTACCTACAAGATTGAACCCTGAAGAAAACCAAAACCTGAATAGACCAATAACAAGTAACAAGATCAAAGCCATAATAAAAATTCTCTCAGTGTATTAGGGCTCTCAGTGTATTAGGAACAGTACTAATAGGATAGATGTATACATAAAGGGGAGTTCCTTAAGGAGTATTAACTCACACGATCACAAGGTAAAGTCCCATAATAGGCTGTCTGCAAGCTGAGGAGCAAGGAAGCCAGTCTGAGTCTGAGTCCCAAAACCTCGAAAGTAGGGAAGCTGTCAGTGAAGCTTTCAGTCTGTGGTTGAAGGCCTGAGTGCCTCTGGCAAATCACTGGTTTAAGTCCAAAAGTCCAAAAGCTGAAGAACTTGGAGACTGATGTTTGAGGGCAGAAAACATCCAGCACGGGGGAAAGATGGAGGCCAGAAGACTGAGCAAGTCTAGTTCTTCCACGTTCCTCTTCTTCCTGTTATCCTAGCCATGCTGGCAGCTGATTAAATGGTGCCCACCCAGACTGAGGTTGGGTCTGCCTCTACCAGTCCATTGACTCACATGTTAATCTCCTTTGGCAACACCCTCACAGACACACCCAGGAACAATACTTTGCATTCTTCAATCCAATCAAGTTGACGTTCAGTATTAATCATCACACTTCAGTAAAGTCCACGAACTGATGGCTTAACTACTGAATTCTACGAAACATTTCAAGAACTGATACCAATCCTATTCAAACTATTCTGAAAAGTAGCGGAGGAGGGAAAACTTCCAAACTCATTCTATGCAGCCAGTATTAACCTGATACAAAAATCAGACAAAGACACATCAAAAAAAAAAAAAAAACCTATGGCCAATATCTCTGATGAATATTGATGCAAAAATCCTCAACGAAATACAAACAAACCGAATTGAACAGTATATTAAAAAGATCATTATTCATGATCACGTGGGATTTATGAAAGTGATGCAAAGATAATTCAACATGTGTAAATCAATCAATGTGACACATAATATCAACAGAATGAAGGATAAAACTATATGATCATTTCAATTGATGCTAAAAAGCATTTGATAAAATTCAACATCTCTTCATGATAAAAACCCTCAAAACACTGTGTATAGAAAGAACAAACCTCAACATAATAAAAGCCATATACGACAGACTCAGAGCAAGTATCATACTGCATAGGGAGCAGTCAGACAAGAAAAATAATATAAAGGTCACCCAAATTAGAAAGAAAAAAGCCAAATTATTCTTGTTTGCTGATGAGATGATGTTATATCAGAAAAACATACAGACTCCACATTAAAACTATTATAACTGATAAGCACATTCAATAAAGTTGCAGGATACAAAATTAGCATACAAAAATTAGTAGCATTTCTATATGTCAACAGTGAACAATGTGAGCAAGAAATAAAAAAGCAAATCTGATTTATAATATCTACACATAAAACTAAATACCTAGAAATTAACTTAACCAAATAAGTGAAAAATCTCTATCATAATAACTTTTAAAAAAAACTGATGAAAAAATTCAAAAGGACATCAAAAAATGGAAAAAATATTCTATGTTAATGGATTGGAAGGATCAATGTTGTTAAAATTTCCATACTCTCCAAAGCAATCTACATATTCAATGCAATTCATATCAAAATACCAATGACATTCTTCACAGAAACAAAAAAAAATCCTAAAATTTATATGGAACCACAGAAGACCCAGGATAGCCAAAGCTATCCTACACAAGAAGAACAAAACTGGAGGAATCACATTACTTGACTTCAAATTATACTGAAGAGCTATAGTAACCAAAACAGCCAGGCAATGGCATAAAAACAGACACGTAGACCAATGGAACACAATAGAGAACCCAGAAACAAATCTACACACCTACAGTGACCTCATTTTTGACAAAGGTGTCAAGAAGATAAACTGGAGAAAAGACAGTCTCTTCTTTAAATGGTTCTGGGAAAACTGGAAATCTACATGCCAAAGTATGAAACTAGACTTTTATCTCTTGCCATATGCAAAAATAAAATTAAAATGGATTAAAGACTTAAGTCTAAACCCTCAAACTATGAAAAAACTACATGAAAACATTGACAAAAGTCTCCAGGACGCTGGTCTGAGCAAAGACTTTTTGAGCAATACCCTGCAAGCACAGGTAACCAAAGCAAAAATGGACAAATGGAATCACATTAAGTTAAAAAGATTCTACACAGCAAAGGATACAATCAACGAAATGAAGAGACAACCCACAGAATGGCAGAAAATATTTGCAAACTACCCCTCTGACAAGGGATAAAAAACCAGAATATATAAGGAGCTGAAAAGAAGCCATAGGAAAAAAATCTAATAATCCAATTTAAAAAATGGGCAAAATATTTGAGTAGACATTTCTCAAAAGAAGACATACAAATCGCAAACAGGCATATGAAAAGGTACTTAATATCACTGATCATTAGAGAAATGCAAATCAAAACTACAATGAGATACTTCACCCCAGTTAAAATGGCTTTTATTCAAAAGAGAAGCAGTAACAAATGCTGGAGAGAATTTGGAGAAAAGGAAACCCTTGTACACTGTTGGTGGGAATGTAAATTAGTACAACCACTATGGAGAAAGGTTTGGAGGTTCCTCAAAATGCTAAATAGTGAGCAACTACATGATCCAGCAATCCCACTGCTAGGTATATACCCAAAAGAAAAGAAATCACTATATGGAAATTGTATCTGTGCTCTTAATGTTTGTTGCAGCACAGTTTACAACAGCTAAGACTTGAAATCAACCTAAGTGTCCACCAACAGATGAATGGATAAATAAAATGTAGTACCCATATACACAATGGGGTACTATTCAGCCATTAAAAAAATGAGATCTGGTCATTTGCAACAACATGGATGGAAGTGGAGATCATTATGTTAAATGAAATTGACCAGAAACAAAAGGACCGACATTACATATTCTCCCTTATTTGTGGGAACTAGAAATTAAAACAATTGAACTCATGAACATAGAGAGTAGAAGGATGGATACCAGAGGCTGGGAAGGCTAGTGAGGGGCTGGTGGAGAGGTGGAGACGGTTAATGTGTTTAAAAAAAATAGAATAAATAAGACCTAGTATTTTGTAGCACAATAGGGTAACTATAGTCAATAATAACCAAATTGTACATTTTAAAATAATTTTAAAATTATTTTAATTTTATTGGATTGTTTGTAACTAAAAACATAAATGCTCAAAGGGTGGATACTCTATTATCCATCATCAGCTTATTTCACATTGCATGACTGTATCAAAACATCTTATGTACTGTATAATATACACACCTACTATGTACCCACAAAAATTTTAAAAATAATAAAAGAATGAAAAACAAACACTATAGCATAACTATCATGTTAAGAATTTTAAGTACAGAGTAATTTAAGATTTTTTAGATAATTATTTGGAAATTGTGTGATAATTAACAACTGCAAAGTTGTCTTTAAACCCCATCTTCCACAATATTCATAACATTAATCCAAACTGTAATTAAAGAAATGGTAATGAGGTTTGTAAACTTGATGATAGTTTTTCTTTTACTGAAAAGCACAGTGTAAGAATCTACCTATGCTTCTAAAGACCATTTAATCTTTTCTAAGTACATTAAAAGGAGCAATATATTTTCATTATTTTTGTGTAAAAAAGAAAAAATATTTAATCTTCAATGACCATTCTTTTCTAATTTAGAAAAAAATTAAAAATAGTTCAAGTTACATTAAATGTAAATATATCATTATGACTTTTTAGAAATTTAAAAATGATTTTCATTCACATGTAATATAGTACAGAGTCATATGCATACAGTGGAGGAACTTTGAGAGGAGGCCAAATTTTGAAAATTACTGTATTACAAATAAATCTGTTTCAGGGGAAAATGTCAGAATTAATTTGTATACTGTAAAATTATGTGTTATCAATATTGGCAGGTTTCTCAAGTAATTACATTCTAGTTTAAGAGAGGGAATGAAGTGGATAGGAATAGGACCAGGACAACAGATGAGTGTAATTACATTCCTGAGGATATTTGTATCATACCAAATTAGGGAGTCCTGTACATTAGAAGTTCTATTCTCCAAAAACAGAAGGCTTCTACAAAAAAAAAAAAAAAAAAGACATATATCTAATTATAATATGAACTGACCTTATAGTTTATATCTTGTGAACAAAATTTTTATCTTTCTATTTATATTTAATGTTAATGTTGTAATATTTAATATTTCCATGCATTCTATTTTTATAATCATCCAGGAAAAAACTAGTTTTGGAAATAACAATTTTCTGAATTGTAAATGCAATATTTTTACATGAATTGACATTTTCTAATTGCTTTAATTTGCTAGATTAATGTTATTTTGCTTGTAATCTAGTTTCAGATAACTTTCAATTAATTTGAAATAAATTTTCAAAAGTAGCTTACATATCCAGAAGCTAGAAGCATAAAGATCATTTGAATTATTCATCTGTGTAGTTTTAATGCTTATTTTCCCTCAAGCTTTTTTTTTTATACTCTACAAAGGAACATGTAATTTTCTTGTAATTATTCAAAACAAGATGTCTTCTATCTTAATGTATTATGTACATACCAATGTCTTTACAGTAGTTCTTTTTTACTGTTCAGCCTTAATTTCATTTCCTATAAGTACTTTAAAAACCAAACAAGTATATTATAACAGAACAGAGAAATGAGCATTAAATGATGTCTCATGCATAGCACACAACTAAAGTGAAACAATACATAGTATAAATTGTATTTCATGGACTAGTAGAAAGTGGTGTTGATGTGCTGATCCACTATTTTATAGTTTGAAGTAAAATTTTTAAATTTGTTTTATCAAAATATTTGAAATTCTACCCTAACTTGTTAAGATTTCCAGAGACTTAAAAAAAGTGCCAGAAAATGTAGAAAATAACCAATAAATACCTCTTTCCAGATATCTCAGAATTCCTGAATAAAAATATAACATTATTTTTATTTTCTGAATTCTATTTTTTCTATGTCTCTAATGTCTCTAGATTATTGTTAAACCTTAGGCATAGATCTATAATTTTTTTTTTTTTTTTTTTTTTTTTTTTAGTTCACAGCAATAAACTATTCTGTAGAGGATTTCTGCTGAAATTTAACATCAGCTGGCCATGAATTCCAGCAAATATATGCATAGCATTTACATGTCAAGCACTTTTGTCCCAAGTGCTCCATATAATTCTTGTAATAGTTTGACAAGATGAATTTTATTTTTATCTTCAACTTGAAGATAAGAAAATTCAAGCAAAGAGAAATTAGATGACTTCTCAGCATCACATAGCCAAGAAGTGACAGAAACTAGTTTCAAACTCAGGTAACTAATGCATGATCTTCAACTTTACCATATGTTGTTTCTCTAGTTCTCATTCTTCCCTATACAACAAGAGAAAGAAGTGAATCTAGATTTTGTGGAGGCCTGAAGGTGACAAAATTTGGCTGGTGGGGGTGAGGGTGTGGTTCACTTTAATAAAAGAAATGTAAAATTAGAAATATTAAATTAATCATGAAATAAACAATGAAAATTAGAAGAGAAAATCACTAAAATATATTAAAGACAAAAATACCAAAACAAAATTCAGAATAATACAGTCAATTAAATAACCACTTGACATATACTTGCCTAGAAGGTTTTACTTTCTATTTTTAATCACCTCTTGATAAGACAAAGATTTCAAAACATATATATTTTATGTAGACTATAGAAAAATAATTTAGTACTGCTATTGACATTCTTGATAGAAATAAACCTTTTATTGACAGTTTGTATTCATAAAATATACAACTTCACACATTTATATTTTGTAGTACCACTATAGGTTTTTACCTTACAAAGAAAGAAAATATGATAAATTTAATATTGCACTATTGTTTTCTCACTTTCTCCAGTGCAGTTAAAAGCAAGCAACAAACTCCATTATACTCCTTATTTTGAATGAAACATTCTATGTTCACAAATATTGGTCATCTAAACCTTGTCTTCTATGGATACTTCTAATAACTACAAGTATAAAATGTGATAAATTTAGTAACTCTTTTCAGTGTGTTACCATGAAACACCAGTGTTTTATTTCCCACTGCAAATTGGGCAAATAGTGTCTTTAAATCTAATTAGATTAGCTAATGCATTCCAGAAAATCCAGAATTAATTCAGAAAACCGTTTACCATTCTGTTTTTCTGGCACCACTTTTGGTACCAACCTCTGTATGTCCAGGTTCAAACACAGAAACAGAACCTGTAGGTTATAATTTTATCTTTATTTATATTTATATCTATATGTCACAGTATATGTATATATCTATATCTAACATGTATTCATCTATCAAGAGATGTATTAAAATTAATTGGTTTATACAATCATGGAGGCTTCTGGGATTCCTTGGGCATGGGATGAAGTTCTGGTCTTCAAACTGGAATTTCTTCTTAGTCTGAAAGATTATGGAGTGTACTGATGATCTTCAAACTACATACTCTAATGAATACCTGAGATAAATTATTGAGAATTAGAAAAATTCTACTAATTAGCATAATTTGCTTTCCACAAACCATGTCAGCATTATCTTTACTGACTAAATTATATACCTTTTATAATTGAAGTGCTTTCTCTGATAGAGCCTAATTATCTATCATTCATTTGTTTTATTTTGGCCTCCCATTCCCAGACTCAGACCCCACTGATTGATGAGAGAGGATATGAGAGAGAGAGAGAGAGAGAGAGAGAGAGAGAGAGAGAAACAGTCTATGGTAAAAATATCTTATTGCATAAAGAAAACAAAAAATGTAACTAATAATCAGAAAATATTTTCAGTGGCATATATCCATAATACATATATTACGTGTATTCATGGTGTTCATGACACACAGCCTGTGGTAGAATCAAAAGTATGGCATTCAAGAGGATTTGTTTGACCCTCAAGGTCTTTCTTTAAAATTATTTTGTCTAATATAATGTCAGTGTCGAAGTATAATTTTTGACATTTAATAACATAACTTTTTTCACAAATATATGAGCAGAGGTAAAAATTTTATTTTAGTAAGGAAATCAGCAGGATAACAAAACTAGTTCAAAGGAAGTGATGGGAAATACATATTTTCAATGAAAAGGAGTAATGCTGGAATATTATTGCTAAGTTATACGGAAGACTACTTAATAGCCTAATGCATGATAAATATATAATCCTTTACGTTATAAATTCTGCTTGACAAATATTACTGAAACCTTCGACAAAAGTTATTTACATCTTGTTAGTTTTCTACAATTTAACTTCTAACTTTAAATAGCCTGGACCTTTTTTTTTCTTTTCTTTTTTTTTTTTTTTAGATGAAGTCTCACTCTTGTTGCCCAGGCAGGAGTGCGGTGGCACAATCTCAGCTCACTGCAACCTCCACCTCCCAGGTTCAAGCGATTCTCATTACTCAGCCTCCCAAGTAGCTGGGATTGCAGGCGCCCACGACCATGCCAGGCTGATATTTGTATTTTTAGTAGAGACAGGGTTTCACCATGTTGGCCAGGCTGGTCTCGAACTCCTTACCTCAGGTGATCCACCCACCTTGGCCTCCCAAAATGCTGGGATTATAGGCGTGAGCTACCGCGCCGAGTCATTAGCCAGGTCCTTCATTGGCAAGTAGTTTAGCAGGCAATGTTATATTCTCTTGGAGAGTTGAATATTTCCTTGGCAAGCTTGTTGGGCAATGCTTTAATAAAACATGACAATTATCTATTATTTCAAAATTTTGGATTTTTAAAAATAATGGACTACAGGCACCTAGTGTCATTTTATTTCTTTGTAACTATAGAAAGAAAACATATCTTAAGATACATCTGTCTTGGTAGAGTCCATAATTTTTTTCTTTGCACATCTATAAACCATCAGATCTTACCCATAGATGAAACTGATTTTTGGAGATTTCATACTCACATCCTGAAGAAAAAAGAAAATGTAGAACAATAAGTTATGTGCTGATAATAAGACATTGGAAGTTATATACAAATCTAGGTATCCAGTAAAAAGTTATATGAAATAAATTTTCTGGATTAATGGAAGGAAATTCAAGTTCCTTGATAACTGGGCTCACAAGCAAAATATAAAAGGCTACATTTATAATTTGCATTTATATATACGTGGTCGTAATACATTTCATTCAGATAAGATTGGGACAGTTTTTATTAAAATAAGCAAACAAACAAAGAGAAATGACCAGTAGGATCCTATATCTTGATGTTGATCTTTGAATTGTAATTCCTGGTTTATCTCTGGGAATTCAAAACTTTAAAAAATGTAAATTATGTCTTGACCTTGTTATCTTATATGCTTCCTATCAGACAGAGCTAGGCTAAGGGCTAAGCTGAGTTTTAAAATATCAGTCTGACTTTTCAAAGAGTTATATTCACATGGATTCTTAAAACAAAATCTGTTCATCTAAAACAAATAAATCTTCAGGAATTTAACTTCAATTGCAGGCACTGTTGCAGACCAGTGGGGAATCTGAAGCAATCTTGTTTGTAAATGTGGCAATGTAATTTTATAAATGCATGTATTTCTTAGGTTTTTCTCTTTTTTCCATTTATTTTTGAGATATCCTTTTCTGTTAGTTTCCTCTTGTACTTAAGGTTAATTCTAAAAAAAGAAATGAAATGATACAATCGGAAACAATAGTAAATGCCAAGCCATTTTCAAATAATAACAATCATAAACTCATAAGTGATTAAAGGTAGATGGATTATTCTTAAATTAGCAGAAAACTTTTTTCTATTACCGATATTAAGATTTGTGAAATTGTAGCTTAATTGACTAAAGCTTGTTTAATGTTATCAGTGTGAAAATTTCAGACTGGGGAAAATTTTTAATATGTGAATAAATGATTGTGACATTAGTCTAGAGAATGAGCTAGTGCTTAATTAGGATAATCTGATTGGACTTGATGCTGCATCTATGCACTAATCCAACTGCAGGGGTGTGCCTCATGCTGAAAAGGGCTGTTTCAGGGAATACAGAGTACGTTGCTGCCAAGTTTGCAATTTCCTTGTGGTCTCAATCTCTCTGTCTCTCTCTTCTTCTCCTCATTTTCAAATAATTTTCATAATAAGAGTCAAGAAAGTATAAACCACATAATTGGTTTAAATTATATGACTTTAGTGTATAGTTCATAGACAGAACCTTTATGCTAGGTTTTAATGTCTCCTCTGAAGTTCATGTGTTAGAAATTTAATCCCCAATGCAAGAGTGTTGAGAGGTGGGACTTCTAAGAGGTCAGTAAGTTGTGAGGGCTCTGTCTCGTGGATGCATTAATGGCTTTATTGCCAGAGTGCGTGCCTGATAAGAGGATAATTTTGTTGCCTTCCTCTCTTGCTCTCATGGATGCTCTTTTGCCCTTTTGCCTCATGCCATGGAATGACACAGTATGAAGGTCCTGTCCAGGTGTGGGTCCCTCAACCTTGGAATTCCCAGGCTTCAGAACTGTAAGAAATAAATGTATTTTATTTATAAATTACCTAGTCTGTGGTATTTTGTTATGACAACACAAAACATAGAAAGTATCAAGCATCTCTGGGGTTTCACAGCTGTAGCATGAGATAGTTGATTTTCTTATGTGTAAGAACTTTCCCAATATTCCTATTTTTCAAAATATTTAATTGATTGATGTTTCTCTCGTACATTCAAACCTATGTTAATATGAAACAATGGCTGTCAGCATTTTCTTTAGCTTTGTGAATTCCCAATGGAATAACAATATCTGCTACAAAGAATCACTGGCAATGAGAAGCATGGACAGATGACAATGCAGACAAACAAACAAATAGTAGAAAAAACAACAAAAAAAGTAAAAACAAAGAAAGGTGGAGAATGAATGAAAAAAAGAGTAAAAAAAAGTAATGGAAAACATTGGAGAAAGCAAAAAGTCACCATTGTTTACAATAGCTAAGATTTGGAAGCAGCCTAAGTGTCCATCAATAGATGAATGGATAAAGAAAATTTGGTACATACACACAATGGAGTACTATTCAGCCGTAAAAAAAGAATGAAATCCAGTTATTTGCAACAACAAGGATGGGACTGAAGATCATTATGTTAAGTGAAATTATCCAGGCACAGAAAGACAAACATTGCATGTTCTCCCTTATTTGTGGGATCTAAAAATCAGAATAATTGAACTCAGACAGAGAGAGTAGAAGTAAGGTTACCAGAGGCTAGGAAACCTAGTGTGGGGTTGATGGAGAGTTGCAGATGGTTAATGGGTACAAACAATAGGAAGAGTGAATTAGACTTACAATTTGACAGCACAACAGGGTGATTATCATCAATAATAACTTAATTGTACAATTTAAAATATCTTAGATATATAAGATATTTAAAATAAAATTTAAAATATCTTGTAACTGGCTTGTTTGTAACTCAAAGGGTAAGTACTTAAGACAATGAATATCTCATTCTCCATGATGTACTTATTTCACATACATGCCTGTATCAAAACATCTCACTTACCTGATAAATATATACACCTGCTATGTTGCCACAAAAATTAAAAAATAAACAAAAGCAAATTTAAAAGCCCAAAAAGTCATAGTGTGTAGTGGTTATAAATTAAAATCATTATTTCAAATGTCTCTTCATAAGAAAATAATAAAATACCGTAAAAATAAGAATGGAAAGGATAAATGGGAAAAAAAATCCAGAAGTTACAAAGGTCAGGGGTCACTCTTAATGTTATAATTTTCATAGCATGTAATGCTTTACCAATAGGGAGAACAGAGCTGTTTGCAAATAACTCACAGGCATCTGCACCTTAATTAACATAATCATATTGACATAAAGAAAACATGACACAATTCAGTATTTTTTTTTTTAACACATTGCAGAGGGTCTTTCTAGACCCAAATTTTGAAAGACCCACCTAATAGGAAAAAGTGAAATATAGGTTAACAGTTGGATATTAGGGCCTACTGGAATGAATATCTCATTAAAATACTTAAGTATATTTTAGGGAAATATAATACATGCATAAATGTAAAATTAATTAGGTTTCAAATAAATGTTACATAGTGAAGAGACATGTTTGACTATTAACTCTAGCACTCCCAGTGTATGATTCCTCTTTGTTACTACTCTCAACTTTCTCAGAGGTAAATACAATTGTGACTTCTGATAATATCAACATAATTTTGCCTATATTTATGCTGTGTAAATGAAACCATAGCATATGTATGTTTTTGTGCTTATTTTCCCCAATATTTGTGCATATTAAAAAATTATACATTGATCTATCATATAGCAGTTCTTTCATTTTTGTTAAAAATAATATTCTATTATGTGAATGTACTGCAGTAAATTCATCCATCATACTATTAATTGATGTATGTTTTCATTTTCTGTTAGTACAACTACAGCAGCTCTATGTGTGTTTATTAATATATGTAAAACATATATGCAAAATATGTATATAACATATATGTAAATACATGTTATATATATGTTCATACAAGTTTGGCTCATATCTTTATCTTTTCAAAATATTGATTTGTAGAACTTCTTTATATACATATCAATAAGAGTCTGTTTTTGAACTCATGATACTGGAAACATCTTTTCCCACTGTCACTTGTCTTTTCACTCTTTTGGTCTGTGTACTGATGAATAGAACTTCCCAGTTTCAACACAGTTATTCAATGTATTATTCTCTTACTTGAATTCTGTGTTCTGCTCAAGAAATTCTTATTTTCTGCAAGGCTAAAAAGGTTATTTTCTAATTATGTTACATATGCTTTATTGTCTTTTTTATTTATATATGAAATCCACCTCCAAGTAATTTATTTGTATAAAGAAAGAAGGCCAGGCGCAGTGGCTCACGCCTGTAATCCCAGCACTTTGAGAGGCCGAGGTGGGCAGATCACGAGGTCAGGAGTTCAAGACCAGCCTGGCCAACATGGTGAAAACCTGTCTCTACTAAAAATGCAAAAATTAGCTGGGCATGGTGGTGAGTTCCTGTAATCCCAGCTACTCTGGAGGCTGAGGCAGGAGAATTGCTTGAACTGGGGCCTGGGAGGCGGAGGTTGCAGTGAACTGATTTCATGCCATTGCACTCCAGCCGGGGCTATAGAGTGAGACTGTCTCAAAAAAAAGAAAAAAGAAAGAAAGAAACAAAGAAAGAAAGAAAGAGAGAGAGAAAGAAAGAAAGAGAGAAAAGAGAGAGAAAGGAAGAAAGAGAGAAAGGAAGAAACACTGTTGGTATTATTTTTCACGTGAATATCCGTTAGTTCTGATACCATTTTAGAGGTCTGTCCTTTCTGCACTGTTCTGCAGTGACAATTTTTTTTAATCTGGAAAATTATTTATTTTATTTGGTTTGTTTGTTTATAGATGGTGTCTCACTATGTTGCCCAGGCTGACATGCAGCAGCTATTTACAGGCCCAGTTATAGCGTGTTACAGCCTCAAATGCCTGGGCTCAAGCAGTTCTCCCACCTTGGCCTCCAAAGTAGCAGGAGCTAGAGGTTTGTACCACCATGCACAGCTTTTTATTTTTATTTTTCATTATTTTACATGTTGTACATGATAAATACATATATTATGTGTAGTAACAATTTATAAAAAAATCAAGTATCCCAAAATATATCAGTCCATTTCTGAAATCTCTTTTCATTTTCTTTGGTATAGTTTTCAACCTACACTATGTTAAATAGTTTATTTGTGTGATAATTATCATCTGATTGGGTAGTCTTCCACATTTCTCCCTTTTTTTTCTAAGAATATCTTGGCTACATTTTGTTCATAACATTTAAAGGTGAAGTTGAGATCTGTGTGTAAAAGTACACACACACGCAATGCATAAACTAGCAAAAGCAAAACCGAATTTTTTGTAGAATTTTGACCTTACATTGAAATGTAATTAGCCCAATCAATTTGTGAAAAAATAATTCATTGTGACATTGGATTTTCTAATTTATTAATATGTTCTATCCATCTTCTTAGGTTTCTTACTCATCTCTCTCAAGAGTTTTTTTTTAGATTTATTTATAAAAGTGTTATTTTTTATTAGATTTTTTTCCAGGTATTTGCTGTTTCTCAATGTTACTGTGACACTTTTAAAAATTAGTTTTCGGGCTGGACGCAGTGGCTCACACCTGTAATCCCAGCACTTTGGGAGGCCGAGGCGGGTGGATGATGAGGTCAGGAGTTCAAGACCAGCGTGGTCAACATAGTGAAACCCCATCTCTACTAATAATACAAAAATTAGCCGGTTGTGGCAGCATGCTCCTGTAGTCCCAGCTACTCCAGAGGCTGAGGCAGGAGAATCGCTTGAACCCGGGAGGCAGAGGTTGCAGTGAGCCAAGACCGTGCCATTGCACTCTAGACTGGGTGACAGAGCAAGATTCTGTCTCAAAAAAAAAAAGTTTTCACTGATAATTGCTATGTACATAGAAATTTAATTAATATTTTCTTTTCGACCATTAATTCAACAAACTTATTAAATCTGGTAGGGCTTATGTAGATTCCCATGGCTTTTTTGTTAATGTATAACAGCATACCTTATTTAAATAAGGACACTCTTAAATGAAATACATTTATCTATTTTTTACTGAAAGGGATATGTTCTGAGAAATGTGTCCTTAGGCAATTTCATTGTTGTGTGAACAGCACAGACTGAATGTACACACACCTAGGTGGTGTAGCCTCCTACGCATTTAGGCTATATGGTATAGCCTATTTCTCCTAGACTGTAAACTTGTACAGTATTTAATGTAGGCAATTTTAACATGATGGTTAGTATTCACATATCTAAACATATCTAAATACAGAAAAGTTACAGTAAAATTACAGTATTACAATCTAATGGAACCACCATCATAAATATGTGATCCATCCTTGACTAAAACCTTGCTATTCAGTGCATGACTGCAGATATAATTTTGGCTTAGATTCTTTAGACTGATTTGTGAACAATAGGACAAAACTGTCTTCCAATGCATGGAAGCTGTTTTTTTGTTTGTTTGTTTTAGTGGGTTACATTATATTTTTTTTCTTTTATGTATCATAAGAGCAATTTCCTAAAACAAAATAAAAGTTATAATCTATTACTATATCCAAACTAAAATAATTATATATAATTTTTTGTCCTTTTTGCTGAAATGGTAATGGGAAGTTTGCTGAAATGGATAGTGGTAAAATTATAATCATAAAATGATAGTAGTATTAATATCCAATGAGTGATAAATATTTGTGAACATTTATTTTAATCTCAATAGAAATCCTATTTACATACCATAATTGATATTTTGAGTTAAGAAATTTGAAACATACATACTGTGTATCACTTAGACCCACTAGTATAATGAACAGAAGCCAAATTATAATGACTTATCAAAATAGCAATTAATTAATTGCTTACATAAAAGTTCTAAATAATTCTTTATCTTGGAGGGTCAATTCTTATACCATATTTAGCACCCAGATGCCTTCCACCTTGTGTTTGTGTCATATCCTAGGGCCTTATTTTTGTAGAAAACCTGTTGGCAGAATTAAGAGAGTGGAAGGGATATTGCTCTTTTAAAGATTGGAAGGGATATTGCTCTTTTAAAAGCCTTGGAACAATGAATGGCAACACCCTTCCATTTCACAGTTCTGTGGTAATAACTACCTGCATGGCTATATATAATGACTGTAATGAAAAAAGTCTAGCTTAGCTGTGTCTATTAACATACACATATTAGAAGAGAAGAGAATGGACTGTAAAGAGTAGCTAACAGTCTGTCACGTAAAGACTGTGTAACTTGCCCAATAGCACATAGCTAGAATGTGCCTAATAGTACACAGAAATTCAATGATACCTGATCCTTTGTATATTATACCTAGCTACACAAATGGATAGAAAAACTATCCAAGAAATCACATATGAGTAGTATTTATCACATTTTTTATAATATAAAAAATTATGTTATTTTATACTCCAGTTATCTGGAATTTGGAGTTCTGACATTTGGACTGAAGCTTATCTTTTCTTGGTTACTCCCTAATCAAGCACAACCTAACTATTTGGAACAAACAAGATTGTAAGAGACTATTTACTGAATATTATGGAACAAAAGCTGAAAGCCTCTTGGAGGACATCCAAAGACTTAATTTCGCATAATTAATTGATGTTATAATTAAAAATTACTCGTGTTTATTTATTAAATTAAGTTTTCTAAGGATTTCATGTAAACTATTATTAGATGAATATTTACTAGGTTGTTTAAATAAACAAATTTTAATTTATTTAGCCTATTCATTCATTTAAATGTTTAATTAATTTAACATGCTTAATGACTTAAAACATAAGCTAAACTTTAACTGTTTCTGAGTGAATTACTCTTGTTTGAAGTCCTATTTACCTGGCCCACTCCTTTTATTCTGAATCTATTATCCTGTTTATTAAATGTTTACATTAAAATATTTATGTCTATAAAGATTCATTCTTTGTTTATGTCTACATCTCTTTTTTGTTATAATACTCTTCTGCATTATTTTCACTTATGCTGTTTTCAACTGCACAGATTATGTAGATATCAGATGTCAAATATTTTTAACTTACAAGTTCAAGTTTTGTATTTGAACGTATAAGTTAAAAGTATTCGTTTTTCTTTTCTTTTCTTTCTTTCTTTCTTTTTTTTTTTTTTTTTTTTTTGTTGTTGTTGTTTAGGCAGGGTCTCACTCTTATTGCCAGATGAAGTACAGTAAGTAGCATGATTTCAGCTTACTGCAGCCTCAACCTCCCTGGGCTCAGGTAATCCTTCCCCTTCAGCCTCCCAAGTAGCGGGGACTACAGGCACATGCTGCCACACCTGGCTAATGTTTTGAATTTTTAGTAGAGATGGTTTTTGCCATGTTTCCCAGGCTGGTCTCCAACTCCTGGACTCATGCAATTCGCCCGCCTTGGCCTCCCAAAGTGCTGGGATTGCAGGCGTGAGCTACTGCACCTGGCTGCACTTAAACATATTTTCTCATGGAGGCACTTCAAACCAGAGGCTTTCCTGTCAACAAAATTTAATTAAATATGTATTTCTATGATTTTGAAGTTATTCATGCTCTTATAAAAATGAAAAACATTTAATCCATTATTTAATACATCCATGGCTTTTTAATTAACCATTTTAAAGATATTTGAATAAAACAAAAAATAATGTGCCAACTGAAAATTTATGGACATTAAAGATGATTTTATTTCTACTCCAGATATATTCATTGTTTCATAAGATAATTAGCTGTATTTTAATACTCATATTTATGTTTAATTCAAAATAACTGTTGTATATGAAGAAAGAGGAATGATGGCTGATAAAAATATAAGAAAAATGGCTTATAATCAGTGACCCCTCATATGTGTTATAAAGTTACTTTTATATTAAAACCACAAACTCTTGATTCTGACAGAATTATATTAAATATGCTGACATTTGCACGTCCCCTCCAAAGCCAAAATTTTAGTAAAGCTTTATCTTTATAAAATATATAAACTTCCTCCTCTATCATTTCTAGTCTATGTACTCATGTTTTGATAAGGGAAATAAAATATTCCCAGTATTCTTATTTTATGTCAGCTCAGTGTGTAGCATTACTTTCCAGCTGTTTACATAATGTTCATATCATTTGACATTTCTTTCAAAGGCATTGGTCTGGAATCATGTGGTGCCTAGTAGCCACCTAACTTCTCTATCTGAAATTCATACCTTGCTTGAGTTCTCTTCCCAGTGCTGTCTCAGAGCTGCATCTGTACTTTGATGCTTCCCTCCAGTATCACCCTCACTAGGGGCCAAGGAGTCAACAGGGTCAAGAGGACATGCCTGCTTTAAGCTAGATCACAGGGACCACTTTCTGACCTTCATAGTCCTGAGCTCAGTACGAGTACCTGCTCAGTTTTCTCCGCAGGTCTGTTTTCCCACAGCCTATAATTGTTGCTGGTATAGACACACCTAAGTTCGAACAGCGGCTAAGGAGCAGCTGTCCCTGAAGCTTGGATAGACGTTACCCATGTGAATGTCCACATGTATGAGTGAGGCACCTGTTGTGCAGGCGAACTTTCTCTTTTCTCTACGTGTTTGACATACTAGAGCTCTCTTACTACAAGTATTCCTCTTTAACTTGTATAATTGTTATCTGCATAATGATTATAAACCATTATTGTTAACATGAGTTGATGGAGGACATAGGCTATATCTGACCTTTGTACACTCCCCCACATATATCCTTTTGCTCCCCACATTCCTCTCCCTGTGGTGCATAGACACTATGAATATCATACTCTAATAGTTACAGGAGATTTAAGAGAATAATTTTGAGGAGAAGAATGTTTAAATTATTTAGATGTTATTTACTTTCCAAAGTATATCACATTTCCTGTCATTTTTATCATATGCTTATCTTTCAGAAAATGAGGATTTATTGTAGGTTTGATTCAGTAGGAACTCAAATGAACAGGCAAGACTCAGTCTCAAAAAAAAAAAAATTGAAAGGCTGATGGCAGTGTGGGTCAGGTAGGGGATGTTGGTTGCCACTACTGGGGATGGCGAACCTGTTTCTTCTGACAAAAAAAAATAGGTTAATCAGAGTTTATTAGCTCAGTGTCTCCAGCTTCATGAGGGTCCTTACCACATCCTTATTCCAATTTAGGGTCTCATTCTTTTCCAATTAATGTCCTCACTTTAACAGTAGACATCTAGTGAGGCTGTGCATGCATCTTTCATTACAGGACAGCCACTTGCATGGTAAGAGCTTGTGTCTATTTTTCTACAATTTCAGCTCTTTTTCGACAAGAGGTCAGATTCTCACTCAGGGCAATCTTAGGAGATTTGAGGCTCAGTATCTTTCTGAAGCTGGGAGTTAGAAGCCCTGAGTTCATCATTTTCTTTTATTACTTTGTCCAGTGAACTTAGGAGCAACCAACCAAGTTCATTACATTTCTTGGTTCTCCACGTATAGTCAAAGGTATTATGTTTAGAGTCACTAAACTTCTTGACTCTCACAAGTGGTGAATTAGCAATGTCATATGCATTTATTTTGCATAACTCTCTAAGAAGTTTATGACAAGGACTGTCAGCATTCTCCATACTATTAAAAGTAGAGTCCTTATCATTATTCGGTCTAATCATATTAAGCAGCCAACTCCAGACAACTTAAAACAAATGAAAAAACTTCATCCTTAATATTATGTTCATCTAGAATCACTCCTATTACCAAAATCTGTATTAGCCATGGTTCTCCAGAGGGACAGAACTAGTATATATACATATATGTGTATATATATATACATGGGAGTTTATTAAGTAGTATTAACTCACAGGATCGCAATGTCCCACCATAGGCGGTCTGCAAGCTGAAGAGCAAGGAAGCTAGTCCAAGTCACATAGCTGAAGAACTTGGAGTCCGATGTTTGGGGGCAGGAAGCGTCCAGCATAGGAGAAAGACATAGGCTGGGAGGTTAAGCCAGTCTAGCCTTTTCATGATTTTCTACCTGCTTTATATTCTAGCTGAGATGGCTGCTGATGAGATGGTGCCCACTCAGATTAAGGGTGGGTCTGCCTTTCGCAGCCCACTCACTCAAATCTTAATCTCCTTTGGCAACACCCTCACAGACACACCAGAATCAATAATTTGCATTGTTCAATTCAATCAACTTGACACACATTTGTGTGTGTGTTTGTGGGTTCTTTATTCTACATATCACAAACTCCCATTTCCAAGGAAGATATTTGTTACCTACTTTTTTGTGAAACTGGATTCAAGTGCATAGGTCATCTCAGTAGAGTCGTCTATGGATAAGACAGAAACATATATTGTTTCCCAGTTATAATTCTCAGTCTCAGAAGTGATACAATTAATAGTCTTTATTAAGGTTTTTTAGAACAATTTTAGTCATATAAAATTTATAAACACCATGCAAACTGTATCATTCATTGATTAGATACATATTAGGTTGGTGTAAAAGTGATTTTGGTTTTTGCCATTACTTTTAATAGCAAAAACCACAATTTTGCATCAACCTAATAGAGAATTGTGCAGCTATAATCTCTATCTAATTTTAGAACATATTTATCCTCCTCTAGAAAACAAATTTCCTGCCCATTAATGCCTTATCCTCCCTCCTTTATCAAGCAACCACTATCTACGTATGTCTTTATTGCCTAGCCCATTCTGAACATATTACATTGTTGGAATTATATAAAACTGGTCTCTTGTCTGCCTTCTCCTAAGCAGAATAATGTTTTTGAGGTTCATTATATTGTAGCATGTAATGGTATTTACTCTTTTTTATTGCTACAGTTTATTCTATTGTAAAGTTACTTTATCCATTTATTAGCTAATGAATATCTGCATGGTTTCTACTGTTAGATTATTATGAATATTGCTGTCCTGACATTTATGGACAAGTGTTTGTGTAGACATATGGTTTCATTTTTCTTTTTTTTCTGTTTTGTTTTGTTTTGTTTTGTTTTGTTTTTTGAGATGGAGTCCTGCTCTGTCGCCCAGGCTGGAATGCAATGGCACAATCCTGTCTCACTGCAACCTCCACCTCCTAGGTTCAAGCAATTTTCCTGCCTCAGCCTCCTGAGTAGCTGAGATTGCAGGCATGTGCCACTACGCCCAGCTAATTTTTGTATTTTCAGTAGAGGCGGGGTTTCACCATGTTGGCCAGGCTGGTCTCAAACTCCTGACCTCAGGTGAGCCACCTGCCTCTGCCTCCCAAAATGTTGAGATTATAGGCATGAGCCCCTGCGTCTGGCCATGTTTTTATTTTTCTTTGGTAAATACCAGGAGTGTGTTGCTTGGTCATATGGGAACTCTGTACGTAACTGATTTTCAAAGTGCCTGTGCAATTTTACATTTCCAAGAGCAATGCATAAGTATTCCTCTTTTCTTATGTCTTTGTCAATACTTATTGTTTGTCTTTTTGATAATAGCAGTTTTAGTGACTGTGAAGTAGTATTTCACCATATTTTTATTTATTGCTCTGACTGATTATGGTGACTACCTTTTTGATGAGATTATTGACCTTCTTTGAATACATGTCTACTCATATTCTATACCCTTTTCCTTAATTGCATTATCATTTTTCTTTAGTTATGAGTTCTTTAAATATTCTGCGTGTGTGCAAGCTTTCTATCAGATCTATAGTTTTAAAGATTTTCTACAATTGTTTGGTGTTGTCTTTTTAACTGATAGTTTACTTTGCGATAAAAACATTTTAAATTTTGATTAGTACACTATTTATTTTGTCTTTTATCACTTATGTCTTTGCTTTGATGTCTATGCAATCATTTTCTAAACCAGGGTCACAAAGATTTACTCTTATACTATCTTCTACGAGTTTAATAGTTTTAACTGTTTTATTTAGGTCCATAGATTCTTTTTGAGTCTTTATGTTTAATATGGTGTGAGGTTGGGGTCAAAATTTGTCAATTTGAATGTGGATATTTATTTAGCTCTTTGATTAAGCTACTATGCCCAACCAAATTGGCAGCCTTACTGAAAATCAATTGACCCTATAGATAAGAGTTTATTTCTTTATCCTCAGTTATATTACATTGATCTTTATATCTAATGTTATATCAGTATTACATTGTTTCAATCACTACAGCTTTATTGTAAATTCTAAAATTGGCAAGTGTGAGTGCTCCAAATTTATATATTTTTAAAGATTGTTTTGTTTTTGCTATTTTTTTACATATGAATATAAATTTCAGGGTTGTCTCTTAAATATCTTTTAGAAAGTAGAGTTTTGATAGGGATTCTGTTGAGTCAGGAAATCAATTTGGGGAATTTTGCCATTTTAATGATAAGATTTCCATTCCACAAATGTCTTTCCATTTAACTATTTTTTTTTAAATTATTTTAAATGATGGCTTAAAAATGGGCATAGAATCTGAATACATATTTCTCCAAAGAAAACATACAGATTATCAACAATTATATGAAAAAAGGTGCTTAATAAACTAGATATTAGAAAAAAGCAAATGCAATGTAGATGAGATATCACTTTGTGCATTTTAGGGTGGCTTACCAAAAAGTCAAATGGAAATAAATGTGGGCAAGGGTGTGAAGAACAGGCAACCCTTGTACACTGTTGGTGAGAATGTAAGTTGGTACAGCATTACAAAATACAGCATGGAGATCCCTCAAAATAATATTTTTTTAAACTATACAATCCAACAATCTCACTTCTAGGTATGTATTCAAATAAAATGAAATCAGTAGTTTCCAGTTTCAATCTTACATTACACTTAAATAAATTTGATTTAAAAAATTTTTTTTATTGCCCATTGCCAGCATAGTAAATTATTTTTTATGTTGATGTTGTATTCTGCATCCTTATTGAGCTTGTTTCTTAGTTCTAATAGGTTTTTATTTTTGTTTTTGTTGATTTCCTGGGATTTTCTACATATAAGATTATGCCATCTGTAAATAAACGCAGTGTTATTTTTTTCTTTTCCAAACTGAATTCTTTTTTTTTTTTTGGCATAATTTTACTAGCTAAAATATCTAGCCCAATCTTAAATAGAAGTGTTCAAAGCAGACATCATTGTCTTATTTTCAATGGAAGCGGGGAAAGATTTTTTTTTTTTCTTTGAGATGGAGTCTCGCTCTCTTGCAAGATTTTTTTTTCACTATTATATATGATGTTAGATGCAGGTTTTTAAAAAACTTACTTTAGATTCAGGAGTACATGTGCACATTTATTTTATGTGAAAATTGCATGTCATGGGGTTTTGTTGTTCCAATTATTTCTCCACCCAGGCAATAAGCATAGTACTTGCTAGGTAATTTTTTGATCCTCACGCACATTTCATTCTCCACCCATGAATAGGTACTGGTGTCTGTAGTTTCCTTATTTATGTCCATGTGAACTCAATGTTTAGCTCCCATTTATAAGTGAGAACATGCAATATTTGATTTTCTCTTCCAGCATTAATTCACTTAGGATAATGACCTCTAGCTCCATTCATGTTGCTGCAAAGGACATGACCACATTCATTTTTATGGCTGTATAGTACTCCATGATGTGTATGTACCATATTTTTCTTAATCCAGTCTACTGTTTATGTGCATGTAGGTTGATTCCATTTAATTGCCATTTTAAATAGTTTTGTAAAGAGCATCCAAATGCACGTGTCTCTATAGTAGAATGATTTATATTCCTTTGGGTATATGCTCAATAATGGGATTGCTTGGTCAAATGATAGTTCTAAGTTCTCTGAGAAATCACCAATTGTTTTCCATAATGGTTGAGCTAATTTACATTCTCACCAGCAGTGTGTAAGTGTTCCCTTTTCTCAGCAACCTCACCAACATCTGTCATTTTTTGACTTTTTAATAGTAGCCATTCTGACTGGTGTGAGATGGTATCTTATTGTGGTTTTGATTTGCATTTTTGTAATGATTGTGATGTCGAGCACTTTTTCATATGCTTATTGGCCATGTGTATGTCTTCTTTTGAAAAGTGCCTGTTCATGTCCTTTGATTTGTTTTGTCCACTTTTTTTTTTTTTTTTTTTTGAGATGGAGTTTTGTTCTTGTTGCCCTTGCTGGAGTGCATTGGCATGATCTTGGCTCACTGAAACCTCCGCCTCCTGGGTTCAAGCGATTCTCCTGCCTCAGCTGCCCAAGTAGCTGAGATCATAGGTGCCTGGCACCACGTCCGGCTAATTTTTGTATTTTTTAGTAGATACGGGGTTTCACCACGTTGGCCACACTGGTCTTGAACTCCTGACCTCAGGTGATCCACCTGCCTCAGCCTTCCAAAGTGCTGGGATTACAGGAATGAGCCACAGCACCTGCCTCATTGGCCACTTTTTAATGGGGCTGTTTGTTTTTATGTTTGTTAATTTATTTGTGTTCCTTATAGATTCTGGATATTACACTTTGTAAGATACATAGTTTGCAAATATTCAAATATTTTCTCCCATTCTGTAGTTTGTTTACTCTGTTGATAGTTTTTTTTTTTTTTTTAACTTTGAAGAAGCTTTTAAAATTAAATTAGGTCCCATTTGTCAATGTTTGTTTTTGTTGCAATTGCTTTTGGCATCTTCATGAAATCTTTGCCAGGGTCTATGTTCAGAATGGTAATTCCTAGGTTATCTTCCAGGGGTTTTATAGTTGTAGGTTTTACATTTAAGTCTTCAATCCATCTTGATTTGAATTTTGTATGTGGTTTAAAAAAGGGCTCCAGTTTCAATCTTCTGCATATAGCTAGCAGCTATTCCAACACCACTTTTAATAGGGAGTCCTTTCTCCATTGTTTATTTTTGTCAAAAAACAAATGGTTGTAAGTGGGCTCTCTATTCTGTTCCATTGGTCGATGTGTCTGTTTTATCCTAGTACCATACTCTTTTAGTTACTGTAGCCCTGTAGTATAGTTTGAAGTCAGGTGATGTGATGCCTCTAGCTTTCTTCTTTTTGCTTAGGAATGCTTTCCTTGTTTGTTTTTCTATATTTTTTGTTTCATATAAATTTTAAAATAATTTTTTAAAAATTCTGTGTAGAATATCATTGGTAGTTTGATAGAAATAGCACTGAATCTGTAAATTGCTTCCAGCAGTAAGGTCATTAAAACAATATTGATTCTTTCTATCCATGAGCACAAAATGCTTTTGCATTTGTTTGGATCATCTATCATCTCTGATTTCTTTCAGCAGTGTTTTGTAGTTCTTTTTGTAGAGATCTTTCACCTTCCTGATTAGCTGTATTCCTAGGTATTTTATTCTTTTTGTGGCTACCACTGCATTCTTGATTTGGCTCTCAGATTGGACATTTTTGGTATATAGAAAAGATGCACTTTTTAAAACAGGTTATGATGTTTTATTCTATTAGGATGATGTATTACATTAATTTATTTTAGGATGTTAAACCAACCTTGTTTAATTATAATAAAACCTAATGACTTTTGATGTATAATCCTTTTTTATGTTACTGGACTTGTGTTGTTAGTTTTTTGTTAAGTTTTTTTTTTTTTGTCTATATTCATGAGGATTATTGTTGTGTAGTTTTTTTTTTAATGTGTTTTTCTGTCTCATGATATCTCTGTCAGGCTTGACTAAAAGAATAATATAGACCCTGAGTTTGGGTGCTTTCCTCCCCTTTTGTCTGGAAGACTCCATTAAATATTGATATTAATACTTCTTTAAATGTTTTGTAGAATTTACCAGTGATACCCCCAATTTCACTTCTATATATGATATTTTTATGTTTTCATAAACTCATTTGATTAGTTTGATCGTAAGTGGATGTTAAAATTTTATTAACTTTTATTCTATGTATCATGATCCAGTCATTTGTTTTTCCTCCTTTATTCCATAATAATGTGTTGTATTCATTGAAAATTTTTAGAATGTTACAAATATGGCAATCATTGTGAAAGTATTCTTTTTACAGTGTATTATTATTTATATATAAATGAATTCAATCAGCTAATATTATATTAAGGATGCTTGTCAGGACTTGAAATAAGATTCCTGTGAATCTCATACAAGTTTCCCCCTTCTCTTTTTTGGAGAGGTTTTTGTATTGGATCTGTATCATTTCTTTCTCACATCTTTGACAAAATCCACCAGCAAGGTTGTCTACATATGGAATTTTTATTATAAAAAGGTTTTAAATTTCAATTTCTTTCAGGTATATTGAGCTATTTAAGTTCTGTTTTTATTCTTACTTTATTGTTTGTCTTTCAAAAATGATCTATTTTATTTAAATTATCATATTTATTGCTAGAAAGTTTTCTATAAAAACTTCTTATAATCTCATGTATTACATAGAATCAGTACATATTTACTTTGTTTCATTTCTGATATTGGTAACAAGTATATCTTTTTAACTGAGCAATCCTGGTAGAGCTTTACTATTTTTAGTAATTGTTTCAAAAACAAATTTTTACTTTAGTGAGTATTTACAGTTGTCTATTATTTACTTAACTTTTATTGTTTTCTTTATTTACTTCTTTTTATATGGACTTCACCATTTTCAGATTTATAGAAATTCATGTCATTAACATTATAGCTTTTTCTTTCTAATACAATATCTAAAGTCTTAAATGTCCCTCTAAGCTCCCATTTTATATATGCCCTATCAATTTGACATCTTATTATTATTATTCTTTGTTGCAGAAATTGTTTAGAGGTATCCTTTTTCCCAAAAAGATTGTGTGCACATACTGTCTTACATTTTACTTTTACATATGCAAGAAGCCTGAAAATAGATTGTTTTCATTTTACTTTAAGTTGCCTATATATAATACTGTTCCCTTTTGATGTTTTAAGTGTTAGATAATATTTCTAAGCAGGTTTTAAAACAGGGAAAATCTCATAAATGCTATAAAGCTAACATCTTAGTTACAGTGGATAAAACACTAAAATGAATGAAACAAAGTAACTTTCTTCATGCTTAGATCAAAACCCTCTCATGGGTCTCTGAATGTGATGAACATTTCAAGTAGGTATGTAGGTGACCACCAAGAAAACTGAAGGTTATATCTTATTTCATCTGTTTTGGTTATTGTTCCAATAAACCAAGATAAAGGGAACCTTGAGAGACTGAACAATATCTGCATGTAGAGAAAAGTGAAAAAATGGTTCTTTAGACTGTAAAATTAAAATATTTATCTCCAGATGACTTTTTCTAAAGGATCTTTCAGGTAAGAGATAATAGTTTCTGTAGCATCCTTTATAGTAGTAGAAATAAACAACTTTGTACAATCTATCTTCTTAGGAGAGTCGTTGTGTTATTATTAGCACCAACAAATTTTACGCTAGTAAGTTGTCAATCTAAATCACCTGCTCCATTTTATAAAGTTACATTACAAGAGACAAATTATATAATAATACACAGAACCTGCCTCTGTGAGTAATTGGCTTCTTTACAAAGTTCCAGATGATAAATACGGTTAAGTGCCATCAGTGATAAAGTATTATGTTTACAAAATTAAACTCTAGTAGGTATATATATATGTAATAAATTATGTAGCTTCCAACATGCTCAATTATTGTCTTGCCTTCCTTGCTGTATTTATCACCAAATATAAATAGGTTTGACCCTTGACACTTAAGTCAAATGTCTTGTGCAGCCTTGTTTTCTTATATTTTTTTGAAGGTCAAATTCAAATTGACTGGCATAGGGTGGAGGAACTGTTAGTTTTCTATTTTTTTCTTACTGTTTTTTGAGATGATTGCTTGTCACCCTTTTATTTCTCTTCAGGATTCCAATCCACCACATTCTTTTAGTTTTTAGCTGTAAGAACTTTTGCTCTGCCTCAGTTTTCTTTCCTTAACTCCTCACCCTACAGAAAATCTCTCTGTGTATTTTAGTGCACAAGAGCTTTGGCTACAGATATTTTCTCCTCTAATTATCTCTGTGTTTAAGTGATTTTAGCTAGTGGTTTATATTTAAATTACATATATGCACAGATACTTCTAAATTAATACTTTACCCAAAACTTTTACTATTATAATTCTACTTTAATATATCTCTGTTATATATCAACTTTCAGGTCATCTCAAACACACAATATCAAAGCCTGCATTCTTCACTGAATGCTTCCTGTGAACACCAAGGATCTTCACTCGCAATTTTGGCTGCTTGGAGATCAAATGTCTCCAGACAATCTCTGAGCCCTAGAAATTTATTCCATACATCCCTCTTACTGATTTTTACTTAATTATTTTGTGTCATTAAGATATTATGTAAACATTACATTTTCATCTAAATGTTAAAAACTATGCCTTTCATATTCACTTCTTACATTCATCTAAGATTATATGATAAAATGTACAGAGATTCAGTTTCATTTTTTCTTTATTAACAACCAATTTCTCACCAAAATAATCAAATAAACCATCTTTTCCTACTTATGTCAAATCAAATTTACATATACAAAAAAGTCTAATTTTGGACTGTTTACTATTTCATTTCTTTGTGTCAATACCACACTGTGTTAATTACTAGAACTTCATAATATCTTTATATTCTGCAAAGATTCCCTCCACTAACAACTTGCTCATTTTAAGTGCTATTTTAATGTTCAGACTAGTTGTCTTCCTACTCTTGATCCTCATGGCATATTATAAACATCTTGTTTGTTCCATAACATGCTATATCATTATTTTGATAAAAATTATATTATGTTTATAGATCAGCACGGGGTGATTGCATATATTTGTCAATTTCAATAAATTTAAAATTCAGATACTTAACTCCCTCATTGTATTAAACTTGAATATCCTTATTTTACTCTCATTCTTAATATTTTTTTCTGAGTAAACTATTCTAAAGTGGAAGCTAGACATTATCCTATGTCATTTAATGTCCATTTTTATTGTTGGAGATTCCATAGTATATATTTGACCATAGTTTTTGGTTATCTGTTTTGTTGTTGTTCTCTGTGTTATAAAGATGTTCTCACTTTCTTTAGCATTCAATAATATGTATATAAATGTATGTTTACTTATCCTGCTGTACTTTTGCACAATGTATTTGGATTTATATTTTTCATAGTCTTAAAATTAGTTATTATTTCTTTAGGTATTGCATTATTTTCATTCTCTGTCTTCTTTACACCTAAACTTCAATGAATAGATGTTCTAACCATTTAATATAATCCCCCATGTCACTTAATTATTTTATGCTTGCTACATTCTGTTTTTCATATGTATGTTCAGTATCACTAACTATTATTCTTCAGCTATATACATATTTTTAAATTCAGATGTCCTTAGTGTTCTTAACTGTAGTGGTTGTATCTCTAGATTACACAAATTCTCTATTTCCTAACTGAATAAATGAATGAACAAACCAATGAATAAACAAGACATTGGAATTATGTGAAGCAGGAAAGGCAATTACCAGAAAATAGATCATTCATATCAGAAAAGAAACAAACAAAATTAAAAAAATCTAAAATTTCACTGTAATTGGATATATAATTTGTGGCAGTTATACCAGTTATAAAACTATTATTACATTATTGAGTGTGCACATATTTTTGTTCAGTTAAAAATTTCAACACACGATGAAAAACTAGGTACATATGTAGTGATCTTATATTAGTTGCAGAGTTATTCAGGGAAGTTCTAATATGCATATTCAACCCAAATCATAGGATGAAGAAAAAGAGGAATATAACCATTGTACTAGGGAGGCAGTCCTACCAAACGAAATTATGCCTAAGAGTTATCATGAGACAAAAGCCATGCTCTTCTTTCAGTGTTTATTATTCTAGTCTCTTCCATAGGCTGAACACCACTAATGTTTAAAATGAAGCACTATGAATTTATAGTTTACAAATAAATACTTTTATGTACTTTGGGAATATTCATTTATATAAATAAATAAATATACATATGTATGTGTATATATATGTAAATACATTACAAGGATGTTTACACAAAGCTAACTTCAATGTGTTTTAATAGTGACAGAAGGAATTCCAAGAATTATTTTGATTATGCATAATGTTTTCCTTATTCACCAACTTGGGATGCAAACCATTTGTATATGTTATCTTTTTGCTTTAGCAATGATGCATAACAAACGACCTGGAAAATAGTTATCTTAAGCACAACCACTTACTTTGTGTTCATAGATATATGGTTCAGCTGCATCTCTGCTTGACTCTGGTATGTTCTAAGGTGATCAGTTAGACTTATACCCAAGCCATGGGTTCGCCCTAAATATGTTCCATGTGTCTTAACGTTTCAGGGCTCAAGCAAAAAAAAGCCACACTCTATCTTTGGCATGAAACTTTTATATCTGTGTACAGTAGCACAAGGGAAAACAAACTGATCAATGCAAGAACATATAGCCTCTGCTTGGATATGTTCATGTGTCATATTCCCTAACACTATTTTAGGCAAAGTGAGTCATATTGAGAAATTCAACCTCCAAAGAGTAGTGAAATAAAGTACTCCCAAAGAAAAAACTAAAGACAATCAATGTTTTTGAATCATAAAACAACAGCTATCACACTAGGTAAGTATGATTTCATTGCAACTGAAATTTCCTTGTGAAATCGCACATGCAAAGACACACATAAGCTCAAAATAAAGGGATGGAGAAAGACTTACCAAGCAAAAGGAAACCAAAAAAAGCAAGGGTTGCAATCTAGTCTCTGATAAAATAAACTTTAAACCAACAAAGATAAAAAAAAAAAATGAAGAAGAGCATTACATAATGGTAAAGGGATCAATGCAACAAGAATAGCTAACTATCCTAAATATATATGCGCCCAATACAAGAGCACCTAGATCCATAAAGCAAGTTCTTAGAGACCTACAGAGACTGAGACTGCCACACAATGAGAGTTGGAAACTTTAATTCCCCACTGTCAATATTAGACAGATCAACGCGACAGAAAATTAACAAGGATATTGAAGATTTGGACTCAGCTCTGGACCAAGCAGATGTAATAGACATCTGCAGAATTCTCCACCCCAAATCAACAGTATATACATTCTTCTCAGCACCACATAGCATTTATTCTATAATTGACCACATCATCAGTAGAAAAACACTCCTCAGCAAATGAAAAATAACAGAAATCATAACAAGAGCAAACAAATTCGAAATCTAGTGAAAGACAAGAACTAAGATCAGAGCAGAACTGAAAGAGACACACAAAAAATCCTTAAAAAAATCAATGAATCGAGGAGCTTGTTTTTTGAAAACATTAACAAAATAGGTATACCTCTAGCCAGACTAATAAAGAAGAAAAGAGAAAAGTATCAAATAGGCACAATAAAAAACGATAAAGGGGATTTCACCACTGATTCCACAGAAATACAAACTACCATCAGAGAATATTATAAAAACCTCTATGCAAATAAACTAGACATTTTAGAAGAAATGGATACATTCCTGGACAAATGCACCCTCGCAAGACTAAACTAGGAAGAAGTCGAATTCCTGAATAGACCAATAACAAGTTCTGAAATTGAGGCAGTAATTAATAGCCTAACAACAACAACAAGAAAAAAAGAGAACCAGATGGATTTATGGCTGAATTCTATTAGAGGTACAAAGAGTAGCTGGTAACATTTCTTCTAAAACTATTCCAAACACTAGAAAAAGAGAGACTCTTTCCTAACTCATTTTATGAGGCCAGCATCATCCTGTTTGCAAAACCTGGCAGAGACACAACAAAAAAAGAAAATTTCAGGCCAATATCCCTGATGAACATTGATATGAAAATTCTCAGTAAAATAATGGCAAACTGAATCCAGCAGCATATTAAAATCTTATCCACCACAATCAAGTTTGCTTAATCCCTGGATGCAAGGCTGGTTCGACGTACGCAAATCAATAAACTTAATCCATCACATAAACAGAATCAATGACAAAAACCAAATGATTATCTCAATTGATGCAGAAAAGGCCTTTGATAAAATTCAACGCTGCTTCATGCTAAATACACTAGAAATTGATGGAATGTATCTCAAAATAATGAGCTATTTATGACAAACCCACAGCCAATATCATACTGAATGGGCAAAAGCTGGAAGCATTCTCCTTGAAAATGGCACAAGACAAGGATACCCTCTTTCACCACTCCTATTCAACATAGTATTGGAAGTTCTGGCCAGGGCAATCAGGCAAGAAAAAGAAACAAAGAGTATTCAATTAGGAAGAGAGGAAATCAAATTATTGCTGCTTGCAGATGACATGATTTTATATTTAGAATACCCCCATTTTCTCAGCCCAAAAACTCCTTAAGCTGATAAGCAACTTCAGCAAAATCTCAGGATACAAAATCAATGTGCAAACATCGCAAGCATTCCTATACAGTAAGAACAGACAAACAGAGAGCCAAATCATGAGTGAAATCCCATTCACAATTGTTACAAAGAGAATAAAATACCTAGGAATACAACTTATAAGGGATGTGAAGGATATCTTCAAGGAGAACTACAAACCATTGCTTAAGAAAATAAGAGAAGACACAAATGAATGAAAGAACATTCCATGCTCATGGATAGGAAGAATCAATATTGTAAAAATGGCCATAAGCCCGAAGTATTTCATAGATTCAATGCTATTCCCAATAAGCTACCATTGACTTTCTTCACAGAATTAGAAAAAACTACTCTAAATTTCATATGAAACCAAAAAGAGCCCATATAGCCAAGACAATCCTAAGCAAAGAGAATAACACTGAAGGCATCATGGTGCTTGACTTCAAACTATACTACAAAGTTACGGTAACCTAAACAGTATGGTACTGGTACCAAAACACATATATAGACCAATGGAACAGAACAGAGGCCTCAGAAATTATACCACACATCTACAACCATCTGATCTTTGAAAAACCTGAAAAAAACAAGCAATGGGGAAAACATTCCTTATTTAATAAATGGTGTTCGGAAAACTGGCTAGCCATATGCAGAAAGCATAAACTGGGCCCCTTCCTTACACCTTATACAAAAATTAACTCAAGATGGATTAAAGATTTAACTATATGACCTAAAACCATAAAAACCCTAGAGGAAAACCTAGGCAATACCATTCAGGACATAGGCATGGGCAAAGACTTCATGACTAAAACACCAAAGGCAGTTGGCAACAAAAGTCAAAATTGACAGATGGTATCTAATTAAACTGAAGAGCTTCTGCACAGCAAAAGAAACTATCATCAGAGTGAACAGGCAACTACAGAATGGGAGAAAATTTTACAATCTATCCATCTAACAAAGACTCATATTCATAATCTATGAAGAGCATAAACAAATTTACAAGAAGAAAAACCAAATAACCCCATCAAAAAAAAAGGGCAAAGGATATGAACAGACAGTTCTCAAAAGAAGACATTTATGTGGCAAACAAACATATGAAAAAAAGCTCATCATCACTGGTCATTAGAGAAATGCAAATCAAAACCACAATGGGATACCATCTCATGCCAGTTAGAATGGCATTCATTAAAAAGTCAGGAAACAATAGATGCTGGAGAGGATGTGGAGAAATAGGAACACTTTTACACTGTTAGTGGGAGTGTAAATTAAATTAGTTATTAAATTAGTTCAACCATTGTGGAAGACAGTGTGGCAATTCCTCAAGGATCTAGAACTAGAAATATCTATTGACCCAGCAATCTCATTACTGGGTATATACCCAAAGGATTATAAATCATTTTACTATAAAGACACATGCAAATGTATGTTTATTGCAGCACTAGTAACAATAGCAAAGATTTGGAACCAACTGAAATACCCATCAGTGATAGACTGGATAAAGAAAATGTGACACATATACACCATGGGATACTATGCAGCCATAAAAAAAGAATGAGTTCATGTCCTTTCCAGGGACACGGATGAAGCTGGAAACTATCATTCTCAGCAAACTAACACAGGAACAGAAAACCAAACACTGCATATTCTCACTCATAAGTGGGAGTTGAACAATGAAAATATATGGCACAGGGAGAGAAACATCACACACCGGGCCTGTTGCGGGAGCAAGGGGAGGGATAGCATTAGGAGAAATACCCTAAAGTAGATGATGGGTTGATGGATGCAGCAAACCATCATGGCACATGTATACCTATGTAACAAACCTGCACGTTCTGCACATTTATCCCAGAACTTAAAGTATAATAATAACAAAAATCCTGCAATATTATTTGTATGACTCTAGTTAGGATCATATTATTCACTTAAAAATTAGGGAAAAGTTAGATTTCAGATATATTTGTATTATATTTTTCCCAAACTTAGGCTTATTTGATTTCAGAATTTTAATGAGATTTTAACAGCTTTTTATAACTTATTTGCATTGCTTTATAACTTATTTGCATTGTTTTAACTTGTGACGAAGAATGTTAAACAAGTTGTTTGAGATTTCAACACATACTGTGATTTGGTCTGCTAATTAGCATTATAGAAGCAGAAGTGCTGAAATATCATAGATGTGTTATTTATAGAGAATTTAAATTTCTTCAAAGTAAATTCGTTTACTATTAACCGTTCTTTGCAGAAAAAATTTGCTATAGCTATATTTAATGAGATCCATAAATCACAACTAATGGACTATGACTCAGATTACCATGAATTTATGATGCTAAGATACGGACTTAGGCATCTATATTTCTATGACTAGTTAAATATGGGTTGAAATATTTATAGATGAGAAGAAAAGTTTTAATTTTTTAAAACAACAGCAATACAATGTTACGTGTCTCTTTCTTCTGTTTGGTTCATAAATATTGATATAACAAACACTGCTGATCAAAACTGGGAAATGAAAATATGCAGACAGGAGAGCATGTTAACCTAGAAAACTTAGCTAACAAAAAATGAAGAAAGAAAAAGTTCTGGGGATGAGGAAGATGAAGACAGAAAAAAAAGTATGTGTATTATTGCTTCACTAATCACATCAGTGCCCTATGTTTAGCAGCTAGTAACACTCAGGTCTCTGGTAGTACACCAAAGCCTACACCACACTAGCACACAAATTATTAGATCATTGTAATGTCTGCACTCTTAAGAGCTAAAATGTGAATGTCTTCAGTTTTGCTAAAAGGAGTACGTTTCAAAACATAACTAATATGATATTTTCTTTTATATATTTTAATATTTTATAATTTTCACCTATTTTTAGACTTTTCTACCACCATGATAACTAAAGATATGTTCAGCTACTTTGACATTTCACCCAAAATCTAAAGTGCTTGATGAGGGGCAGATCTTATTCCTTATCTTTCTTTTCCAGTACATGTGATATGATAATTGATTAATGTCTTATTGATAGTTATTTAGATGTTTTCCCAGCTTTTCTTTTATTGTCATATTGATAGTACATGGCTAGCTGGTTTGCATGTATATATTGCAGTAATGATGAGAGTGTGGCAAACATTATTGAATAAATGCTTAACATCAGATAAGTACTTTTCTATCCTCTCTTGCAATTAGGATAACTCCATTCTAAACATCAGACTTAACATAAAATCTGTTGGGCAGATTTTCAGTAAGATACTTTACTTTCTGAGAGATGTCATAGGTGTGCTGCTGTTCCATCCTCCTTCTTCCTTCCTGGAATGCACATTTTACATCTGCAGATTAGATGGGCATACTGAAATCATGAAGAAACAAGTACAAGGAGAAAAATACAAGACACTATTGATGGCAGAAAAGAATGAGAGAAAATCTTGAAACTGGTCAGAGTTTGAACTAATTTACCAACACTAAATAATAGCTATGTCCAATTATCTGAGGAAAACATAAATCCCTAGTTTTTTAGGCATGATTTATCAAGTTTTCAATTCTTTGCTGCCAAAAACATGTCTACATTATGTGTGTAGAATAAATGGTAGCAGAGAATTTTCTGGTCAAAAAGTACATACATATATATATTTAACTGTAATTATTAACACCAATTTTCCTACAAAGAGTTACTCAAACTTAACACCCTACCAACAGGAAATGGAAATGCTTGTTTTCTTGCAACATCTCTCCAATACAAAATAACATAGTTTATGTATTCACTATACTTTATTAAGTTCTTACCAGGTGCCTGGCACTGTGCTAATTATATCAATGGGAAATTAAAAACGATATGGTCCATGACTTCCATGTTTCTTATTTTATTTTCATAATTTTATATTTTTCTTAATGAATCCTGGAAAACTAGTTTGGCCTTAGTGTTTCATATTTTGTGTTACTCCTGTGATTGGGATCAGAGGAGAGTATAGGAAAAAGTTTAAAGAACAGATTCTAGAATTAATCTGCTTGGGGTTGGAATCTTGTAGCTACTAATAGTTATGCAGTGACAGCTCATTTAAATTTCATGAGCCTCAGTTTTCTCACCTGCAAAGTGGGGATTTTAAGAGTGGCTATCACAACACCTATGAGTTTTAAGCATCTAGAAGAGGGTCTGTCTAAAGTCACTTGATAGTGTCATGCGATTTTAATATATTTTTAAATTTGTATGTATTTTTATACGTATTAAAAATCTTATTATACAAATTTTTGTGTAATTGCCTTATTGAAATGTGTACTGCTTACATAATGTTTGTTGACACTATAGTGTTTCTAAATATTTCCATATTGTCTGAAAATAATCATATTATCCATTTCTTTCCAGTATTTATATTTCTTACCTTTATCTTGTCTAGTAAAATTAACTAGAATTTTCAGAACAATATTATAAGTATTATGTTACAAGGGTACCTAATTGAAGCACTGTCTCACCTATTTCAACTCTGCTATTACTCTGTGAAAAGACACTGATGATATACTGCAATCTTTTTTGCAAAGCCTAATTTATTATCTAGTGAGCTCATTTTTATCACGTTTTTAATAAATTGTCAGTTTTCTTTTATATGTTTTAGAATATAAAATTTCTGTTTTCAGAAATAAAATTACTGTTGTATGAAGTGTTGTTATGGTCTTCTTCCAGAAGGCCTCCTGCCTTTTCGTCTTGGTATCTGCATCTGTTCTTTCTCCCTCTTTAGATTTTACTACACTTTATTTCTTGTCATTCCTTGCTGTAATTTTTTTACGTAGCTTCTGTGTCTTTAAAAACTCTTGTTCATTATATCAAATTAATTAGCTTTAATTCAATTTAGTAGTTAAATTATTAATTTAAATTAAGTTTTTTATTGTGAAAAATGAATCTTTGCCTGAAAAAGGTCATATTTAGTTCTTCTACATGCACAGTAATAGTGTGTGTGAATTTTTTTCTCTGACCTCCATTTAGCAAGGCCTATGTGTTGAAACAAGGTCAGTGGAACAAACAGTCTCCTCTCTTTCAGGTGTCTATTGCCATTGATAATACTGCATAATAAGCCTGGTGAAAACTTACTGTATTAAAACAACAAACATTTATTTATCCTACTATTACATAGTTTGACAATTTGTGTTCAGCTCAGTTTGACCTGCCTGATTTCAACCGGGCTATCATGCATCTGTAGTCAGCTGCTAGGTTAGTTGGGGTTCACTAAAGTGTCTAAAATTGCTTTATCATTTACAACTTATTTTTTCTCCAACAGGCTAGCGTCATCTTACTCATATGGTAGTTGCCATATTCTAAAGAAGGCTGAATCCCAGTTCAAATAATTGGGAATTAGACAACACTTTTTGATGGGAGAAACTGCACATGAAGGTACAAGGATAATTGCAGTTATTTTTACAAATAATTTAACCATATCTCAGTCATAAGGAGCTATAGTAGATTTCATTTTGAAATTTTTTTTTCATTTATTTTCTCATATGTAATTTAAAGTATTTGAGTCATATAGAATTTCATTTCAAAATAACCAGAAAAAATTGATTATAATTTGGAGGTTTTAATTTAACACTACTACTTGTTTGATATATAAATGTTGATTTGAGCTTTCCCATATGTTTGAAACACATTACTGAATCACTAGCTCTTAGACAGTTCAACAGCTAAATGCCTGTATAATTTAGTTTGATTAATCAGTGGGGCAACTAAATACCTGGCCACCCTCCAGGTATTTATGTGACTACATGCAGCTTGCCAAAAAAAAAAAAAAATGCTAATAGTATTCACATTTGGTTACTACATACACTGGAACGCTAATAGTATTCACATTTGGTTACTACATACACTGGAACTTGCTGAAGGAGCATATTTTTTTTTTTCAGCCAACAGTAAATAAGCACATTTTGTTGATGAGTCATAGGTTTTGGAAATGACTGTTTCTACCTCTGCAACTACTAAATACTAAGTGCATTCTGAGACGGTGAAAAGCTATATACTTAAAAATCCCTTTAGACTATGTCCCCTGTCCCTGTTCCCACATCCCAACATTGCCACCAGATGCATCCAACCACACTCCAAATTTCTCTCTAGGAAATATTTGGAACATCATTGGCTGCAATAAACTTTGAAGTTAATTTATATTCCATAAATTTGAGTTTGTGTCTAAATGCATACATACGCATTTAGAGAAAAAAACTAATATAATTCCATCTTTGATGCCAAGAATAAAATAAAATTATTCTTTCTTTTTCTTTATTTTACTTTAAGTTCTAGGGCACATGTGCACAACATACAGGTTTGTTACATAGGTATAGATGTGCCTTGTTGGTTTGCTGCACCCATCAACTCATCATTTACATTAGGTATTTCTCCTAATGCTATCCCTTCCCCAGACACCCACTGACAGGCTCCGGTGTGTGATGTTCCCCGCCCTGTGTCCATGTGTTCTCATTGTTCACCTCCCACCTATGAGTGAGAACATGCGGTGTTTGGTTTTCTGTCCTTGTGATAGTTTGCTAAGAATAATGGTTTCCAGCTTCATCCATGTCCCTGCAAAGGACATGATTTTTTTTTATGGCTGCTTAGTATTCCATGGTGTATATGTGCCACATTTTCTTAATCCAGTCTATCATTGATGGACATTTGGATTGGTTCCAAGTCTTTGCTATTGTGAATAGTGCCTCAGTAAACGTATGTGTGTATGTGTCTTTATAGTAGCATGATTTATAATCCTTGGGTATATACCCAGTAATGGGATCACTGGTCAAACGGTATTTCTAGTTCTAGATCATTGAGGAATCGCCACACTCTCTTCCACAATGATTGGTCTAATTTACACTCCCACCTACAGTGCAAAAGCGTTCCTATTTCTCTGCATCCTCTCCAGCATCTGTTTTTTCCTCACTTTTTAATGATCACCATTCTAACTGGCATGAGATGGTATCTCATTGTGGTTTTGATTTGCATTTCTCTGATGACCAGTGATGATGAGCATTTTTTCATGTGTCTGTTGGCTGCATAAATGTCTTCTTTTGAGAAGTGTCTATTCATATCCTTTACCCACTTTTTGATGGGGTTGTTTTTTTCTTATAAATTTGTTTAAGTTCTTTGTAGATTCTGGATATTAGCCCTTTGCCAGATGGGTAGATTGCAAAAATTTTCTCCCATTCTGTAGGTTGCCTGTTCACTCTGATGATAGTGTCTTTTGCTGTGCAGGAGCTCTTTAGTTTAATTAGATTCCATTTGTCTATTTTGTCATTTGTTGCCATTGCTTTTGGTGTTTTAGTCATGAAGTCTTTGCCCATGCCTATGTCCTGAATGGTATTGCCTAGGTTTTCTTCTAGGGTTTTTATGGTTTTAGGTCTTACATTTAAGTCCTTAATCCATCTTGAGTTAATTTGTGTATAAGGTGTAAGGAAAGGCTCCAGTTTCAGCTTTCTACATATGGCTAGCCAGTTTTCCCAACACCATTTATTAAATAGGGAATCGTTTCCCCATTGCTTGTTTTTGTCAGGTTTGTCAAAGATCAGATGGTCGTAGACGTGTGGTGTAATTTCTGAGGCCTCTGTTCTGTTACGTTTGTCTATATATCTGTTTTGATACCCACACCATGCTGTTTTGGTTACTGTAGCCTCATAGTATAGTTTGAAGTCCGGTAGTATGATGCCTCCAGCTTTGGTCTTTTTGCTTAGGATTTTCCTGGCTATGCGGGCTCTTTTTTGGTTCCATATGAACTTTAAAATAGTTTTTCCAATTCTGTGAAGAAAGTAAGTGCTAGCTTGATGGGGATTACTTCTCTCAGCTTAAGCACCACTGGAATGCAATAAAAAGGCAAGTCCAAATCTTGGTGTTTAATTTTACTTTAATGCCTGTTTAGTGACATTAAACAAATCAATATGCAGGACAGGATTTTTCTAGTTCATTGTTTTCAATATAATTGAAGAAGATTTAATCTAGTTGTCAGTTGATGGATTGTTAAAATAATTTCTGATGACTAATCACCTTGTGACTTTGGAATATAAATCAGAAATTTAAAGTATTGTGAGACTTTTCTGAAAAGTTACTTTATTTAAATGTAGTTTACTTATGTGAAAAGTTCTTCAGTGCTTCCACATTATAGCACTTAGAAATTGTCATCTCAATATATAAGCCATGAGAACAAATTACTGTATCTATTTCAATAAGTGAGGAAATTCCAGTATGAAATGTAGACATTTATAAACTATCTAAATTAGTTGTACTTATTATATTTTGATCAATTGTCAACTGATAAGTATTAGCAAAGTCTCACAATACTTTAAACTTATATAAAAATTTAAAATACAATAGTTTAAACTTTCATAAAATTTTAGAAATTAGAAAAATTTTCACATAAATTAGAAAACTTTTAAAAATTTGAAAACTTAAAAATTTAAAAATTAGAAAACTTTACAAAATTTAGAAAACTTTTAAAAATAGAAAAACTTTTCACATAAATAAACTACATTTAAATAAAGTAACTTTTCATGGTAAAGTCTCAAAATACTTTAAACCTACATAAAATGTTAAAATACAATACTTTATATTTACATAAAACTTTAAAAAATTAGATTTATAAGCTCAACAATATAAAATACATGAAATATTTATGTATATCCATAGTTTTGTTTCAGAGAAATACGAGAAGATAGTCACTCTTTCAGGTGTAAGTATCGCATCAGGACAGATCCTATGGTCAAAGTGGAATTGAAGCATAAATTCAAGGAGAAAAAAGATGTTCTAACAATGTTCCAAATAAATGTTTTTCTAGTTTAGCCATAATCTTGTAGATTATATTATTATATTCTTCAACTGGAATATAATATAAGGTCTAGGAAGAAAAGGATTAAGTGGGGCTGTGCTAATTGAAAGAGAGAGACAAATAACCATAGACCTGTCCTTTTCTAATCTCTGTGATGACTTCTGAAATGCTGTAAATCATAGCTTTGAATGTAGTACAATTGGTGAGCTTTATATTCCTTTCCAATATCATTATTTTATGAAACATGATTAAAATGTTTTCTTCAAATTGGAGTGTTCACAAATTTCATCTTCAAAGTGTTTATAATTTAGTCATATAAAATTGTATTCCTATAAATTGTATTTAAAACTTAAAGTGTTATTAATTTTTTATTGTGTTTGAATAATTTGAGAAAATTTAATTTTAGAACTTTAAATCATTAAAAATTTAAATTTAGATTTTACAATGTCAATAAGTACTTCTGTTTATAAAGCAATTTAAATACTGTAGCAGTATAACATCAAATAAGGAGAGTAACCATTTCATGCTAATCTTCATATTTACTTACAAATTCTTACAGTTAAGTCTTTTTTGTGTATCATTCTCTATTTTAATGTGCATATAAATGTATCATTTGTATAAAGATACATAAAATTTTATATAAATACTTTATATAAAGATAACATAAAATGTATTTTTCAAAAAGCTGAAAATAGTGGGTAACATGCACAATGTTTAGAACAATGTTCTAGGATTACAAGAAAAATAGGAGAAGACTCAGTGTCAGTAACAAAGAAAGCACTGAAAACGAGAATGCTAAGCTAAAGCAGGTGCAGCCATGAGAGGTGAAAGGAGGAAACTCACCAAAGGGATTTACCACACATACAAAGATGGAAGATGAAGACTGCACACCTGAAGCAAAAAGTTGCAACTGAAATCTGTACAAAAACGCAACTCTTGTACCAAAAGAGTTAGGTTAGTCGAGAGCCATAATTATCTATTTTAGAGCAAATTTGTGTAAGTCCCAAGAGTAAAATGACCAATTAACTATGATAAAAATGTTAATAGCTGCTTTACAATATTTATAAAAAAACACAAAATATTGGCAAGAAGAAATAAGAAATCTGAATGGTCATATGAATTAAAAAAATAAATTGTTATTAAGATCTCTCTGTCAGGAATAGATATCTTCAAAACCAATTCTTCTGAAATTTAAACAACAAAATTACAACAATTTTACAATTATTCTTCAGAGAATTGAAAAACAATGAAATATTTCCCAAGTTGAACTATGAAGTCAGAATTGCAATAATAATAAAGATGAAAAATTGTTTATAAACAAGGAAGCGATAGGCTAGAGTCCCTTGAAAACATAGCAAAATGGTTGAACTGAAAAGAATAAATTAACTTTTCATTCTTTATAGACAATATAATTTTATATGTGCAAAACTCAGAAGAATCTACAGAAAAAAATATTAGGATAGTAAATGTATTTAACATTGTTACTAATGTTAAATGTAAAATAATAGCTACAATTTTACACGAGTAGTAAAAACTAAACAAATGATTATTTTACAGAAGCATCAAAAAACATCAAATATCTAAAACCTAAAGAAATGTCTACAAGGTTACTACACTGAAAACTGCAGATATTTCTGAGAGAAATCAAAGAAGACAAATTCTTGGGAGACATACCATGTTTATTAATAAGAAGCATCAATACTTACATGTTATTTCTTCCTAAACTGATCCCTAGATTCACTGCAAGTACAAAAACACAAAACAAAAAACTCTCCACACAACTAGATTGTAGAAAATAATACAAGGCAACAATCAGTAAGACAGTGTCATATTAGCACACACAAAAAAGTTGCCAAATGGAATGTATAGTAGAATCCAGATACTTATTCACACATATATAATCACCTGACTAGGCAGCACAATATACAGGAAAATAAAATAACTTTTAATAAATTATTTCTGATAAAGTTGATACCTACACAGAAATAACGTATTTGATTCTTCATTTCATACATGGAGAAAAAAATTAATTTCAGATGGTTTACAGATGTGAACATAAAATTAAAACAATAATAATTTTAAGGGAAAACATAAGAATATCTTTATGATCTTGAAGTAGTTAAAGGTGCTTTAACAGAATGAAAATTTCACTAATCTTTAGCAAAGATTTGTTGAATTGTATCAAAATTAAGACATTTTATTAATCAAAAGTCACTATAGAAATCAATTAAGAAATATTTGAATTATCCCTCTAGGTTAATTGGTAAAATTAATATGATCTCAATTAAAATACCAGTTTTTTAAATGGTGCCTTACAAGTTGACAATAGCATTCATATAAATGTATAAATTTACAAAAATATCTAGTAAAACCCTGAAAAAGATGACTATGATGGAAGATGTGTTGTGGCAAATATGAAAATATAAAAGGAGCTATAATTATATCAATATGGTTCTGGAACATATGAAGACAACAAGACCAATGCAGCAGAAGTGTAACTTCAGAAAAAAATGTTTCATCTCCATATAGAAATCTCAAATTCCTTAGGCAAACATGTCATTTCAAATAATAATGTTGGATCAACTGGGCCGTCATTCAGAAATGAACTAATTAACAAAATATTTAAAACAATTTATCTTTCAATACACAAATATTAATTGCAAATGTATGAAATGTCTAAATATAAAAAAGCAATCAATACACATTCTGAAGGAAAATATAGACAAATACTTTTATAAACCTATGTTGGAGAACACTTTCTAACCATGATTTTGAAAGTATAGACATAGAAAAAAAACAAAGCAAATGACATATAAGACTACATAAAAACTTGCATACCAAAAACACCATAAACAAAAATCAAGTCTAATGTTACTAATATATGAAGAAATATTAATAGTTGAAATAATAGAAAAAATGTCATAGAAATGTAGGCAAAAATTTATACACAATGATATGGTTTGGCTCTGTGTCCCCACCCAAATCTCACCTTAAATTGTAATCCCCATAATCCCCACATGTCCAAGGCAGAACCAGGTGGGAGTAACAGAATCATGGAGATGGTTCTCTCATTGCTGTTCTTGTGATAATGAGTGAGTATCATGAGATCTGATGGTTTTATAAGTGTCTGGCATTTCCCCTACTGGCACTCATTCTCTCTCCTGCTGCCCTGTGAAGAGTTGAATTCTGTCATGATTGTAAGTTTCCTGAGGCCATTCCACCATTCAGAACTGGGAGTCAATTAAATCTCTTATCTTTATAAATTACCCAGTCTGGGGTACTTCTTCACAGCAGCATAAGAATAAACTAATACATTAAATTAGTACCAAGAGTGGGGTGCTGCTATAAAGATACCCTAAAAAGTAGAACCAACATTGGAACTGGGTAACAGGCAGAGGATGGAACAGTTTATGTGGCTCAAAGAAGACAGGAAAATGTAGGAAAGCTTGGAACTTCCTAGAGACTTGGAGGGCTCAGAAGACAGGAAGATGTGGGAAAGTTTGAAACTTCCTAAAGACTTGTTAAATGGCTTTGACCAAAATACTGATAGTGATATGAACAATGAAGTCCAGGATGAGGTTGTCTCGAACTTGTTTGGAACTGGTATAAGGGTCACTCTAAAGAGACTGGTGGCATTTTGTCCCTGCCCTAGAGATCTGTGGAACGTGGAATCTGAGAGAGATGATTTAGGGTATCTGGCAGAAGAAATTTCTAAGTGGCAAAGCATTCAAGAGGAAGTAGAGCATAAAAATTTGGAAAATTTGCAGCCTGATGATGTGATAGAAAAGGAAAACCCATTTTCCGGGGAGAAATTCAAGGCAGTTGCAGAAATTTGCATAAGTAACAAGGAAATGAATGTTAATCACCAAGAAAATGGGAAAAATGTCTCCAGGGCATGTCAGAGACCTTCATGGCAACACCTCCTATCACAGGCCCAGAGGCCTAGGAGGGAAAAATAGTTTTGTGGGCAAGGCACAGAACCTGCTTGCTCTATGCAGCCTTAAAAAATGGTGCTGTGAGTCCCAGCTGCTTCAGCTCCAGCCATAGCAGAAACGGGCCAAGGTACAGCTCATGCCATTGATTCAGAGGGGGCAAGTCTCAAGCCTTGGCAGCTTACACATGGTGTTGGGCCTGCAGGTGTACAGAAGTCTATAATTGAGGTTAGGGAACCTCCACCTAGATTTCAAAGGATGTATAGAAATACCTGGATGTCCAGGCAGAAGTTTGCTGTGGTATGGGGCTCTCGTGGAGAACCTCTGCTAGAGCAGTGCAGAAGGGAAATATGGGGTTGGAGCCCTCACACAGAGTCACCTTTGGGGTACTCCCTAGTAGAGCTGTGAGAAGAGGACCACTGTCCTCCACATCCCAGAAAAATACATCCACTGACAGCTTGTACCATGTATCTAGAAAAGCTACAGACAATGCCAGCCCATGAAAGCAGCCAGGAGGGGAGATTTACCCTATAAAGCCACAGAGGCAGAGCTGCCCAAGACCATGGGAGCCTACCTCTTGTATCAGTGTGACCTGGATGGGAGACATGGAGTCAAAACAAAACATTTTGTAACTTTAAGGTTACAAAGTGACTGCCTTATTGGATTTTGGACATTGTGGGACCTGTAGCCCCTTTGTTTTGGCCAGTTTTTCCCATTTAGAATAGGTGTATTTACCCAATGCCAGTTCCTCCATTGTATCTAGGAAAGAACTAACTTGTTTTTGATTTTACAAGCTCATAGGTGGAAGGGACTTGCCTTGTCTCAGACGAGACTTTGCACTTTTGCACTTGGGTTAATGCTGGAATTAGTTAAGTTATGATCTTCATAATATCCACATACCAAGGGCAGAACCAGGTGGAGGTAATGAAATCATGGGGGCAGCTTCCCCCATCCGGTTCTCATGATAATAAGTGAGTCTTATGAGATCTGATGGTTTTATAAGCAACTGACATTTCCCCTGCTAGCACTCATTTTCTTCTTGCCACCTTGTGAAGAGGTACCTTCCACCATGATTGTAAGTTTCCTAAGGCCTCCCCAGTCATGTGGAACTGTGAGTCAATAAAACCTCTTTTCTTTATAAATTACCCAGTCTCGGGTATTTCTTCATAGTGGTGTGAGAATGGACTAATGCACACAGATAATTGAGATGTTTAAAAGTGGCTCCTAAACATACGAAAAATTTTGATGTCAACAGAGTATGAGAAATTCTTTAAAATAGCAATTATATACAATTTGTCAAACATTTGCAAAAATTCAAACAGAGTTTGTTGGTGAGACTGCAGGGAAATATGCACCATCATACATTGCTATAGAGTAAAAAGTGATTATATCACGAATGAAAAAAATTCATTGATAACTAACAAAATTGCCTATTCATTTTCCCTTTGATAAAGCTATATGACTTAGACCTTACCTTATTGGTAGGCTCCTAAAAATGCAGAAGTATATATGCACAAGATTACTAAATGAAGAACTATTTGCAATAAAATATTATTGGACTTTACAATTTGGTATGTTTTTGTAGTGGCTGGTACAGGTTGTTCCTTTCCATGCTTAGTGCTTCCTTTAGGAGCTCTTGTAAAGCAGGCCTGGTGGTGACAAAATCTCTCAGCATTTGCTTGTCTGTAAAGGATTTTATTTCTCTTTCGCTTATGAATGTTAGTTTGGCTGGATATGAAATTCTGGGTTGAAAATTCTTTTCTTTAAGAATGTTGAATATTGGCCCCCACTCTCTTCCAGCTTGTAGGGTTTCTGCAGAGAGATCCGCTGTTAGTCTGATGGGCTTCCATTTGTGGGTAACCCAACCTTTCTCTCTGGCTGCCCTTAACATTTTTTCCTTCATTTCAACCTTTGTGAATCTGATGATTATGTGTCTTGGGGTTGCTCTTCTCGAGTAGTATCTTTGTGGTGATCTCTGTATTTCCTGAATTTGAATGTTGGCCTGCCTTGCTACATTGGGAAAGTTCTCCAGATGACAGGTTGATGGCTGCAGCAAACCACCATGGCAAGCATATACCTATGTAACAAACCTGCATGTTCTGCACTTGTACCCTAGAACTTAAAGTATAATAATAAAAAAATTGGAAACTAAATGTCCAACTTTAGATGACTGATTGCGTAAACTATAATACATCCAAACAATTGAATACTAGGTAACTGTACAAAAGAGTGAGAAAGAATTCTATAACCTGTTTTGAAGTGACTTCTAGGATATTTTGTTAAGTGAGAAATGCAAAATTCAAAGGAAGAAAATTACAGTATGTGACTTTTTGTGTATCACCAAAAAAAGAATAATAAAAACCTACATGTAGCAGTTTATTTTGTTTTTTTTCTTGCCTTTTTGTTTTTCAAAATCTTTCTGTGGTAATTCAATAAAACTGCAACTCAGCTACCCCTTTGTAATTACACCAGGAAAGTCTTGTGAACTAATTATTTTATTGATTCAAGCAGCAATGGTTCTAAATCAGACTAAGGGTCCAACCCCAGGTGTGCTCTTGTTGTGTCAGGACTCCCTGCTCAACCCTAGGCCTTCAGATCTCTAAAGCGATAGGGCCTTGAGAGCTATTTTTTAAAAGTTTCCCAAGCTAGTTAGATGACTAGTTCAGTTTAAGGAAGACTTGTCTAGTGTTCTTGCAGGGCTTCTCAATATCAGTATACCATTGAAAAACTTTAAAAAGTGCAGATTTTATGTCCAACTCCAAGGGATTCTAATTGCTTAATGAGGTGTAGAAATAGACATTTTTAAGAATCTCTCAAGTTGCTTTTGGAAGAAGTTGCTAGTGTAGCTCACTTTAGGGAACTTTGCTCCATTCAGGGTTTGGCAAAAGGCAGGCACATGGGGAAAGAACAGGACACATTTATGAGGCTTAACTGTTGCTTCTCCAAGACCAGTTGCAAATCAGTCCTCTAAACAATGCATGTACCTATGGCTAACATGGTATCTATGCCTAGAGACTCCAGTGCCAGCGAGAGAGAATGAGGGTAACAGCGACTATGGGGACAGGGTGGGCTTTCTGGTGTATCTTGCTATTCTTTTTTTTTTTTTCAACTTTTATATTAACTTCAGGGGTACATGTGCAGGATGTGCAAGTTTGTTACATAGGTAAACTTGTGTCATGGTGGTTTGTTGCACAGCTCATCCCATCACGTACGTGTTGAGCTCAGCATCCATTAGCTATTCTTCCTGATGTTCTCCATCCCACCAACACCCTCTGGCAGGCTCCAGAGTGTGTTGCCCCCCACATGTGTCCATGTGTTCTCATCATTCAGCTTCCACTTATAAGTGAGAACATGTGGTGTTTGGTTTTCTGTTCTTGTGCTAGTTTGCTGAGAATCATGTCTTCCAGCTCCATGCATATCGCTGCAAAGAACATGATCTTTTTTATGACTGCATATTATTCCATTCCATTCTAATTCATTATCATCAGTTCTATCTTACCGTTTTCATTTTCATATCAATATCTTCTTTCTCTCTCACAGTGAGAACCCTCATGTTCAATATACTTCACTTCAACATCAATATGTACCACATATTGATGTATGTACCACATATATGGAAAGTATATGTACCACATTTTCTTTATCCAGTCTATCATTGATGGGCATTTAGGTTGATTCTAGGTATTTGCTACTGTGAATAGTACTGCAATGAACATAGGCATTCATGTATCTTTATAATATAATGATTTATATTCCTTTGGGTGTGTACCCAGTAAGTAGATTGCTGGGTAAAATGGCATTTCTGTCTCTAGAACTTTGAGGTATTGTCACACCGTCTTCCACAATGGTTAAACTAATTTACACACCCATCAACAGTGTAAAAGCATTTCATTTTCTCGGCAATCTCATCAGCATCTGTTGTTTTTTGACTTTTTTATAATAGTCATTCTTACTGGCGTGAGACGGTATTTCATTGTGATTTTAATTTGCATTCCTCTAATGATTAGTGATGTTGAGCTTTCTTTCATATTTTGCCCTCATGTATGTCTTCTTTTGAGAAGTGAGTGTTCAAGTTCTTTGCCCACTTTTTAAGGTGATTGTGTTTTGTTTGTTTCTTGTACATTTGTTTAAGTTACTTGGTAGTCTTCATCAAAAAATTAAGGTAAAACAAAAAACAATAAATGTGCTTACCTATAACAATTGAGTGGTGAACAGGGATAGAGGAAAAGTGTGACAGAGTGACATATTTCTGAGAATAATGATTTGCATAACTTTGCCTTTGGAAGTATGTTAATGTTCTACATATTTAAAAAATAAAATTAAATAATTAAGAAAAATAGGAGAAGGAAACTAGAAATAAAATAAAACCAATCAATCACAATAACATTTTAAATAAATAGCAATCCTGTAATCGCAGCACTTTGTGTGGCTGAGGCGGGCAGATAACCCAAGGTCAGGAGTTTGAGACCAGTCTGGCCAACATGGTGAAACCTTGTCTGTACTAAAAAATAAAAGTAAAAAATAAAAACTTAGCCAGGCATGATGGCACATGACTGTAATCCCAGCTACATGGGAGGCTGAGGCAGGAGAATTGCTTCAACCCAGGAGGTGGAGGTTGCGGTGAGCCGAGATAGTGCCATTGCACTCCAGCCTGGGCATCACAGCGAGACTCTGTCTCAAAAGATAAATAAATAAATAGCAATACTGGAGGGATAAACAGGTGTTGGAGTACAGGAGAAAAGAAAACAAATCTTTAATTCTTTTAATTTTTTTTTCTTAATTTTAGTATGAGCAAAGCAATTTTTAAACTATTATAAGATGAGCAAATATATTGATGTTGAAAGTGAAGTATATTGAATGAGAGGGTTTTCTCTGTAAGAGAGAAAAAAGTTATTAATATAAAAATAAAATGGCAAGATAGAACCAATGACAATGAATTAAAATTGAAGATATCAGTGTATAAACACATAATTTTGGGACTATGAGTCTTTGTATTTAGCCTGGATCTTAGTCTAAAGATCACTAAAAGGAACTAGAACACCTTTGGGGAATGAGGAATGACTCTCAGAAACAAGAGAAGGATATATATAAGTAGTCGTCAATTGTGTGTATCTATCACAATTTCTTTATCCACTCTTATAATGACTTCTTTTCCTCTGTGTAGATACCCAGTAGTGGGATAGCTGGATCAAATGCTAGTTCTACTTGTGTTTCTTTAAGGAATTTCCACACTGTTGTCCCTAGTGTTTGTATTAGTTTTCATTCCCACTAGCACTATAAAAGTGTTCCCTTTTCACAGTGAAAATGGTGTCTTAAACAGCAAGTTAGGCAATCTGGGAAAAGAGTGTTACAGACAATGGAAGCTATGAAAATATGACTAAGGCAGACCGAGTGCTGCATTTTCAAGGAAAAACAAGGAGTTAGTGGTGGTTGGGCAGATGTACAATGGGGCCTATGGTAAGAGACAAGACAACAGAGGGCCAGGAGGTCACATTCTGTAGGGCTTTAAGGAACCATATTTTTGTGTTCTAAATACTTTTCAGATCACCTGAAACGCTGAAATATTATTTCTTACAAGATATTTAGTGAATGGCCTTAATAGTGAAGCCAACATATTCTAGCCTGACTTAACTTTAATTATAGTTACAATGACTCCAACTCAAGTTTACTGACCACTGACCATATTATGCAAAATACTTGGAAAACTAAAATTAAAGAATTTGTAAAGGAGTTTGCTAAAATGTTATACTTAGAATAGCTATATATCCAGATTATTGGAGGGATACTTAACTTGAAGGTATACATAACCATTAAAAGATAAAGAAACACAATCTACATCTCAGTGGTGTATAGATGTGAGGTTGCAAATTTGTGCTCCCTATAAACTGCCGAAGATGTTGCTGTTGGGAGAATCTGACATCTTTGGTAGCAGAAAAATTCCACTAGTAATGTAGCCAAGCAATTAATTGGATGTGAATATGTTGCTCAAAGAGAGTTATCTGCAAAAGTCTGCACCATAAATTTTTAATATAAATTATCATAAAAGAGTCTTCTCTAGTGAGTTGTTTAAGAACTGTAGAAAATAATTCATATTGAGCTATTGGTATTAGTTTCTTTAAAACAATATTTGTTAAAATCAAGATTTAAATATAATTTATTTGGAATTATAAACTTCTAGAAATGGAAAGAACATTAGGAATATTCCAGTCTAGCTGTTTTATGTTTCAAATGGGCTGAGAGAAGTTAAATGATATTCCCCAAGGTTACATTAATTGACAAAAATGTTGGAACTAAAACCAAGTTTCCATAGGTTTATTCTCCCTCCTTTTAAGTGGCAGTTCTAAAAACTATTTGGTCTAATAGGAGTATCATATCCCTGAAACTTTCCTGCAGTGTTCACCCAAATTGAAAGTAGAGTTGTGAAAGAGTAGCTACTATAAAAAGCAAAGAACTCAGGCAATTTATTCTCTTCTCCCAGTAGGAACGCACAGAACAGTATATTCTCATAAAGTTCATAAAGTGAAAACAGTAGAAAGAAGCAGAGTTTATGTACAGGGAAAAAGTCATTAGATAGTCTCTTATAATGCCTGTTGAAGTGGTATTTTAAGAATTTTTATAGACATGTTTGCATCATTACTGGCCTGAGAATATTAATTCTTTTTCAATCAACTATTAATGATGGGGATATAGGTTAAGTTTTCCATAACACAAAATAAGATATAGATTTATGAATCTATATTTTATTGAAATTAATTATTGACAAATGTAATATGCATGTAAATCACCAGGGGAAGTAAAATGCAGAATTCAGGGATTCCACTTTCAAAGGCTGCTTCAGTAAGCTTAGTGGTGAAGACAGAATCTTCGTATTTATCACAGGTAACTAAAACAACTGGTTCCTAGACCACGCTTTCAGAAAAGCTATTGCAATGCATCTGGATGTCTTTAGGGGCATTTTCTTACCTTCCCTCCTGGCTGTTGTTCATTGTATTTGTTTGTACTTTTGAAATTTTGCTGTATTCACTGATCATAGATAGACCAAGTCTAACTTTCATCAACGTATTTCCTTCATTATTTTTCTGTCAGTCAAAAAGTATTGCAATATAACTTAAAATGGTCATATTTATTACTGGCACTATCTTTGATAATATGTATTATAAACTGAATATAACAATGTATACATATGTACTGTATGACATTTCTACAAAAATTAAACATAAATGTGATTATCAAGGTATCAGTTAATGAAATTAATAATATGCAGCTTTGGCTTCTGACAGGAGACTCAAAATAGATATTCATTTCAAAATTACTGAAAAAAATCCCTGGCTAGTTAGTTGTACTAAGTTAGAGTTTCATCTAAACTATGATTGAAATCATGCATACTGGAATGTGTTTTTTTTTTAAAGGAGAAGATTGAGCATTAATAAAATCCAGATTCTGATGCAGTAGGTTTCAGGTGAGGCATAAGATTCTGAATTTATACCACACTCCCAACTGATACCTATATTTCTGATCTGTGAATCAAGTTTTGTACAATGATGCTTTAGAGGACATTTCTTTCATTGACATATCACAACTCTGTGTGGTAAATCTATTTATCATACTATATTCACAATAGTGTTCCAGTGGAGTGTTGTTCAATCTACCTATGGAATTCTTTGACAGTGTGCATTGGAGATTTCTTTTGTCAGTTCCTGAAAAATAAAATGTTTTTCACCATCTGAGGTAATTTTTTCTTGTATCCACTTATATATGAGATGCTGTGACTGTTTGTATTATTTCGGAACTAATTGCCCTAAATTGAGAATCAATTGACTCTTCAGCTCACATTGAGCTTGCATTGGTGAATTTTGCAAACTTCACTATTAAACAAATCCTAAGCGATAAATAAGAAAAAATTAAAATCTTTCTGTTAAACTAAATGCCTCACGAGGGATTAAGAAAAATGTCCATCATTCCAGAATTGTCTGGTGGAATGGTAAAAAACAAGGGTTTCATATTTTGTATTGTACAGTAAAATAGTTGGAAAATATTGGGAAGGCATTGTGATTTATTCAATTGAAAGGAAAAAAAATAAAAGAATATAGAGAATTATCCTTATAGAAGTCCTGAAATGTGGTATTAAAAACCACTCATATATTTGAGAATGTCCCTAGACATATCAGGTCTTAAGAAATATGCAAATACCACCTCTGTGATAAAGTCAGAATATTATGCCATCTTTCTAGTTAAACTTAGAGATCTGTTTTAATGTCTCGACTCTCACTTCATTATTCTGCTTCCTGCTATTTCCTGCATTCTAAAGATGAAATAACCTTATAATATGCCATCCTATGCACCAAATGAAAGGAAAGTCACATATATGAAGGAAAGAAAATTATTTTCTGTTCAGTTTGTCCTCCAAACATATGTGAAATATCTCAGAAAATAAAACAAATTGATTTCCATCTTCAGGAAGAGAAAATTTCTACTATAATCTGTATCCTACATATTATGGTTTTCTAGAACCCAGAGCTTGTCTCCACAATTGAACACTAACTGAAGATTAAAACGTAGGTGCGATTGGAGGGATCTGGCAAGATGGCAGGATAGGAACAGCTCCGGTCTGCAGCTCCCAGTTAGACTAACGCAGAAGGCAGGTGATTTCTGCATTTCCAACTGAGGTGCCATGTTTATCTCACTGGAACAGGTTAGGCAGTAGGTGCAGCCCACGGAGGGTGAGCAGAAGCAGGGTGGGGTGTCACCTCACCCAGAAAATGCAAGGAGCAAGAGGCCTCTCTTTCCTGGCCAAGGGAAGCCATGAGGGGCTGTGCTATCTGGCCCAGATACTGTGCCTTTCCCATGTTTTTTTGCAATCTGCAGATCAGGAGATTCTCTCGTGTGCCTACATTACCTGGGCCCTGGATTTCAAGCATGAAACTGGGCAGCTGTTTGGGGAGACACCGAGCTAGCTGCAGTTTTTTTTCATACCCCAGTGACACCAGGAACCTCAGCGAGACAGAACCGTTCACTCCCCTGGAAAGGGGACTCTTTTGAGAAGTGTCTGTTTATATCACTTGCCCACTTTTTGAATGTTTTTTTTTTTTTCTTGTAAATCTGTTTAAGTTCCTTGTAGATTCTGGATATTAGACCTTTGTCAGATGGACAGATTGAAAAAATTTTCTCCCATTCTATAGGTTGCCTTTTCACTCTGATGATAGTTTCTTTTGTTCAGCAGAAGATTTTTAGTTTAATTAGATCCCATTTGTCAATTTTAGCTTTTGTTGCAATTGCTTTTAGTGTTTTAGTTGTGAAGTCTTTGCCCATGCCTATGTCCTAACTGATATTGCCTAGGTTTTCTTCTAGGGTTTTTATGGTTTTAGGTCTTACGTTTAAGTCTTTAATACACTTTGAGTTAATTTTTGTGTAAGATGTGTAAGGAAGGGGTCCAGTTTCTGTTTTCTGCATATGGCTAGCTAGTTTTCCCAGCAACGTTTATTAAATAGGGAATCCTTTCCCCATTGCTTGTTTTTGTCAGGTTTGTCGAAGGTCAGATGGTTGTAGATGTGTGGTGTTATTTCTGAGGCCTCTGTTCTGTTCCATTGGTCTATATATCTGTTTTGGTACCAGTACCATGCTGCTTTGGATACTGTAGTCTAGTAGTATAGTTTGAAGTCAGGTAGGGTGATACCTCCAGCTTTGTTCTTTTTGCTTAGGATTGTCTTGGTTATACGGACTCTTTTTTGGTTCCATATGAAATTTAAAGTAGTTTATTTTTCTAGTTCTGTGAAGAAAGTCAGTGATAGCTTGATGGGAATAGCATAGAATCTATAAATTACTTTGGGCAGTGTGGTCATTATCATGATATTGATTCTTCTTATGCATGAGCATGGAATGTTTTTTTCCATTTGTTTGTGTCCTCTCTTATTTCCTTGAGCAGTGGTTTGTAGTTCACCTTGAAAAGGTCCTTCATGTCCCTTACAAGTCGTATTCCTAGGTATTTTATTTTCTTTGTAGCAATTGTGAATGGGAGTTCACTCATGATTTGGCTCTCTGCTTGCCTATTATTGGTGTATAGAAAGGCTTGTGATTTTTACACACTGATTTTGTATTCTGAGACTTTTCTGAAGTTGTTTATCAGCTTAAGGAGTTTTTGGGCTGAGATGATGGGGTTGTCTAAATATACAATCATGTCGTCTGCAAACAGAGACAATTTGACTTCCTCTCTTCCTATTTGAATACCACTTATTTATTTCTCTTGCCTGATTGCCCTGGACAGAACTTCCAATACTGTGTTGAATAGGAGTGCTAAGAGGAGGCATCCTTGTTTTGTGCCAGTTTTCAAAGGAAATGCTTCAGCTTTTGCCCATTCACTATGGTATTGGCTATGGGTTTGTCATAAATAGCTCCTATTATTTTGGGATATGTTCCATCAATACCTAGTTTATTGAGAGTTTTTAGCATAAAGGGATGTTGAATTTTATTGAAGGTCTTTTCTGCATCTATTGAGATAATCATGTGGTTTTTGTCATTAGTTCTGTTTATGTTTACCAGTCTTGCATCCCAGGGATGAAGCCAACTTGATCGTGGTAGATACGCTTTTTGATGTGCTGCTGAATTCAGCTATCCAGTATTTTATTGAGGATTTTCGCATTGATGTTCATCAGGAATATTAGCCTGAAATTTTCTGTTTTTCTTGTGTCTCTGCCAGGTTTGGGGATTAGGATGATGCTGGCTTCATAAAATGAGTTAGGAAGGAGTCCTCTTTTTCTATTGTTTGGAAAATTTTCAGAAGGAATGGTACCAGCTCCTCTCTGTACCTGTGGTAGAATTTGGCTGTGATTCTGTCTGGTCTTGGGCTTTTTTTTTTAATTGGTAGGCTATTAATTACTGCCTCAATTTCAGAACTTATTATTCATCTATTCAGAGAATCAACTTCTTCCTGGTTTAGTCTTGAGAGGGTGAATGTGTTGAGGAATTTACCCATTTCCTCTATATTTTCTAGTTTATTTTCATAGATGTGTTTATAGTATTCTCCGACGGTATTTTGTATATCTGTGGAATCAATGCTGATATCCCCTTTATCATTTTTTATTGTGTCTATTTGAGTCTTCTCTCTTTTCTCCTTTAGTAGTCTGGCTTGCAGTATATCTATTTTCTTAATCTTTTCAAGGAACCAGCTCCTGGATTCATTTATTTTTTTAAGGGTTTTTCGTGTCTTTATCTCCTTCAATTCTGCTCTGATCTTAGTTATTTCTTGTCTTCTGCTACTTTTTGTATTTGTCCTTGCTTCTCTAGTTCTTTTAATTGTGATGTAAGGGTGTCTATTTTAGATCTTTCTCACTTTCTGATATGGGCATTTATTGCTATAAATTTCCCTCTTAATACTGCTTTAGTTGTGTCCCAGAGATACTGGTACATTGTCTGTTTGTTCTCTTTGGTTTCAAGAACTTTGTTATTTCTGCCTTAATTTTGTTATTTACCTAGTAGCCATTCAGGAGCAGATTTTTCAGTTTCCATGTAGTTGTGCAGATTTAAGTGAGTTTCTTTATCCTGAGTTTTAATCTTATTGCAGTATGGTCTGAGAGACTGTTCCTTATGATTTCCATTCTTTTGCATTTGCTGAGGAGTATTTCACTATCGATTATGTGGTCGATTTTATAGCAAGTGCTATGTGGTGCTGAGAAGAATGTATATTCTATTGATTTGGGGTGGAGAGTTCTGTAAATGTCTATAAGGTCTGCTTGGTCCTGAGCTGAGTTCAATTCCTGAATATCCTTGTTAATTTTCTGTCTCATTGATCTAATATTGACAGTGAGATGTTAAAGTCTCCCACTATTATTGTGTGGGAGTCTAAGTCTCTTTGTAGGTCTCTAAGAACTTGTTTTATGACTATGGGTGCGCCTGTATGGGGTGCATATATATTCACAATGGTTGGCTCTTCTTGTTGCATTGATCCCTTTACCATTATGTAATGCCCTTCTTTGTCTTTTTATCTTTGTTGGTTTAAAGTCTGTTTTACCAGAGACTAGGATTGCAACCCCTTCTCTCTCTTTTTTTTTTTTTTTTGCTTTCCATTTGCTTCTTAAATCTTCCTCCATCCCTTTATTTTGAGCCTATGTGTGTCTTTGCACATGAGATGAGTCTCCTGAATACAGCACACCAATGGGTCTTGACTCTTTACCCAATTTGCCGGTGTGTGTGTTTTAATTGGGTTATTTAGCCCATTTACATTTAAGGTTACTATTAGTATGTGTGAATTTGATCCTGTCATTATGATGCTAGCTGATTATTTTGCAAATTAGTTGATGTAGTTTCTTCATAGCGTCATTGGTATTTTTATTTTGGTGTGTTTTTGCAGTGGCTGGTACCAATTTTTCCTTTCCATACTTAGTGCTTCCTTCAGAAGCTCTTGTAAGGCAGGCTTGGTGGTGTCAAAATCCCTCAGCATTTGCTTCTCTGTGAAGGATTTTATTTCTCCTTCACTTATGAAGCTTAGTTTGGCTGATATGAAATTCTGGGTTGAAAATTCTTTTCTTTAAGAATGTTGAATATTGGCCCCCACTCTCTTCTGGATTGCAGAGTTTCTGTAAAGAGATCCACTGTTAGTCTGTTGGGCTTCCCTTTGTATATAACTTGACCTTTCTCTCTGGCTACGCTTACATTTTTTCATCGTTTCAACCTTGGAGAATCTGACAATTGTGTGTCTTTGGGTTTCTCTTCTTGAGGAGTATCTTAGTGGTGTTCTCTGTATTTCCTGAATTTTAATGATGGCCTGCCTTGCTAGGTTGGGGAAGTTCTCCTGGATCATATCCTGAAGTGTGTTTTGCAACTTGGATCCATTCTTGCCCTCACTTTCATGGACCCCAATCTATCGTAGATTTGGTATTTTCACATAGTCCCATATTTCTTGGAGGCTTTGTTCATTCCTGTTCATTCTTTTTTTTCTAATCTTATCTTCATGCCTTATTTCAGTAAGTTGATCTTCAACTTCTGATACCATTTTTTCCACATGATCAATTCGGCTATTGATACTTGTATATGCTTCACGAAGTTCTCATGCTGTATTTTTAAGCTCCATCAGGTCATTTATGTTCTTCTCTAAACTGGTTATTCTACTTAGCAGTTCCCGTAACCTTTTGTCAAGGTTCTTAGCTTTGTTGCATTGGGTTAAAACATGCTCCTTTAGCTCAGAAGAGTTTGTTATTGTCCACCTTCTGAAGCCTACTTCTTCTGTCAATTTGTCAAACTCATTCTCTGTTCAGTTTTGTGCCCTTGCTGGAGAGGAGTTGTGATCATTTGGAGAAGAAGAGGCTTTCTGGTTTTTGGAATTTTCAGCATGTTTGTGCTTGTTTTTACTCATCTTTGTAGATTTATCTACCTTTGATCTTTGAGGCTGACGACCTCAAAGATCAGGGAGGTTGCAAGATGAGAGGGTACAAAAGAGAAAACAGGAGGTGCCAGACTCCTCTAAACATCAAGTTCTTGCCCAAACTAACAGAGCAAGAATTCATTACCATGGGAAGGTATTCATGAGAGGATCCATCCCCTGTTGTGTCAAACCCCTATGAACCTCAGTAGGAAATGCAAAAGGTTCAAGAGGCCAAAGAAGAGACTCAGAACCAGCAAATGAGCCATGAGTTTTTATTATGGACTTACAGGGAAGAGAGTCCAGTGGTGGCAGGCTAGACAAGAGAAATGGCCCAGTGGCGGTGGGCCAGAAAAGATATCCACCTTCCTACCATCCGGTGGCAGTAGGCTGAGCAGGAAAATCTCAACCGCCTGCACACAGCATGTATTTATATAGCATTTTCACTTAATACCCTCCCCTTATCAACATCCACCTGGCAACCTTCATCCAATGCAAAACTCACAGCCCCAATATCCTTAATGGCCCGTGTTCCAACTGATGGGACAGGGGATCAAATGTTTCCTTTTTTTTTTTTTTTTTTTTTTTGAAATGGAGTCTCGCTCTGTTGCCCAGGCTGGAATGCAATGGTGTGATCATGGCTCACTGCAAGCTCTGCCTCCCAGGTTCACGCCATTCTCCTGCCTCAGCCTCCCGAGTAGCTGGGACTACAGGTGCCCGCCACCCTGCCCAGCTAATTTTTTTGTATTTTTATTAGAGACAGGGTTTCACCGTGTTAGCCAGGATGATCTCGATCTCCTGACCTTGTGATCCACCCATCTTGGCCTCCCAAAGTGCTGGGATTAAAGGCGTGAGCCACTGCGCCTGGCCTCAAATGTTTCTTATAGACAAGGAACAATTTTCCAGATTGGCCAGCCCCCAATTTCCTACCTCAGAACACATATTCAGATGTTTCTGCCCTACAGGGTCATTCTAAGAGTATGCTTAAGTTATTGCTATCAGATATGTTTACCCTATATCCCCATGATCCAAACACCTCCCATCAAGCCACACCTCCAACATTGGGGATCACATTTTAACATGAGATATAGAGTGGAAAAAACAGCCAAACCATATCAATATAATTCTAGAAAGGTCATTAAATTTACTTAGGCTGAAGCTTTCCGTTATCCTATAAACTATGTTAAAATGCATTAAAACATAGCAAAACCTTGTTTTTAAAATTATAGTCTATTAATCTTTGTTAGAAATTGTGAAGCTGATTTTTAAAAGTAGATTCTTGTATCCATCCTCTTCTCTGCCTTAGTCTCACTGAAGCAGACTCCTTTGAATAGCTCTCTTGAATATCTTTATAACAAGTATTGCAGTGAGTCTTTACACACTAAAGCTTGAGAAAACTCTGACAATTTTTTGCCCAGCTTTCCACAAGATAATTCCTCACAAGAAAGATTGCTCTATAGAAAACATAAGACAAAGTTTAAAATATGATGAAAGAGATTATTGCTCAATGAAGTTTGAAGAGTGTACTAAAGAAAAAAGGGCAAGCATAATATTTTCTATTCCTATCCAAGGGTCTTCACCAAGTCTGGCCTCGACTCCTAAAAAAGATGCAAAATTTACCTTTACAATATCTTAGAATTCTAATGACAGAATGTATTACTTTTTTTTTTGGAACATGATAGATTAATTTGCCAAGCTGGATAAATTGACTAGTTTTTATAGAATTTACTAAAACTAGTATAGCTGACAACTGAGAAAAAAAAAAGCCAGTATCAGTACCCTACATTCTGAGTTCAGAGAACAGCAAGCTGTGAAATCAGAGCCTGATGAGAAGCACTATTTTAGCAGGAGTGTGATTGCATTTATATCACACCTGCCTTTTCCAATTTAGGAGAACTACAGTTGGGATATAGGGACACAGGTAGTCTTCTGAGGAAGGAAAAATCATGAAGGTAAGTTATCCCATTTCTTTTTTCCTTCAAGAAAGGATTATTGACTGATTCTCATTACCAATACAGCATTAAGTGGTCACTGGTGAATTGATTGTAATTTCTGTGGGTGTCTATGAGGCAAGGCTAATTATTTACTTCCACAGTCGGATATCTTCTTGGCCATTGGGCTTAATGACTTCCACTTATGAGACTAAGTTGAAATGGGATCAGAGTGAGCAACAAAGGAGTGAGGAAAGATGGTATGGTCAGGGTGAGATTAGGTAGGGAAAACCCTCAAATATATGTTTCTGAAAGGTTGCAGAAAATGGATCTTACTTTTGCCTAGTTAGAATTGTAAAGGATATATGGAACTGGTCTCATATATTTTCTGGGACTACCAGTGAGTGTTTTAGAGTTTCAGGCATATTAAGAACATGCCACCAGCCCCCCTCTCTAGATGCCAAACTGAGTAAGTTCACTCTTCTCCATGTCCACTGATGTTTGGGAGAGGTGTTTGAGCTTGAGTCAGCGAGGTCTCCTTTCACCTGTATTTATCTACAGCAAGATCAAATGCGATAACTTAGATCAGTTTTGATAAGCATAAAGGGAGTGAGATGGGAAGCAACTTAGTATCTTCTATCTTTGCATGATTTTTATTATCACTGGCAAAAAAAGGTGATGCCCAAGTGACAAACACTCAAATACTAATATAAATAAACATATTTAATGCCTTCTCCTTCTTCCCAGCACCAAGAAAATAAGTCAGTAGAAAAGAGAGGTGAGTTTGAAAGAGCTACACCTGTCCCTGCATGCCTCTTATTCTCTCAGACACACGAGACACATGTGGAGACACTCATCCAACTTATACTAGCAGCTTTGACTCCAATATGGAACCTGTGCTTTATATTGCATTGCAGAAATCTTGAAAACCAAAACTGTACAGATAATTTAATAATCAAAACCAAGTGAAAATTTAAAGGTGTCTACTGTGATATTATTAAAAGAACCCATTACCCAGGTGGTATGGTATGGCTGAAGGATTAGTTAAAATGGCAGACAGGTGGTGTTAAATAAATAAATAAATAAAAGACATAGTTTAATATTTATTTCAAAGAATTGAGTGAAATTAGTCAAACTGCTTTGTCATCTTATCCCTTATCCTGATGTTCACTAACTATCCTTTATTCACCACTTTCACTTCTTCAAATGTAGAAGTACTAGACTACAGGAAATTGGAGAAATTAAGCAATTTGGATATGTCACATTACATCTGCAAACCTTATTTCCCTCATTTGTAATGTGCTAATGATACTTTCCATCTCCCGGGAAATATAATACTTAAAGTTTGCTGTGGAAAATTTTGTGAGATGAGGACTAGGACATTTCTGAAATATTTTCTTGGGTTTTACATGGAGAAAAGAACAAACTGATTGACTGTCTGATTGACCACATAGGAAGGTGCCGATCAATTCAAATGAGGGGTAATATTTCCTTAGTCTTTCCAAAGTTTCATATACACTCATGGTGAAAAGTCCCTCCCTCTCTACCCTATTATTACACGCAACACACCCTCACAGGTCACATCACAAAAGGTCCCGGTTACCTCTACCTCATTAAGACACTTTGACAGGTAGACCTTCCATTTAGTAGATTTCCTCAGACTGCTGCTAAAGGTTAAACCATTGTAATGTTAAAACATTCTAAATATTTTTTGTAAGACCACAATTCTCCTACCATTGAAAATATTTTCTAACCAGGCATGCTAACCAACTTCTCAAACAATTTAACAATAAAAGAAGGAATTATTTAACGAATGGATACTAAATAACTGGATGATGAAATAATCTGTACAACAAACCCCCATGATGCACATGTACCTGTGTAGCAAACCTGCACATCCTGCACAATCACTCCTGAACTTAAAAGTTAAAAATAAAATAGAAAATAAACAATTGGATATGTTGCTTTACTAGGGATATCAGCCTAGAACAGCTTAAATCTAATTTCCAATATAATTTATTTTATGGACTATATTTATAAGTTAACTAGGTCATTAAGCTAATTTTGAATTGTGCCTGTAATATCCATCAAGGTCTAATCAGTATGTGTCTGTGAGCCTCTATTAGCATACCAGACACAATATTATGTGTCACATGCTATACAAAATGAAGAAAATTTTTGAATTCCTCGAAAAATTTTATTATCTATAGATGTGTTGTCTTTAAGATTCCCCAGTTCACTAGAGTAAACCAGATGTTTTTACATTCCTATTATATATGAACTACAAATTTTAAACCTGTTTGGCAAACCTTCTGTTGATTATATTTTATCTAATTCAAATATTTTGACAAACAGCAATAAAATTACAATGTTCCTATGACTTAACACAAGTAGTCTCCAGGCGAGTAACATTTTTAAATTAACTAAATAATAATAAAAACAAATTATAGCAATATTATATTGGGATAGCCACCTTAATTTAACTATTTTTCAGAATAAATATGGAAGGAAATTAAATTACACAAAAATCATTTATGAAAATGCTTCTGGTGTTCAATTTTAATCTTTAAATTTTTGTTTTTATTTCATACACTTTCTGTGGCAGTCAGATGAATCTGGATATAGGCATATTTTTCTGAGCAAAGGAAAGATCCATTATGATTACCTATTGTTCCTGCCTCACTTCTATTTTAAAATTCTCATTGGCAGTCTATTTTCCCACGAACTATATTACTGATTAATATAATTACTAAAACCTTGCTCTAAGGTATAATGTGGAAAATTTTGAGATTTTCAATGTGTTTTAAACATAAAAAGACTCGTGCAAAAACAAATTATGATGATGATAAAATGCTTGGCTTCAACATCAATCTCATGTTCTAATGAATGTGAGAATTTAATGGAGATGGTAGAGCATATGCATTTTCAACAGGCACTAGAGAAAAAATTTTGGAGCCCAGCCAATACCTCCTCTGGAGGGCAGAATATGATGAGTTATGCGAAAAACAAGCCAACCATAATCTAGTGGCCGGACAAGACATAACAGCTGCTATGCTCCAGGGGAGGGGTCCCCATGCTGATGTACAACAACAACTAAATTTTGATCCCCAGGTCTATGCACAAGTGTCTTTGTGCGCTCTCAGGGCTTGGAACTGAATTCCTGAAAGTGAAGTTCAATGGGGATCTTTTATAAATGTTCAACAAGGGCCTCAGAAGCCATTTGTTGAATTTATCAATCAGTTAACCCAGGCAATTAAGAGACAAATTAGTCATGCCTAGTGCCTAGGCTGCTGATATCTTATTGCTGCAATTGGCTTATGAAAATGCTAACGTCAACTGCCAGCAAGCAATGCAGACAATCAGAGGAAAGGCAGCCACAGTTGGAGAACTTACACGAGCATGTCAACTGATGGGGACTGAAACACACAAAGCCAAAATATTGGCTATGGCATTAAGGCCTCCTAAAGTGAAAAGAAAGAGAAATCTAAATTGTTTTCTATGTGCAGAGCGAGGTCATATGAAGCGGGAATGCCCCAATAATAGAGGCTAAGGTAACTCAGGAAAAAACCCCCTTCTATATGCCCCCAATGTAAAAAGGGGAAACATTGGGCAAATCAATGCAAGTCCAAATTTGATAAAAATGGCAATCCCATAAGTACTCAGGTGGGAAACTGCATGAGGGGCTGTCCCCAGGCCCCATTCCAAACTGGGGCAATGCCAGTGGCTTTCCTCGGTCAGAGAGAAAGCCCACAGTCTTCTCTCTTGGAGCAGCCACCATTGGGAGTGCAGAACTGGAATTACTCTGCCAATGAATTAGTGCTAAAAGAAGGAGAGGACCCTAAAAAGGTTGCAACCAAGGTCTGGGGCCCACTGCCTCCGGGAACAGTGGGATTTGTTGTAGAGTGGTCAAGCCTATCCAGTAAAGAAATTAATGTGCTCACCGGGGTAATTGATAATGACTATCAAGGTGAGATATTAGTTATGATGGAATGTAAAGGTTGCATATTCTTCCCCCTGGATCAAAGACAGCTCAGTTACTACTGTTACCATACTGGGTCCCCAGTGCCCAGGGAGAGGAAAGGGGAAAGGGAAGTTTTGGAAACACAGGAGCCATAGGGGTATATTGGAATCAACTAATCACTGATCAGAGTCCCATGATCACCTTAAAGATTGGAAATAAGAATTTTACTGGCTTATTGGAAACACAGGTGGATATTTCAATAATTAATGATCAAAACTGGGCAGAAACTTGGCCTTGGGTCACTCAGAAACAAAAAATTGTCAGCATCGGGGAAGTGCACACAACCAAGCAGAAGAGCACACACCTCCTAACATGTTGTGATTTTCAAGGAAGAAAGGCAGTTATACAGCCTCTAATTATGTCCATCCCTGTTAATCTCCGGGGATGAGACCTGTTAGTCAAGTGGGCGGCGGGAGGAGCGGGGGGGTCACTCTGCAGAACCTTTTCTAATAATGTCTACTGTTATTATCCCTCCCTTACCCCTGATGTGGCTTTCTCAAGATCCAATTTGGGTGGAACAGTGGCCTTTAAAGGGAGAGAAATTACAAAGAGCCCCTGAATTAGTTGAAGAGCAATTAAAAGCCAGCCATATAGAACCATCAAACAGCCCTTGGAATTCAGCCATTTTCATCATTCCCAAAAAGTCTGGTAAATGGAGACTTTTGCATGACTTACGTGCTATCAATGCTAATTTGCAACCTATGGGACCCCTTCAATAGGGTTTCCCTTCCCCCACGGTGATTCCTCAAGAATGGCCTATAGTCATTATTGACTTAAAAGACTGCTTTTATACTATTCCCCTTACAGGACAGAGAAAAAATTGTGTTTACCATAGCAGCTATCAATAATGAAAGGCCAGCTCACCAATTTCATTGGAAGGTACTTCCTCAAGGAATGCTGAACAGCCCTGCCATGTGTCAGTATCATGTAAATCAGGCTTTGTTCCCCAGTAGAAAAGAATTTCCTAATTGCAAGATTATTCATTTTATGGATGATATTTTACTAGCAGCCCCAACAGAGCCAGTACTTTTAAGTTTATATGCCTCTGTTGTAAAGAATACACAGTTAAGGGGTTTAATCATAGCACCTGAAAAAGTACAGATGTCCTCTCCTTGGAAATATCTTGGATACATACTAACTTCCCAGTCAGTAAGACCTCAAAAGGTTAAATTCAATACTAGCAACTTACACACCTTAAATGATTATCAGAAATTGCTGGGTGATATGAATTGACTTCGCCCTACCTTGGGCATAACTACTGATAAGTTACAAAACCTGTTTTCTATCCTAAAGGGCAATATGTCCCTGGATTCTCCCAGGTGTTTAACTCCTGCAGCAAAAAGGGAACTTGATGAAATAGAGCAAGCTATTTCTAGAGGCAGCTAGATCTCATAGATCCATGACATTCAGTTCAGTTGTTTGTTTTTCCCACTAAACATTCCCCAACAGGATTAATAGGACAGAAGGCCCCAGGGCTGTGCTTTCTAGAATGTACTTTTTGCTCACATACGGGGACTAAAACTCTGTCTCCCTATATCCAGCTAGTTAGTAAAGTCATCTATTGAGGCCACAGATGATGCAATCTATTGCTAGGTTATGACCCTGATGTTATTAGAATTCCTTTGAGTAAAAAGCGATTTGAAGCAGTATTGCCCTTATGTCTAAACCTGCAAATAGCACTCTCTTATTACACAGGCCATATAGAACATGCCCTTCCTGCCAACAAACTCCTTCAGTTCTCATCTCGTAATCCTGTGGTTTTGCTTGGAAGTTACTTATGTTTATATAAAAAGAAACTATTAAAAATTTTCTACTAGAGCAACTGCACATGAGGCAGGCCAAGACAAACACAAATCAAGAAATGGAGTCCTCCCAAAGCTGCAGTCTGAAAATACTATAAACAGTTAATTCCACACACATGAATGGGTTTCTTTGCTATAGAAAATCCAAGTGAAATAAGAAATGGACATGTTTGACAAGGTTTCATTTAAAAAAGGATGAGACCCTGTATGTGTTTAGTTTTCTGCTCCGTCACATTTTTCTCCTGCATTGTCTGATGTCCATAGTGTTAGGTTGTTTCTAATCAACTTCTAAGGTGGGTGCTGTCTTTGCATAAGTGTTCATTAAGTTTATCAAGTTTTGCAGTGGCCTCATTAAAAGCCTTTTTATTAAGGATCTCATGGTAAAATATGGAAAAGCTGAGAGCCAGATCATGGGAGATTGGGTGTGTGGGTTGCGTCTTTTTCTTGCTTCTATCAAATGCTTTTTAGTAAGCTCCTTGGGAATTATCTTTTATTTGTTTCCAATCATTGCCATATGCAACTTTAGTAAAGTACAAGAAGTAGTCTCTCTTCAGTTTCAGAAAGAAAACTTTACTCTTTGGATTAGTTGCATTGGCTAGTAAATGCTTATCCAAAAATTCCAAGACCCTGGTGCAGATGGATCTCAGCTCAGACTTCACTTTCTGCTTAGTCCTTTATCAGCTGCAACTTCTTGTCAGAGTTGTCAGTTTTCTGCTTGAGATAGTCCTTCATCAGCTGCAAATTTCTGTTGGAGGTATTGGTTTTCTGCTCAATGCTTCATTCAGATGACCTTCCAGGCAGACCTGTGGCCCCTGACCATGGTCTTGTAGGCCACTGAGAGCAGATTGTACTCCTCTTTGGGCAACTGGACACCCTGCTTGGCCACGGCTTTCCTGAATGTGGCCATGTTGAAGCGCTCTCAGCCTGCTTGGTCAGCTTAGCCTTCTGAATCAGCCGTAGATCTACTCCATGACATGTGGTGAGCTGTTTGTAGGGCCAGGGCTGAGGATGAAGGGAGCGATGGTGAGTGTCTAGCTGGATCGGAGGAGTTCTTCTCAAGAGCTTTAAGTCTGTTGGCCGTAAGAGAAGTCTCCATTATCTTTATAATAAAATTCAAATAATTTATGTGGCTCACCAGGCTATACATTAACTGGTCCCTGCCTGTTTCATAAACTACTACAAATATTCTTTCACTGTAGTACAGGATCAGGGTGTCCCTGGAAAACCACGTAATCTATGTCATTGAAATGTTATACTTCTTCCAACTGCCAGTAACGTTCATCCTGCAAATTGTCACATGGCTGGCTTATTCTTGCAATAAGCACTGCTGGTGGCATGTCACTTCCTCAGATATCTTACCAGAGAACACTATCAAAAATACCTACTGTGCCTCCACCAACAACTTTAGTTCTATTTTATTTCATGTTTTGTGTTCCTCATACAGTAAAGCGCAGCCTATAGTTTTACTATCTATGGGCCCTTTATTTGACAAGGGCCTTGTCTGGTTTGTCATTCCTGTGTTTCACCATTTAACATTAATTCAAAATTATTTATTGAGTTCCTGAGAAAATATAGAGAATCGGTAAATAATTTTGAAGAAAATAAATAAATCCTCCCGAATATTTATACTATTTCTACATTTATGTTGAGCAAAATACTAAAAGCATAATTCTATCACATTGTTTTCATTGATAATAATGTAAACAGAATTTATAATACATCATTTCTATCAAAAAATATATAAACTTTCCACACTACCCAGAAACAGTACTGGTTACTTCAATTTACTTTTATTCTTACCTAGCCAATCAATCTGTTAGTTATAGAGAGATTTAAAATTAAAAATGCTTCAGGAAAACCAGAGATGATTATATTTAGAAATATTCAAAATTATTAGTCAAATATACTTTGAATATCAAACTAAATGGCAATATTGAATCAAATTAAGTAGCAATTCTATTTGTGATTTATGTACTGATTATAATAAACTTGATTTATAAATCAAACATTTAATGAGTATATGTCAATATTCAATGTAAAATAAAATACAGAAGAATAACTATTTAATATTTAGCTACTTTGATACTTTATCCTAAAAGCTAAAAACATTATTTTAAAGACTTTTATCACAGAAAAAAATGTGATTTTTTTCATGATGGAGACAAAATAATGCATTTTCACAAACTGAGACTTTAGGCTATATCTTTTTTGCTAGGTGATTTTTTCAATGATTTTTTTCACCTATGGGACAACTAAATAGTAAGGCGTTCTTGCTATTACAATGCTTTAGCCTTCTGTTTTCCTTTTAAATAAGTATATGTCAAGTTCATTTGTGCATAGAATTCAGTCAGGAAATTTTGTAAGTAAATCAAATATTTCCAAATGCTATAATATTTTTATTGATTCTATAAAAATTTTAGAGTTGTTTTTCCAACTGCACATATTGCTACAAAAAGATAAAAACCACATAGGCACTGTAAAATGTAAGTATCCTTTGGCTTTTTGACAATCCAGTGTTTCATGTTTCCCTTTAGGCAAGAGAGAAAATATACAATCAGTCTATGTGATGTGTGTACCAATGTATTGTACTTTTGTATAATGATCATTATATATAAATGATCATTATATAGCTAGAACAGAAAAATTTTCTTCAACTGTTCACTCAAATAAATATTCAAGACTTTGTTTTCTCCCTTGGGAGCAGCAATTATTCTCTGGTTTAGCCAGTTTAACTCTGAAATTCTCTCTTCTACTTGTTCTAATGCATTTTTAAAAGTGTTCACTGTATGTTGTAACTCCCTAAGTGTGTCTTTCATTTCCAGAAGTTCTGATTGGTATTTCTTTATGTTATCTATCTTTCTAGAAAATTTTGTATTCATATTCTAAGGTGCTTTTTAAATTTCTTTATGATAGTTTTCACGTTTCTCTGGTATCTCTTTAATTAGCTTAATAATTAACATTTTGAATTATTTATCTGGAATTTCACAGATGTCGTCTTGGTTTGGATTCATTGCTGGAAAGTTAGTGTGATCTTTTGGAAGTGTCATAGAACCCTGTTTTTTTGTCATATTACCAGAGTAAATTTTCTGGTTCCTCCTCATTTTGCTAGACTATTTCTTCAAACTATTTTTGAATTTATGTTTGATTTGAGTGTTTTTTTTTAATTTCTTTTTTTCTCCTTAAGGATGTGACTTTAATGGTTATGGTTAATTATAGTCTAATTGGTTCTTTGTGCTTTCAGGGGTAAAGACTCCGTAAGTGTTTCTTGGTTACAAAGAATCTTTGTATAATGGTTTTCTCATATGCTGGTTGTAGTAGCAAAGTGTATGAGTACGTTCACCGTCTTCTATGGGGTTGGAAGGGTAGCCGTCTCTTGAAGCTTATCTAATTCCCCCATGGTTTGCACTTTTTTTATTTGAATTTTTGTTTGTTTTTTTGAGACAGTTTCGCTGTTTTCGCCCAGGCTGGAGTGCAAGGGTGCAATCTCGGCTGGCGACATCTGCTTTCTGGGTTCAAGCAATTCTCCCGCCTTATCCTCCCTGGTAGCTGGAATTACAGGTGCCTGCCACCACATCAGACTAATTTTTTTTTTTTTTTTTTGTATTTTTAGTAGAAATGGTGTTTCACCATGTTGGCCAGGCTGGTCTTGAACTCCTGATCTCAGGTGATCTGCCTGCTTCAGCCTCCCAAAGTGCTGGGATTACAAGCGTGAGCCACCGCACCTGGCCTTATTTATTTGTTTTTACCCAGTATTTTATTTACAATTTTGATGGTCTGGGCTTCAGGATAGTAGGGGAGAAACCTCTACAGGGGTCCCCTACACAGGGACCCACATTATGGCTAAAGCAGGTGGGTAAGTACAATACCCAATGGTAGACAGAGGTCCCAGGCTTGTCCAAGGTGGCTGAGGGAGCGCTCAGTGAGCTGCACTGATGTCTTATCAGGGGGAAGGGTTGGAGCCACCTCAGATCCCCTGCCAGGTCAGCAGAAAAGCTATCTACCTCCCAGACACACTCTTGTCCCAGTGCTCCAGCTATTCAGATCAGCCAGGTACATCTTTTCATCTTAAGAATTTTGATGATCCAAGTAGAGGGAAATTGTGACTCTGCCTCTTATACAAGCCTAAACCTGGAGGGTACACTTCCTGGGGAGATGCAGAATTTTTCTCTGTTCAACTTCTCTCCCTGTTTTATATTTTTTTCTTTCTCTTCCATCTTAATACAACACAATCATGCCCAGCTTTTTTTTTTTTTTTTTTTTTTTTTTTTTTTTTTTTTTTTTTTTTTGGTAGAGTCGGGGTTTCATCACGTTGGTCAGGCTAGTCTCGAACTCCTGACCTAAGGTGATCCACCCGTTTCAGCCTCCTAAAGTGTTGGGATTGCAGGTGTGAGCCACCATGCCCAGCCAGATGGACTCTTTTGTAAATCAAAACCTGGGTTTCCTATTATAAAATACGTGAATATCTATACTGCTGATTGTTTTCTTTGCTGTAATTCTTTCAAGCATTTTTTTTTAAATGAATGTCTATACCTCTTACATTCTTGCAGTACATTCTTAACTCATTTCAGTTCAGGTTAGAATTTTTGTTTTTCTATGTGACAATATAAACTTATAATGACACTAAAATTGGGGCTGCTGTCAACTCATCATTGGAAGTATGCTAGTTCTAAATATTAAATTATTTTTTGGTTTTTTTTTTTTTTCTTTAGACTGAATCTTGCTCTTTCATCCAGGCTGGAGTGCAGTGACACAATCTTGGCTCAATGCAACCTCCACCTCCTCCTGGTTTCAAGCTATTCCTCCACTTAAGGCTCTCGAGTAGCTGGGACTACAGGTGTGCACGACCACACCCAGCTAATTTTTGTATTTTTTGACAGAGACAGGATTTCACCATGTTAGCCAAGCAGGTCTCAAACTCCTGACCTCAAGTAATCTGCCCACCTGGACCTCCCAAAGTGCTGGGATTACAGGCATGAACCACTGCACCCGGCCTAAATATCAATTTTAAAAAATGTGCCAGGGACTTTAAATAATGTACTAGTTCTTCCTTATATGTGTAATTTTAGAAGTATTCCAAGAAATTATTATTAAATAATCATTTTATAAAGGTAAAAGCAGGAAAGCTATTTTATGCACTGTTATAATGATTAGCATATACTAGCTACTCTATAAAAATGTTACCTTATTATCAGGAAACACATTGCCTGTGGTACATTAATACCTCTGATTTCACTCCATCACTACAGATTTATTGTATTGGTGTACTTATAGCAGAGTATAATATTCATCTAAAATTATATGACTACAATATTCATCTAGTATGATATTTATTTATTAGCAACAAACTACATTGTAAACAAGGTCCCCTATGACAGAGATAATTAAACATAATTTAAGTATGCAAACATTTCACTTCTTTTATGACTGAATAGTGTCCTATTACAAATAGAATACATATTGCATATCTACAATATGTTTAATTATTATATAATACCATATTTTTATGAACAGATGAACAAAGAAAATGTGATATATATATCTAATCATCTGTTGATAGACATTAAGTTTTCTTCCATATCTTGGCTATGGTGAATAGTGCTAAATAAACAGGTTAAAGATATCTCTTCAATGTACTGATTTCCTTTCTTTTAGATAAATACCGAGCAGTGGGATTGCTGGATTATATGGTAGTTCTGTTCTTAGTTTTTTGAAAAACTTGTATGCTGTTTTTCACAATGTCTGTACTAATTTACATTCCCTCCAAGAGTGTGTAAGAATGTCCTTTTCTCCAAATCCTCATGAGCATTAGTTATTTTTCCTCTTTTTGCTAATAGCCATTCTTATTATGGTAACATATTTCATTGTGGCTTTGATTTACATTTTCTGATGATTAGTCATATTGAGTACTTTTTCATATATTTGTTGGCCATTTATATGTCTTCTTTTGAGAAATATCCTAAGATCCTTTGCCTATTTTTAAATAAGAAGGTGATGATGATGATGACTATTATTATTATTGCTGTTGAGTTGTTTGAGTTCATTGTAAATTATGGATATTAATTACTTATCAGATGAATAGTTTGCAAATATATTCTCCCATTCAATGGATTGTCTTTTCACTGTATTGATTGTTTCCTTTTTTTGTGTAGAAGCCTTATAGTTTAATGTAGACCCATTAGTATATCTTTGCTTTTGTTGCCTGTGTTTTTGTAGTCTTTTGAAGCCGTAAAATCTTTACCTAGACCAATGTACTGGAGTGTGTTCCCTATTTTCTTTTAGTAGATTTATAGTTCTAGATCTTTTGTTTAATCAATCCACTTTGAGTTTATTTTTGTATAGGGTGAGAGAGTTCTGGCTTCATTCTTCTGCATGTGGAAATCCAGTTTTCCCAGCACAATTCATGAAAAAAGGTGTTATTTTCCCAATTATGGTCTTAGCATCTTTGTTACAAATGAATTGGCTATAAATATGTGAACTTACTTAGTGGTTCACTATTCTGTTTTATTGGTCCATGTGTTGGCTTTTGTACCAATGCCATGATATTTTGTTTATTATAGCTTTTTATTACATTTTAAAATCAAATAATATGATGCTTCTAGCTTTGTTCTTTTTGTTCAGTATTGCTTCGGCTATGTGGAGTCTTTTGTGGTTCTATACAAGTTTTAGTGTTTTCGCTTTTTTTTTTTTTACTGTTTCTGTGAAGAATGTCATTGGTATTTAGATGGGAATTGCATTGAATCTGTAGGTTTCTTTGGGTAGTATAGTCATTTTAGCAATATTAATTCTTCAAATTCATGAGCATGAGATATCTCTCCATTTGTTCATTTCCTAAATTTCTTTTCAACATTATTTTGTAGCATCTGTTGCAGAGGTCTCTCACCTCTTTAGTTAAGTTTATTTCTAGGTAATATTTTTGTAGTTATTGTAAACTGCATTACTTCCTCAATTTCTTTTTCAACTAGTTTGTTATTGGTATATGGAAACAATACTGATTTTGTTTGATGATTTTGTGTCCTGCTACTTTGCTGAATTCTTGTTTTAGTTCTCAGATTTTTGGGTGGTGTTTTTAGGTTTTTCTATATGTAAAGATTATGTTGTCTGCAAATCCTAATTGATCGTGGTGTATCTTTTTGAGGCACCATGTTATTGGATTTGGTTGCTATTTTGTTGGTGATTTTGGCATTCATGTTTATCAGGGGTATTTAGGTTTAGTTTTCTTTTTTTGTTACGTTCTTGTCTGGTTTTGGTATCAGGGTAATGCTGGCCTCGTAGAATGAGTTAGGAAGAATTCCTTTGTCTTCCATTTTTTTGGAAGAGTTTGAGAAGAATTGATATTAGTTCTTCTAACTAGTGGAATTCAGATATAAAGCCATCCAGTCTTGAAGGGCTTTTCTTAGTTGGGAAACTTTTTATTACTTATTAAATCTATTTATTGATTATTGTTCTGTTCAGGTTTTTTTTTCTTTTTGGTTAAATCTTGGTGTGTTTATATATCCAGAAATTTATTCATTTCCTCTAAGTTTTTAAATTTGTTTATTTTAATGTATTCATATAGCCTTTAATGATCCTTTGTATTTCTGTAGTATACGTTGTAAAGTCTCCCTTTTCATATCTGATTTTCTTTATTTGGGTCTGCTTTCATTTATTCTTGGTTACTCTAGCTAACAGTTTATCAATTTTGTTTACTTTAAAAAAATTGTATTTTGTTGATTCTTATATATTTCAATTAATATTCTTAAATATTTCTTATAATATTAATAATTTCTTATTAATATTAATTATTAATTTTAATAATTTCTTATTAATATTAATTATTAATTTTAATAATTTCTTGTTAATATTAATTATTAATTTTATCAATAATTTATTTCTTATTAATATTAATCCTTAAATATTAATTTTCAATTAATATTCTTAAATATTAAAATATATTTTTATTATTTACTTTGTTTAGTACTGCCCTGATTTCATTTTTTTCCTCTCCTACATTTTGGTTTGGTTTGTTCTTCCCTTTCTAGTTCCTTCAGGTGCATCTTTATGTTTATTTGAAATCATTCAACTTTTTTGATATAGAAATTTATTGCTTTAAGCTTCCCTCAATATTTCTTTTACTGCCTTCCATAGGTTTTAGTATGCTGTGTGTCCATTTTTACTCATTTTAAGAAAAATTTCAATTTTCTTCTTCATTTCCTAATTGACTCACTGGTTATTCAGGAGCACATTGTACAATTTCCATGTATTTGTACAATTTCCAAAATTCTTGTTTTTTACTTATGGTTTTATCCCATTGTTGTCTGAGAAGACACTTGATACGATATTATTTTTTAAAAATTTGTTGAGACATGTTTTGAGTCCAATAGTATTGTCTTTTCTGGAGAAAGTTCCAGGCAATGATGGGATCTCTCTTTTGTACTTCATAAATGCCCAAAGAAACTTACTTAGAAATATGAATCATCAATGTATAATGTTTGTCCTTTTTTATTGTTCCTAGAGGGCTTTTATAAAAGCAATTCATAAAGAAGAATATAGTAATGACTTTTGGCACTGGGTTAAACTCAAAACAATGCTAGAATAAAAAGCTGATATTCTAAACACTAAAAATTAATTCACAAGCCAGAATAAAACACTAGTTCAATGTATTCCAGAATAATAATTATTTTTTTTCCTAAAAAGCTACACAAAATGCCAATATCTCTGCAGATGTGATATTAATGAACATTCTTCATTCAATGAAAATGTGAGTCGTTAACATTATATGAATACTTCTGTTACATGAAGTGTTTTCTTCCTGCAGAATGAGTAGCCCACTATAAATAGAAGTAAAGGAAGTTTATGAGTTATCACCATTATGCACTTTTTTCATTTTGTTGATTTTTTTTTTGTATTTTTAATACTTATTTTGTGTAGTACTGCTCCGATTTTATTCTTTTCCTACTCTTAATTTTTGGTTTGGTTTGTTCTTGCCTTTGTAGTTTCTTCAGATGCATCTTTATGTTTATTTGAAATCTTTCCACTTTTTTGATATACACATTGATTGCTGTTTCTCTCTTAATATTTCAAAAATCACTATTATAAATTTAATCATTACAAAAATCACTATTATAAATTTAAGGGATAATAACAGTGCAAAAATGTAGCATATGAACTCTGTATTTAAAAAGTGTCCATTTATCTTCTGCATGATTTTATTTTCTTATTTTTAGGCAAATTGTATTTTCTATAAATTTAATAAACAGTACCTATGTGCCATTATGTTTACACATGATAGTAAGTATTCGTGAATGTGGCTAATGAGTTCTTCCCAAAGACTAAGCATTCATTAATAGTAAATCTCTTTTCCCCATGAGTTATATTTTATGTGAACATTTACCAAACATCCAAATAACTGGATTTCTCTTCTAGAGGTTTTACAGTTTCGGGACTTACATTTAAATCTTTACTCCATTTTGAGTTTACACTTATATGAGATAATGGTCCAATTTCATTATTCTGCATTTGGATAGTCAGTTTTCTCAATGGCATTTATTAAAGAGACTTTCCTTTTCCCATTGTCTGCTGTTGATATTTTTGTAAAAAATTAATTGATCTAGGATACATAAGTTTATTTCTGAGCTCTTCATCCTATTACTTTGATCAATGCATCTTTTTTTTTCCTTGACAGTAGCATACTCTTTTGATTACTATAGCTTTTTAATATGTCTTTAAATCAGCTAGCATGATGCCATTACCTGTGTTCTTGCTGAGGAGTGCTTTGGCTATTTGTGTGCTTTTGTAGTTCCATATAAATTTTAGGATTGTTTACTTAATTTCTGTGAAAAATGACATTGAAATTTTGATAGGAACTTCAGTGAATGTGCAGACCACTTTGAGTTGTATCGACATTGGGCAACAATTTCATATACTTGACCCCAAAACACAGGCAACAAAGGCAAATATAGACAAATGAGATTGCATTAAACTAAAGAGGTTTTGCTCAACAAAAGAAACAATTAACAGAGTAAAGAGACAACCCATAGACTGGGAGATTATATTTTCAAATTATAAATTGGATAAGGAACTAATATCCAAAACATACAAGGACTTCAAAATACTAACACAACAACAAAAATCAAATAATCCTATTAAAAATGGGCAAAGGACCTGAGTAGATGTTTCTTAAAAGACATAGAAATAGCCATCAGATATATGAAAAAAAATGAGCAACATAAATAATCATCAGAGAAATGCAAATTAAAACAACAATCCATCTCCTCACTCCTGTTAAAATGACCATTACTGAAAAAAAAAAAAGATAAATGTTGATGAGAATGTGGAAAAGTAAAATACTTATACACTGTGGGTGGGATTGTAAATTAGTACAACCATTTTAAAAACAGTATGGAGGTTCCTTAAAAACTAAAAGTAGAATTATCATATGGTCCAGCAATCCTGCTTCTGTGTGTTTATCAAAAGAAAGTGAAATCAGCATGTTGAAAGGATGTCTGTATGTTCATGTTCATTGCAACGTTATTCACGATAGTAAACATATGTAAACAACCTAAGTATGTCTCAAACGGTAAATAGATACAGAAACTGTGGCATATGTACTTACACACTGGAATAGTATCCAGCTTTACAAAGAAAATTTTGTCATTTGGGACAGCATGGATGTATCTGGAGGAAATTATGCTAAGTGAAACAAGCCAGGTACAGAAAGACAAATGCTGCATGATCTTGCTTAAATGTAAAATCTAAAAAGTCAAAATCATAGAAGTAGAGGGTGGAATGATGGCTACCAGAAAGTGAGCATGGGCCAGTGGACCAAGAAAGTGGATATGTTGGTCAAAGGCTAAAAAGTTTTGGTTAGACAAGAGAAGTAATTTCTGGTTGATACATTGCAGCACTGTGACTATAGCTAATAATCATGTATTCCATATTTCAAAGTTACTAAAATAATAAAATGTAAATGTTTTAATTACAAAGAAATGATAGATTTGTGAGATGATACATGTGTTAGTGTGGCTTGATCATTGCGCTATGCATACATGTATATAATAACGTCATACTTTGCCACCTAAATATATGCAATTATTATTTGTCAATTACAAATAAAATAAAATTTTAAAGATAGATCACTCTCGAGTTGCCTCAGATATTGTTAGATAAATGCATCTTTTAACTCCAAAGCCTGCACAGGTGGTGTGTCACCAAAATTACCCATTTCAATATCACTTTCTGAAAATTTTATTATTTAAATCAAAGTATTTTTTCCTACTATTCTTTTTTTCACTATTAATATTTAATACTTCCTTCTGATGGACTGTGTAATCTCTAGGTCAGACAAAACCTCCAAAGAAAAAGACTGAGGAGTGGAATGAGCATTCTCCATTTCATTGTTCATGGTGGTCTTCACATGTATTTTACTCCTACTCTATAGCAAAGATCTCTACAAGGGTGTTATGTTATATTCCAATAAAATATGTGGTGGGTATAATTATCTGTCTCTAATATCTTTTTGGTTTCCTTAACATCAAGACGAAACAATCATTTACAGTGGCTACTAAATTCCACCTGTAATTAAATATTTTTCTTTTCTTTTTTTTCCTTTTCCTGATAGATATGTAAGCAGCTATCTACATGCAATCTTTGGCTTCTTTTTTCTTTTCTTTTTTTTTGGAGATGGAATCTCGCTGTGTCACCCAGGCTGGAGTGCAGTGGCACAAACTCGGCTCACCGCCACTCCCGTCTCCCAGGTTCAAGCAACTCTCCTGCCTCAGCCTCCTGAGTAGCTGGGATTACAGGTGCATGCCACCATGCCCGGTTAATTTTTGTATTTTAGTAGAGATGGGGTTTCACCATGTTAGCCAGGCTGGTCTCGAACTCCTGACCTCAGATGATCTGCCCGCCTCGGCCTCCCAAAGTACTGGGATTACAGGTGTGAGCCATCTTGGCTGGCCTGGCTTCTTTCTTATCTCAAAAAAAGTTACTAAACACATAAATAAATAGAAATATGTCATTTTTCTTGTCCTTGAGAGTTTCTATTTTGACCAACTGAACTAAAAAAAAGGCTCAAATTCAGTTTACAGTTGACAAACTAAATAATTGATACTAACCCTGCTTCTGAAGACAATTTTAAAAACTGGTGAAATAGGTTTTAAAATTGGATTTAAAATGTGATATCAAAGATGATGAGGAATTATTGTGCGATGGCACAGGAGACTGCAGAAACTTGAATATATGAGCCCAGCATAGAAGCACATGTGCTTCAAAAACAGTTTGATGGTATAAATAAGACAGCTGAGAGAATGAGCTATAATTTCGAGACCTTTAAGGGCCACAGGAACAATGACATATCCAGAGACTGTCAAGATTTAAGACTCTAATAATTCCATCACCCAACTTGGAAATGGGACCTTAAAGAATTCATTAACCAGCTCATTCCCAGACTATGGCACTCCAATGAAAAATTCTTTTTTTTTTTTTGGTGGAGTCTCGCTCTGTCACCCAGGCTGAAGTCTAGTGGTGTGATCTTGGCTCACTGCAACCTCTGCCTCCCGGGTTCAAGCAATTCTCCTGCCTCAGCCTCCTGAGTAGCTGGGACTACAGGCTCGTGCCACCATGCCCAGCTGATTTTTGTATTTTTAGTAGAGATGGGGTTTCACCATGTTGGCCAGGAAGGTCTCAATCTCTTGACCTCATGATCCACCCACCTTGGACTTCCAAAGTGCTGGGAATACAGGAGTGAGCCACTGCGCCCAGCCTCCAATGAATAATCTGAGTGCTTCTACACCTGCATTAAGGCATCTTAAATTGTGGCTGACTTGAGGTGCCATAAAAATGCAAATAAGAGTAAATTCATCTTAGTCGTCAAATCATGACAAGTATTAATATATTTTAAGCAAATGACCAGATTAAATTCATAGGTAACCTGACACATGTAAGATTAGGTAAAATAAGCAAGAATAAGTGAAAACAACAAACATTTAAAACAACTAATGGGAAGCCAAGATACTAAAAATAAAATTGTTCCAGTATAAAAAGTAACTATGCACAACATGTCAAGAAGAAAAAACCTAAGCATGAATATTTTAGGAGAAACTAAAAATTGATAAAAATTAGCACAACATATTAGAAAATTAACCAACTAGGTACTCTAGACTAAAAAATACAGTAATTGAAATCAATATAGCAGCAGATTGTATATAGCTAAATAAAAAATAGTATCAAAAGAAATTTTATAATTTATTGTAATAAGATACTAAAAGATGAGAAATACAGCACAGAATGTACAGTACATAGAATATAAAATATAATTTTATAGATATGATGAAAGATTTTTAAGATGCAGAGTAAGAAGCTCAGAAAAGCCAAGAAAAATGAATAAGAAAATAAATTTAAATATAGACACAAAAGAATATCTTATACACAAATAAGGGTGAGAAAGACAAGAAAGACAGATTGCATTGTGACAACAGTTAAACTGAGAGCTGACTTCTGTACAAACACTAGAAATGATATCTTCTGTGGACTAAAAGGGAAAAATGACAGCATAATATCTACACTTACATAAAATGCCCTTATAGAATGACGAGAAATTAAACATAATTTAAGCAGAAAACTGAAAAATTTGGAACAGATGAACCACAGTAAATGAAATTCTAAAGACTGTTCTCTTTAAAATTTCACATAGACTAGAAATCATCTAAGTAAAATGCCACAGATGAAAAAAGGAATAAAGAGAAAAAAGGGAAAAGAATGTTAAATCTAAATTAATGCTTACTTTAAACCAGTAACTGTGATTTTCCATAATTACTTGAAAACAATAGCAAGATATATATATATATATATATATATATGGATTAAAGTGTTCTATATGTGTTTCATTGCTTCCGTGATGAATAAAGGTATTAATTGAGACTAGATTAGGTGAAGATTGGTAAATTTAACATGCATCATTCAAGATAATCTAGCTTATACTGAACTTACACACAGCTATACATTTTAGTGGCTTATAATGAAAAGTTTTTTTTCTTACACTGCATGATCATCATCAATCACCTGGAAGCTATGTTCCAACGGAAATATTGCATATTGTCATGCTGAGGGAAAAAGAAAATGACAAACCATGCTCTGAATGAACATAATGAGTAGCCTGTCTTATTCTTCTGTTCACAAAGTATTCAGTATGTTCACATTACATATATTTCCCCTTTATCACTACAATATTTGACCGCACCTGAAATACAAATTGGAGAACATATTCTACTGAAGAGTGAGGACATATTCTACTGAAGAGTGAGGACATATTCTACTGAAGAACATATTCTACTGAAGAACATATTCTACTGAAGAGTGAGGAGTTTTCTCAACCCATTCGTGTATAGTAATTAAGCAATATTTTTTTGAGAAATGAGAAGTGTCATTTTATTCTACATGAAAGCTAACATCGTGGATGCTGGTAGAAGACACAAAACTCCTGGATCAGAGATAAAAGACAGTTTATTTTCACAGCAGTAGTAGTAGCCATAATTTCAGGATTTTGTGTGTGTTTGCCAGTACACTGATCCCTAATTCTCACATGGTGACATGAAAGGCAAGATGGTACTTTGTGTGCAGTGAGTGTGGTTCAGAAAAAGACCCCTCAGTTTAGTATACCTTATCTCTTATAATGGGAAGTAAACATGCCTCCTTTTGTTCTGGAGAGATGTCCTAAATCTTTCAAGACTATAAGCAAAACTTCCTGTAGATACAGAAGGAGCCACTATGTCTTTCAAAGTCATTTGCTATACGAACATTCTTGAAAAGATACTCTGAAACAAAGGGCAGTCTGTGCCCCACTTCACAAGACACAACAACACAAGAAACCTATGGATAATTGCTTCCCAACAGTTTTAAGCCACAGAAAATCATGGTAGTGTATATTCCAAGCTTATTTTTTGCCAATATAAATCTAAAAAATTTAGTCAGCTTTGTATATATTTGATTCCAGTCAGGCATATGTAGTAATAACCACAGAGATACTATCGAGTATATTTCTTTCATTGAATTAATAGTTTTATCTGAGTAATTTTTTAAATTTTTTTGAGATGGAGTCTCACTCTATTCCCCAGGCTGGAGTGCAGTGGCATGATCTCAGCTCACTGAAACCTCTGCCTCCCGGGTTCAAGTGTTTCTCCTGTCTCAGCCTTCTGAGTAGCTGGGATTACAGGCACCCACCACCATGCCTGGCTAATTTTTGTATTTTTACTAGAGACGGGGTTTCACCATGTTGGCCAGGCTGGTCTCGAATTCCTGAGCTCAAGTGATCCACCCGCGTTGGCCTCCCAAAGTGCTGGGAGTACAGGCTCAAGCCACCACGCCTGGTCATGAATTTTATGTGTAATAAATTTCACTGGTACTAATTGTTCATTTCAATTCTTTTTAATATTTTAATACAGTTTTACAACCGTTACTGCAATATGTCTATTACCCCAGAGAGAAATTTCTTACCTATTTGCATCCATTTCCCATTTTTACCCACAGCACTAGGCAACCACTAATCAAATTGTCTCTTTTAATTTCCTTTCCTTAACATTTCATATAAATGGAATCATAAAATGAGTTATTTTGTGTTTGTGCACATTTATTTAACATAATATTTTTGAGGTTCATTCATATTGTAGCATCTGTCCGTAATTAATTTTTTATCACCAAATAATATTCCATTGTATGTATATTCCACATGTGTTATCAGCTCACTAACTGATGGGTAATTATGTTGTTTTTACTTTTTGGTGATTGCCACTTGCGTACATATGGGTTTATTTTTGGGTTATCTATTCTTTTCCATTGGTTGATGGGTCTGCTTTTATGAAATACCATGCTATAGCTCTGTATTATAATTTGAAATTAGGTAATGTAATTCCTCCAGTTTGATTCTTTTTTTAGGAGAGCTTTGGTTATTCTCAGTCTTTTGTGGTTCCATAAAAATTTTAAGTATTTTTTTATCTGTGAAAAATATCATTAGTGTTTTTATAAGGCTTTCATTGAATCTGTCAATTGCTTTGGGTAGTATGGACATTGATATGGTTTGGCTATGTCCCCACCCAAATCTCATCTTAAATTTCCATGTGTTGTGGGAGGGACTCAGTGGTAGGTAGTTGAATCATGAAGGCAGGTTGTTCCTGTGATGTTCTTGTTATAGTGAATGAGTCTCATGAGATCTGATGGTTTTAAAAAGGGGAGTTTCCCTGCACGAGCTGTCTTCTCTTGTCTGCTGCCATGTGAGATGTGCCTTTCACCTTCCACCATGATCGTGAGGTCTCCCCAGCCATGTGAAACTGTAAGTCCAATAAACCTCTTTTTTTTTTTTTTTTTTTTTTGGTAAATTCTCCTTTCTCAGTTATGTCTTTATCAACAGTGTGAAAACAGACTAATAGAGTAAATTGGTACCAGTAGAGTGGGGCACTGCTGAAAAGATACCCAAAAATGTGAAAGTGACTTTGGAACTGGGTAGCAGGCAGAAGTTGGAACAGTTTAGTGGGCTCAAAAGAAGACAGAAAAGTGTGGGAATGTTTGGAACTTCCTAGAGACTTGTTGAATAGCTTTGACAAAAATATTGATAGTGATAAGAACAATAGTCCAGGCTGAGGTGGACTCAGATGGAGATGAGGAACTTGTCTGGAGCTAGAGTAAAGTTGACTCCTGTTATGTTTTAGCAAAGAGACTGACAGTATTTTGCCCTACCCTAGAAATCTGTGGAACTTTGAACTTGAGGGAGATGATTTAGGGTATTTGGCAGAAAAAATTTTTAAGCAGCAAAGCATTCAAGCGGGGACTTGGGTGCTGTTAAAGGCATTCAGTTTTATAAGGGAAGTAGAGCATAAAAGTTTGGAAGCTTTGCAGCCTTACAATGTAATGGAAAAGAAAATCCTGTGTTCTGAGAAGAAATTCAAGCTGGCTGCAGTAATTTGCATAAGTAATGAGGAACCAAATGTTAATCCCCCAAACAATGGGAAAAATGTCTCCAGAGCATGTCAGAGGTTTTCATGGCAGCCCCTCCAATCATAGGCCTGGAGGCCTAGGAAGAAAAAATGGTTGTGTGTGCTGGGCCCAGGGTCCCTGTGCTGTGTGTAGCCTAGGGACTTGGTGCCCTGAATCTCAGCCACTCCAGCCATGTCTGAAAGGGGCCATCATAAAGCTCAGGCCATGGCTTCAGAGAGTGCAAGCTCCAAGCCTTGGCAGCTTCCACATGGTGTTGAGCCTGTGAGTGCAGAGAAGTCAAGAATGAGGGTTTGGGAACCTCCACGTAGATTTCAGAGAATGTATGGAAATGCCTGGATGCCCAGGCAGAAGTTAGCTGCAGGGGGGAGGAGGTCCTCATGAAGAACTTCTGCTAGGCCAGTGCAGAAGGGTAATGTGGGGTGGGAACCCCCACACAGAGTCCCTACTGGGGGACCACCTAGTGGAGCTGTGAGAAGAGGGCCACCATCCTCCAGACCCCAGAATGGTAGATCCACCTACAGCTTGTACCATGCACCTGAAAAAGCCACAGACACTCAATGCCAGCCCATAAAAGCAGCTGGGAGGGAGGCTGTACCCTGCAAAACCACAGAGGCAGAGCTGCCCAATACCATGTAAACCCACCTCTTGCATTAGCATGACCTCGATGTGAGACTTGAAGTCAAAAGGGTTCATTTTGGAGCTTTAAGATTTGACTGCTCTGCTGGATTTTGGATTTGCATGGGAACTGTAGTTCCTTTGTATCAGCCAATTCCTCCCATTTGGAACAGCTGTATTTACCCAATGCCTGTACCACCATTGTATCTGGGAAGTAACTAACTTTCTTTTGATTTTACAGGCTCATAGATGAAAGGGACCTGCCTTGTCTCAGATGAGACTTTTGACTGTGAATTTTGAGTTAATGCTGAAATGAGTTGAGACTTTGGCAGACTGTTAGGACAGCATGATTTGTTTCAAAATGCAAGGACATGAGGCTTGGGAGAGGCCAGGTGCAGAATGATGTGGTTTGGCTGTGTCCATATTCAAATATCATCTTAAATCTCCACATGTTGTGAAAGGGACCCAATGGGAGGTAATCGAATCATGGGGGCAGGTCTTTCCTGTGCTTTTCTCATGAAAGTGAACAAGTCTAATGAGATCTGATGGTTTTAAAAAGGGGAGTTTTCCTGCAGAAGCTCTCTTTCCTTGTCTGCTACTATGTGAGACGTAACTTTCAACTCCCACCATGATTGCAAGGCCTCTGCAGCCATGTGAAGCTGTAAGTCTAATAAAGCTCTTTCTTTTGTAAATTGCCCAGCCTCAAGTATGTCTTTATCAGCAGCATGAAAACAAACTAATACAAACATTTTTACAATATTGATTATTCCAATACATGAATATAAAATAACTTTCAATTTTTCATGGTTCTCCTCATTTTCTTGCATCAGTGTTTTATATTTTTCATTGTGGATATCTTTTAATTTTTTGCTTCAATTTCAAATATTTTATTTTTTCACTATTGTAAATGAGATTACTTTCTTAATTTCTTTTTTCAAATTATTCACTGTTGGCATACAGAAATGCTACTGATTTTTGTATGTTGATTTTGTATCCTGCCACTTTGCTGAATTTGTTAATCAGTTCTAATAATTTTTTTGGTGAAATCTTTAGGTTTTATTCCAAATATAAGCTCATATGATGTGCAAAAAGGACAATACGGCTTCTTCCTTTTCGATTTGAATGCCTTTTATTTCCTTCTCTTGTCTTATTGCTCTAGCTGTGACTTCTAGTACTATGTTGAATAACAGTGGTGAAAGGGAAAACCCTTGTCTTGTTTCAGATCTTAGAGGAAAGGCTTTCAGTTATTTCCCAATCAATATGATACTAGCTGTGGGTCTGTTGTATCTGGCTTTTATTATGTTGAAGTATATTCCTTCCATACCCAGATTTTTGAGGGCATTTATCATGAATGGATGTTGAATTTTATAAAATACTCTTTCAGTATCAGTTGAAAGGATCATATGTTTTTTGTTTTTTATTCTGTTGATATGATGTATCACTTTGATTGATTTGCATATATTGAATAATTCTTGATTCTTGGGGATAAACAGGATTTGGTCATGATGAGTGAAAGATCGTTGTCCTGAATGGTCTTGATGCTTTTTTTTTGTTTTTTTTTTTTAGACAGAGTCTCACCCTGTTGCCAGGCTTGAGTGCAGTGGTATGCTTACTGCAACCTCTGCCTCCCAGGTTCAAGTGATTCTTCTGTCTCAGCCTCTCGAGTAGCTGGGATTACAGGCACACACCACCACACCCAGCTAATTTTTGTATTTTTAGTAGAGACAGGGTTTCACCATGTTGGTCAGGATGGTCTCAATCTCCCAACCTCATGATCTGCCTGCCTCGGCCTCCCAAAGTGCTGGGATTACAGGCATAAGCCACTGTGCACGGTCTAGATGCTTTTGAATGGTTGTTTGTATGTGGACATTAAAGAGTTAGATATTTACTGTTGTCTTCACAGTCTGGGGTTTTTTGTACCCATCTTCTTGAGAATTCTTTCCAAGTATTCAAAGGGTCTTGAGTGTTGTAATCCAAGGTTTTGGTCACTGCAATCATGTTTTCATTAGTGGGCAGTCTAAGCCCAGTAATGCTGTTACTTTTGCAGCCTCAAAGAAGTACCACCTCGGTGGTCTTGGGCAAGGTCCAGAAGAATTTCCTGAATTATGAGGGAGAAACCCTTGTTCTGTTCCCTTACTTTCTTCCAAGAAAATTGAGTCTCTTTTTGCTGAGCCATATGGTGTTTGGGGAGAAGTGACATAAGCACACCTGTGGCCACCACTAGGACTGTGCTGCATCAGACTCATGGTGAAAACAGCACTAGGTCTTGCCCAAGGCCTATAGTAAACACTGCCTAACTACCACCTATGTTCACTAAGGCACAAGAACTCTACAATCAGCAGGTGGTCAATCCAGCCTGGCTTCTATCATTCCTTTCAGGTCAGCTAGTTCCTCCTAATCTCGGATATGTTCAGAGATGCATTCTGGGAGCAAGACCTAGATTTGGGAACCTTGAGAATCTACCTAATACTGTATTCTACTGTGGCTGAGCTGGCACCCAAGCTGCAAGGCCTAGTCATTCCCACTTTTACCTCCTATTTCCTCAAGCAGAGGAGTCTCTCCCCATGGCCATTACCACCCCAGATTCATGACAAATACTTCCTCCTCACTGCTGATGCTCACTCAAGGCTCAAGGACTCTTCAGTCAGTGTGTGGTGAATGCTTCCAGGCCTGGGTCTCTCCTCTCAGGGCAATGGGCTCTCTTCTGCCCCAGGGCAGATTCAGAAATGCCATCTAAGAGGCAAGACCTGGAATCAGGAACCCTAGGAGTCTTCTTGGTTCTCCACCCCACCGTGGCTGAGTGAGTACCCAACCTGCAAGAAAAAGTTTCCTTTAGTCTTTTCTCTCCCTTCCCCAAGCAGAAGTTCCTCCCCATAGCCAACAGTTGGACATGTGATGGGTCACAAGTGAAGCTATCAAAGCCCTGGGTCTCACCCAAGGCCTGTGGTAAGTACTGCCTGGCTACCACTGCTGATTATTCAGGGTCCGGGGGCTATTTAGTCAGCGGGTGATGAATCCTGCCAAGACTGGGTCCTTCCCTTCAAGGCAGCAGGTTCCCTTCTGGCCCAGGGTGTGTCTAATTTTTTCACAATTTGAGATATTAAGTTTAAGCCTTGAATCCATTTTTTATTTGTTTTTATATATGGCCAGACATAGGGGGCTATTTTCAGTATCCGTTTTTGGTCATCTGAGAACCCAGAATAGGGGATTCACAACTCTGCCTGGTTCTCTATTTTACTGTGGCTGAGCTGATATCCAAAAGTTGCAAAATAAGTCCTCTTTACTCTTCCCTCTCTTCTCCTCAAGTGGAAGGTAAGAGTCTCTCTTGGAGCTGCAAGCTTCACTGCCTGGGGTTGGGGGAGGAGTGATGCAAGCACTCCCTTGGTCATCCCAGCTGGTGTCTCACTAGGTCATGGGCAACCCAAATCAACTACCTCTGAGCCCAGCACAAGACCAGTATGTGCCCAGGAATTCCAGTCCTTTTGGCCTAGTATGTCTTTCAGGTTTCTTTGGAATCCAAGAGCCCTTTAGCCCTTGGTGGCTAGGCTTGCTGGAACTCAGGTTTCAACCACTGGAATATAAGATTTGTCTTTGCCTAGGATTGGCCTAAATGCTCCCTCTGTGGGCACCGGCTTAGTTCTGCCCGCTGTTGCTTTTCACTGTGAGAAGGGAGCACTGACTTCCAGTGCAAAATTCCACAATCACTGTGGTCTCCCTCTTTCAATGGCACAGATTTTCTCTCTAGTTCATGTGGCTGCTGCTGGGATATTGGGGAGGAGTTGCATAGGTGATTCAAGACAGTCTTTCTACCCTCTTCTGCATCTCTTTACTTAATATGATGTTAAAACCAGGTACTGTGATCACCTACCTAATTTTTTATTTTTATGAGAGTGTTTTTGTGTGGATAGTTGCTCAATTTGGTGTTCCTGTGTGGGAGATGATTGTTGGAGGCTTTTATTTGGCCATCTTGCTCCACCTCCTTTCTCCTTTTCCAATTTTTAAATTGAGTTGTCTTTTCATTACTTAGTTGTTAGTGGTCTTCATACAAGCTGGACGTAAGTCCTTTATTAGATATATTATTTCAAACTGTTTTCTCTTCATCTGTGAATTGTCTTTATTTGTGCTTAATGCTGTTTTTTGAAATGCATAACTTTTACTTTTTACAGCTCATATTTATTACCTTTTTTACCTGTGCCTTTGGTGTCATATCTAAGTAACTTTTGCCAAAGTAAGAGCCTATTTTTTTTCTAACAATTTTATTCTTTTCACTCTGACAGCCCTATGTCAACCATACTTCTTACATTTCTGTCATTGTTTCTCCATGATTGTCTCCAGAATTAATTATGGTTAAGTTTATTAGGCTTTCATAGCAAAGCCTAATGATTAATCCTTTCCACTAAGTCCTTTGTTCTAAGTGAAGTAGTTTATTTCATGACACAGAAATAATTGGACGTTAATTCTGAGAAATTTTTATAGATTTAATGATTATTATAACTAATGGGTGTGACCATAGTATACTTAATTTGGTCCATGGTATGACACTGAATTTAGTTGGTATTTATTGCTGAAGGCATTTCTGAAATTTGACTTTGACTATTTGGGGATTAGAATCAATGGCATTTTCAAACCCACAAGTTGACAAAATTGTGGGCTATTTTTAGTCCTCATTTATTTTTTTTTTTGAACTAGCCAATTATTTCCTGAACACATTTATTTCTTGCATTACCTTATATTATTTTGCCAACTGTGGCCACAGAGATCATGTCACAGAATGAGATTTCCATTCCCAAACTCTTCCTCTAGAGCTACAATATATTACGTACCTAATGTGCTTTCAAAGCTCCCAAAGACAAATGTTTGTCAAATAATTTGCCACTGTGTAAATAGTGTCATCATATTTCCTGTTATAACAATTTCTATACAGAACACACTTCCTAGGTCTTCACTTTTGTATGATAATAAAATTTGTGCATTAGACAAAATATATTAAATTATATTGCAGTAACAACAAAAAGCAAAATCTTAGTAGTTTATAATAAACAAAATCTGCCTTACATAAAATATACTCATTGAAGTTGAACTGGGTGGTCTAACTTACATGCTCCACTCCAGAGGCCAGGCTGACAGAACGAATCATCTTAAATGCCCCTGGTCCTTCTTTGAACAGCCTATTGGATACCACAAATGAATAGTGAGTAAAAGAACAGACATAGAGATTATAATGTTTATACGTTTATATACAGAGTGATGATAAAAATGAGTATTCCATCCTTCTAAAAGAAGGTAAAAAATAAAAGAGAAAAGGAACAAAAAATGGATTAAAGACTTAAATGTTAGACCTAAAACCATAAAAGCTCTGGAAGAAAACCTAGGTAATACCATTCGGGACATAGGCATGGGCAAGGACTTCATGTCTAAAACACCAAAGGCAATGGCAACAAAAGCCAAAATTGACAAATGGGATCTAATTAAGCTAAAGAGCTTCTGCACAGCAAAAGAAACTACGATCAGAGTGAACAGGCAACCTACAGAATGGGAGAAAATTTTTGCAATCTACTCATCTGACAAAGGGCTGATATCCAGAATCTACAAAGAACTCAACAAATTACAGGAAAAAAACAAACAACCCCATCAAAAAGTGGGGGAACGATATGAACAGACACTTCTCAAAAGAAGACATTTATGTAGCCAAGACACATGATAAAATGCTCATCATCACTGGCCATCAGAGAAATGCAAATCAAAACCACAATGAGATACCATCTCACACCAGTTAGAATGGTGATCATTAAAAAGTCAGGAAACAACAGGTGCTGGAGAGGATGTGGAGAAATAGGAACACTTTTACACTGTTGATGGGACTGTAAACTAGTTCAACCATTGTGGAAGACAGTGTGGCGATTCCTCAAGGATCTAGAACGAGAAATACCATTTGACCCAGCAATCCCATTACTGGGTATATACCAGAAGGACTATAAATCATGCTGCTATAAAGACACATGCACACATATGTTTATTGCGGCACTATTCACAATAGTAAACACTTGGAACCAACCTAAATGTCCAACAATGATAGACTGGATTAAGAAAATGTGGCACATATACACCATGGAATACTATGCAGCCATAAAAAATGATGAGTTCATGTCCTTTGTAGGGACATGGATGAAGCTGGAAACCATCATTCGCAGCAAACTATCGCAAGGACAAAAAACCAAACACCACATGTTCTCACTCACAGGTGGGGATTGAACAATGAGAACACTTGGACACAGGAAGGGGACCATCACACACTGGGGCCTGTTGTGGGGTCGGGGGAGGGGGGAGGGATAGCATTAGGAGATATACCTAATGTTAATGACGAGTTAATGGGTGCAGCACACCAACATGGCACATGTATACATATGTAACAAACCTGCACGTTGTGCACATGTACCCTAGAACTTAAAGTATAATTTAAAAATAAATAAATAAATAAAACAAAGGCAAGCCAAAAAAAATAGGCAGCATATTTAGAAAGTGCTCAAATAAATGATAAATATGACTTGATAAAGAGTAACTTCAATAAATTTAAATAGAATAAGTGTTTCAGATAAAAATAAAATATTTTTGGATTGTATAACTTAACTTAATAATAAGATTTTTATAAATGACCTATATGAGGTGCAATACTTTCTTTTAAAAGTAAAACGGGTTAAAAAATATACCATGCAATTATTAGCTAGAAGAAAGTCGAGGCTGCTTAAAGTAAAACATGTTATTAGAGGCAAAGAGATCACCTTCTGTAAATTATAGGCCTAATTTAACATTACACAAATTAGACTTTATGTTTTCATAAAATGACATAACCAAATAAGGAGCTAGTAAAACCCAATAAGAAGATAATGAGACAAGAAAATTGCATATTAATCTTATCCTGGAATATAAATCCAAAGGTATTAATGAACTAATACAGTAATTTATACAGTAGTATAAATAGAATAGTATGCCTAATAAGATTGAGCTGTGCATTCTGAGGTATGCACGTTAACAGTAGATCAATTAATTTAATTCATAATACTAACAACTAATTAGAGATTTTACAGAGTTATCAGTAGATGCAGAAATATATTGTATCAAAATCAACATTTGTTGATTATTAAAATATTAGTTATTGGTAAAAAATTAAATGTTTTAGCTATGTGTTTGAAAACCATTTCTGTCCAGCATTTTATTTCATCTCCAAATTACTGCAGTAAAACAATACAAAGACAAAATATACAAAGATTACCAAAAAAAGTTATTTTTATGACACATTTTACCTGTAAAAATCATGATAATATTTTGGCGATTGTAGTAATATCACTGTATACCAAATTTTATATTTATGTATACTACAAACAAATAAATAGAATTTGCTCATCAAAGAACAAAAAATCAATAAATAGTAATCTTTCAAAAAAGCAAAATATATTATATACACATACATACATTCATATATATACACACATATATACACGTACACAAATACATTCATATTATAAATGTATGTGTATATAAATCTATGTGTATATATAAGTGTGTTTGTCTATCTAGCTACCTAGCTAGTTATGTATATCTATGCAGCAGTCCCCAACCTTTTTGGTACCAGGGACTGGTTTTGTGGAAGACAATTTTTCCACAGACTGAGCAGGAGTGGATGGTTTCAGGATGATTCAAGTGCATTACATTTATTGTGCACTTAATTTCTATTATCATCATATTGTGATATATGATGAAATAATTATACAATTCACCATAATGTGGAATCAGTGGGAGCCCTGAGCTTGCTTTCCTGCAACTAGACAGCTGAATCTGGGAGTGATGGAAGTCAGTGACAATCAGGCATTAGATTCTCATAAGGAGAACTTAATAGATCCCTCATATTCACAGTTCACAATAAGGTTTGTGCTCCTATGGGAATCTAATGCCACTGCTAACTGGACAGGAGGTGGAGCTCAGACAGTAATGTGGGCGATGGGGAGTGGCTGTAAATACAGATGAAGTTTCATTTGCTCACCCACGTCTCACTTGTTGCTTTGTGGCCAGGTTCCTAACAGGCCACAGACCGCTAATTTTCCATGGCCCAGGGATTGGGGACACCTGTCCATATGTATGTATGTATGTTTGTGTGTATGTATGTATAATCTACCTATCATCTTCTTTGCTTTGTCTATGCCAGAAATTGTAAGATATGATGTATCATGTACCAAAAGGAAAGTTAACACAGTGATGATTAAACTAATGCAGAATGCCTTCTTATTAGTTAGGATTTTTATTTTATAGAGATTGCAAGAGTTCATTTTTACTCATTTAGACTTACGTGTAGTCATATATAATTTATGCAAATACATATAATTAAAATGAGATTCAAACATTTTATTTTACAAAATCCTAAAATGTCTACAAATTTGGAATTTTACACATCTGAGTTATTTTTTTGACTTGGAATTGTTGACATTCATGTTTTTCACATTTTTTTTTATTCCAGGAGTTTTAATGACTCAGGATATTACTTAAACTTTAAAATTTGATAGTCATTCTAAAAATGTTGATATTCTCTGTTATATTTCACAAAATGTCTAGTTTCTCTTTTTCTTTAATTGAATACATGTTATAACTTCTCAAAAATTTAGCAACAAATTTCAGACAAAATGGTATTCAAGTATTCTGTGCAATGCACGTGTTGGTTATACCAGCTCTTACTTGGGCTTTAACATGAGACTGGTCAATTTCTTCAACCTGCTGTTGTATGACTTTGTAAAACAGGTGTTTTATCAGCACATGAGCAAAACACATTGTATTAGTCCGTTTTCATGATGCTGATAAAGACATGCCTGAGACTAGACAATTTACAAAAGAAAGAGGTTTCATTGGATGGACAGTTCTGCGTGGCTGGGTAAGCTTCATAATCATGGTGCAAGGCAAGGAACAGCATGTCCCGTCTTACATGGACGGCAGCAGGCAAAGAGAGAATGAGGAAGCTACAAAAGCGGAAACCCCTGATAAAGCCATCAGATCTCGTGAGACTTATCTACTACCATGAGAACAGTATAGAGGAAACTGCCCCATGATTCAATTATCTTCCACCAGGGTCCCTCCCACAACATATGGGAATTATGGGAGTACAATTTAAGATGAGATTGGATGAGGACACAGAGTTGAACCATATGACACATCTCTGTCTATCCACTGGCCATTGTTAGTTCTCTTCAAATCACTTAATTTTTGCTTTATAACAAAATAGGGAATTGCCATCATTCTTTCAGTGATGAATCTCTGCTTCATAGCATCAAATTAACACTCCATTTCTCTATAATTGTGCCTTTCTGCACACAAAAACTTTCCACTCAATTATCATTTACAGCTTAATTTTTAAATAAACTTTTAAAAGTTTTGAATTACAGTTACAGAACCATTGCAAAAACAGTAGAGTTCTCCATATATCTCACATCGAGTTTTCTCCGTTGTTATCTTTTTACATTATCATTTTCATATTTGTTGAAACTAAGAAAGCACTGTTACATTGCATTACCAATAGTCAAAATTCAGACTTGGTTTAGATTTCACCAGATTTTCCAATATATCATCTTTTGTTCCAGGATCAGTTAGTTACTACATATTATTTGTTTTTCAAATAAATAATTCTCCTCTTGTCTCAGGCACTGTCTTCATCTTACTTTGGTTTTCATGACATTAGCAGTCTTGAGGAGCACTGACTATGTATCCAGTAGAATATATACTAATCTGAATGTATCTGGTGTTTTCTCATAATTTGATATGTTAATTTCTTTGAAGACAATTTAAATAGTTATGAAAAGTTAATATATTTAATAGTAGAATCCAAATAGCTATACATAAGTCAAATGAAAATGCAATTATATGAATATCCGTGACCAAAGTGAAGCTGCCTAGCTAGACATTGATTCTAGCCACCTGTTAGGGAGTGCTTGTAAATGTCATCGATTATAAGACATTTCCTGTCCTCAAACGTGTTAACAGGTACATCTTGGAATCTAGGAAATAGAACAGCATTTTTTCTACTTAAGATTCTTTCCAGAACAGATTAACTGACAGCTGGGAAGAGATGTTACCTGACTGCTACCCACAATATAGGTTCAATAAATCCTTTTTTTTTTTTATTATACTTTCAGTTCTAGGGTACGTGGGCAAGGAAAAGTAAATCTTAGGAAGGATGGAATTTACTCATGCCAACATATGTAGTTTTTTCTGGGCATTTTCCATCTTAGCATAATACACAACAAGATGATGGGGTTAATTTTGATAATCAAGAAGTAAATTAAAAAGAGTAGACAGAGGTGGAGTTTCTAATGAAAATAAAGGACAGCAAATACAGGAGTGTTTCTTGTTCTAGGCCCCTAATCAATACAACTGTTTAAGGTTAGAGCTTGTCAGTGACACCAATAAAAAGAGATGTGGTCTAAGACTAAAAATTCTTTATTGAATATATATAACTAGAAAAGTTAATTACTTTAAGTCAAAAGGCATTTGCATGTCTTTAGCAAAAGCAAAGATATGACAACTATTTTACTAGAAGACAGAGAAAGTAATTGAATCACATTTCATTCAGTTCTCCGAAACTTACACTCAAGATATTTTACATGATAAACAACAGAGTATGTGTACTAATAAGTACATTAAGGTGCAATATATAAGATATAAAGTAACAGTTACTACAAGAAAATAAGAATGGGCTTATTATTTCTGTACATGGGTGCTATTCGTGTCCACAATGAGTAATAGATCTGCATCTGAAGAATAATTTAGGTATATTTATTTGGCAAGAAAAATTTTAACAAGAAAAAATGTTTAAATTGTGGATATGATAAATACACAAAATGACAGGTAGACTGTCTGTCTGCTCTGGTTACATAGTATGAAGTAATCTTTTTGGAGTAAGGTAGATCTATTACCTGAGGAACTGAGTCTATTTTATTTTTAAACCATTAACAATCACATAAAACATAAGTTTCACAAAAAAGGCGCTAAATAATGGTAATTTTTAAATTATACAGGTATAAAAGAACAAAAAATCTAACACAGTAATCAGAAAATATTCCATAAAGTGACATTTGAATATGTTTAATTTTAATTTTAATTGAATATGAAATTGTCAATATTTTTAAAAATATACATAAAGTTCATTGAAGTGGGAGAGAAGGATAAGCAGGTGGAGCACAGAAAATTATTAGAGCAGTGAAACTACTGTATATGATACTAGAACAGTGAATTCATGCCAATATATTTTGCTCAAACCCATTAAATGTATATCACCATGAAAGAACTCTAGTGTAAACCATGGACTCTGGGTAATAATTATGCATAAATGCAGCTTCATTAATTGTAACAAATTTATCACTCTGATGGGGAATGTTGATAATGGGGGAGGCTATAAACAGGTGGGAGCAGGTTTTATGTGGGAAATCTCTGTAACTTCCATTCAAATTTGCTCTGAACCTAAAACTGCACTAAAAAATAAAGCCTATTAAAAATAAATTACCAACTAGAATTTTGAACTCAGGACTTCTAACCAAATGCTCATCAAGCTATTTTTAGTCAAAGAAAACCTTTGTCTAAATTTATGTGGCTTCTGGAATCTATGGAAGTCTGGATATATGAAGAGTAATTTTTTTTAAAAGAAAAGAGTTGAATGTCATGCTATAAAATTGAGATATGATAAAGATGCTGTTTGCCTCAAACAAAACTGTATTACAAACATAAGCCTTAAACATCCTGACAATAACAATAAGTTAGAATGGATAAATATTTTATATAAAATGCTGATGATCTGTTTAAGAAAAGGAGGTTACTACAGAAATGGAAGATGCAGCAATGTACTTTAATGTCTACTTAATGAATAAATATGTTATTTGGTAGCAATAGGAAGTCATCAAACGTCATTTAGTGAATTAGTAACATGACTAAAATAGCAATTGGAAAGATTAACTTCAGAGTGTGTTTAGGATAAATTAAAGTAAAAGAGGTACGATGTTACCTAATGGTTGCTGAACTTGTTTTAATGAAAGTTATATGTAATAGGATTCTCTCTTGTGAGTGACAACATTCTGTGTGGTAAAATTTCTTTTACACCTTGTGTTTTTTTTATTGCAGCTAATGTTTATTTATATTTTACTCCACACATATTTTGTTTTACCATAAGAATGTGAATTCATATGTTCCTGAAGAAGTGCTTAAATATTCTTTAGCACATTATTGTGTAGCCAGAAAACATGTGTGCCAATTTGCCAAACCAGAACTGGAAAAAAAAAAAACTGGTCTTTGAAATAATTAGAAAATTAACTAACGTATTATTAACATATGTATAAAGTAATTACTAAATAATAATTATTGATTAATTACTAATCACACCATAATATTATAATGTCCAGTACAGTTTCAGCAATGGAAATGGAAATTACATTGCACAGGTTGCCAAAAAAAACTAATCTAATGAAAGACGAATTGAATGAGGAAATAGTCTGAATCAAAGACAGACCCCAGCTTTCAAGCTTGGAATCTAAGGGGAAGCGATGCCGTTAATAGAAGAAAGAAACCTTAAACTTGTAAAATGACCACTTTTCCTTTCCATTCTTTTTTCCAAATGGAATATTCTTTTTAACACTAGAGAAAGTTCTATCTTCCTTTCATAGTCTCCACTTAATGTTCTCTAATAGATGTTGTATTTTTCCATATAGTTACCATACAGAGCAAATAACTCTTTGTAACAATGCTTAAAAATATAATTTAATAAAGTATTATAAAATTTTATTTTCTTTAATTCATTGTGTCCAAAGTCAGTTACATTTCTTACTCTGCCCTTATAATTCTTTCATCAGGTTTTTAGGACAGGGCTTTAACTAAAAATATCTTGTTTTCCTTCTTTGTCTTGCTTTGCATTATTCATTATTCCAATTGAAATAAATAAGTAAAGCTGAAAGGCATACTTGGAAGTTTCTTTTTAAATAAAATCTAACACAATACGATTTATTATATTAAAGTTATTTGAGTAAACAAAGTTGTTTAACTCAAACAAAAACATCCATACAACTGTAAAGAATAATGAAAATAAATTATTTCAGTGTTTAGCAAATGTCAAATATTCTGTGTTCTAAATATATTAACTTATTATTACAACATCTTTATTATATTGAGAATATTACTATCTGTATTTTATAGATGAGGAAAGAGAGGGAGATTTGCTACTTGAGCAATAATATAGGTTTAATCAGTCTCAGGACTAGGATTTTAATTCAGACATGCCCCAACATAAACACACTGAAATTCCATGATTTGAGCAAAACGAATTGCAGCTCTGTTTTTATTGTACTTTTCAGGTATATTTTAATTTGCATGATATTTTTTACACTTTACAATTCATAAGCATTTGTGTAATGCTACCTAAGATTCACATTTACTTTATAGCAACAAAATTACATCTAATCAATTCCATATTGCAAAGTAAGCTTGTCATTCTGTTGTGGGCCACAATAGTTTAAGAAATATGCTGAATTTCATTGTTGTCATGTTTCTTTGAAGGTTTTTATTGCTGCAAATCCATAGAAAAGAAAATACTATGTTGGATTTGAGTTTCTGTTGCAATTTTCTTGTTTCCGTATATCTCCATTTTCTTTCTCATCCTTTCTGCTCTGATTAATAATATATATATTCACATACATAACATGTTATATAAAAGATGTATATGTTATGAATACAACAATACATTGTATAACTTCTTAATCATGCTTTGTTTTAAAAAAGAAAACAATTTATATAGTCTTAAAATCGCCTACATTATTACATTTTCTGATATGCTTTAGCAGATTCATATTAATATGGTATTTCATTGTTACAGGTAGTCAGACAGGCACAAGCAGGGCAGGAGGGTGCTCTCCTCCACCCTCTAGGAATGTCGGTGATGTTTTGGCAATTGTCAGTTTGCCTCTCTAAAAGTGATAAATTGGCAGCTGGCACTAGGGAGAGACAATCTCCTAATGGTCCACAGCTGTTAACATTAAAGCATTAATTGAATGCAGGTGCCAGGAAGAAGCAAAAGGGGGCTTACACTAAAATCTCATGTACTGGGTAAGTGAGCCCGGGCTTGCGCAGTAAGGGAAAAAATGGTGGAGTTTCACCTTCCTGGGGCACGCCACCAGAAAAGGTAAGAAAGCCAGGCGGTCATGTGTAAAACTTCCTAAACACACTGTGCATGCTCACTTCACAAGGATAAGCATATGCTCACTTCGCAAGGATAAGGAGGGCACTGCACATGTGGGCAGCCCACCCTAAGGGAAGAATCATGAGAAAGGGGTGCACAAGACGCTGGAGGTGGGCCAGCCTATAAAGTCCTAGGATCGTAGTTAAATGGGACACTTGTTCTTCAAGTTCCCCACTTGGATCTCTTCCAAGTGCACTTTCCTTTCTTTCCTGCTCTGAAGCTTTTTTAAAATAAACTGCTTTTTTAAAATAAAATTGCTCTCAAATTTACCTCGATCTCTTTCTCTGCCTTATGCCCCTCAGTCAAATTCTTTCTTCTGAGGAGGCAAGAATTAAGGTTGCTGAAAACTCCTATGGATGTTTTGGCAATTGTCAGTTTGCCTCTCTAAAAGTGATAAATTGGCAGCTGGCACTAGGGAGAGACAATCTCCTAATGGTCCACAGCTGTTAACATTAAAGCATTAATTGAATGCAGGTGCCAGGAAGAAGCAAAAGGGGGCTTACACTAAAATCTCATGTACTGGGTAAGTGAGCCCGGGCTTGCGCATTAAGGGAAAAAATGGTGGAGTTTCACCTTCCTGGGGCACGCCACCAGAAAAGGTAAGAAAGCCAGGCGGTCATGTGTAAAACTGTTAACTGGAATACCTTCCACCAGTAACAACACCCTTTCAGCTTGAAGCAGTCTCTAGTATATATCTTAAAATAAGTCTGTTGCCATAAAATGATCTCATTCTTTACTAATTTGGAATATTTGTGTTTGGGTCTAATTTTTTTTTTTTTTTTTGAGGCAGAGTCTTGCTCTATTGCCCAGGCTGGAGTGCAGTGGCACGATCTCGGCTCACAGCAAGTTCTGCCTCCCGGGTTCATGCCATTCTCCTGCCTCAGCCTCCCGAGTAGCTGGGACTACAGGCAGCCGCCACCATGCCCAGCTAATTTTTTGTATTTTTAGTAGAGACGGCGTTTCACCGTGTTAGCCAGGATGGTCTCGATCTCCTGACCTCGTGATCCTCCCGCCTTGGCCTGGGTCTCATTTTTAAAATACAGTTTTACTGGATGTAGAATTATTGTTTGAATGTTTTTAAGTTTTTTTCTAATTCCTTAAGTAAAATATTAGCTTATTGATTTGAGATGTTCCTTTTCTTATATGTCTCATCTTAAATTTCTTCAAAGCACTGCTTTGCTGAAGCTTTTCAGTTTTACAGTGTTGCATTTTCATTTTAATTCACTACAACGTATTTTCTTTTTTTATGATTTCATTTTTGAACTATTTGTTATTTTCAGTTTTTTTTTAATTTCTGTTGGTACTTAGCATATATATTTATGGGGTACATGAGATATTTTGATACAGGCATGTGATGTGAGATAATGGATAACAAAGAATAAATAATGGGGTATTCATGTTGAAAACTGCGGTATACACCACGAAGAATGGGGTATCCATGCCTCAAGCATTTATCCTTCTGGTTATAGATAATCCAATTACATTCTGTAAGTTATATTAAAATATACACTTGTTAATATTGACTATAGTCACCCTATTGTGCTATTAGATAGTAGGTATTATTCATTCTATTTTTGTGTGTGTGTGTATGCTCAACCATCTCCACTTCTGCCCCAATTGACCCCAACCACTCCTGCAATCCTTCCCAGCCTCTGGTCTCCATTCTACTACTACTCTGTCTGTGCACAGGTTCACTTGTTTTAATTTTTAGATCCCACAAATAAGTGAGGATATGTGATGTTTGTCTTTCTGCCCCAGGCTTATTTCATTTAACATAATGATCTCTAGTTCTATACGTGTTGTTGCAAATGAATGGATCTCATTCCTTTTTATAGCTGAATAGTACTCCATTGTGTATATGTACCACATTTCTTTATGCATTCATCTGTTGATAGCACTTAGATTGCTTCCAAACCTTAGCTATGTTGTAAACAGTGCTGCAACAAATATAGAAGTGCAGATACCTCTTTGATATACTAATTTCCTTTCTTTGAGATATATACCCACAGTGAGATTGTGGGATCACATAGTAGTTCTATTTGTAGTTTGTTGAGGAACCTCCAAACTGTTCTCCATAGTGATTGCACCAACTTGCATTCCCATCAACAGTGTACAAGGTTTCTCTTTTCTCCACATCCTTGCCAGAATTCATTATTGCCTGTCTTTAGGATATAAGCCATTTTAACTAGGGTGAGATGACATCTCATTGTAGTTTTGTTTTGCATTTCCCTGATGATCAGTGATGTAGAGCACCTTTCATATGCCTGTTTGCCATTTGTATGTCTTCTTTTGAGAAATGTCTATACAAATCTTTTGCCCATTTTTGATTAGATTGTTAGGATTTTTCCTATAGCCTTGTTTGTGCTCCTTATACAATCTGGTTATTTATCTCTTGTCAGAGAGACAGTTTGTAAATGTTTTCTCCTATTCTTTGGGTTGTCTCTTCATTTTGTTGATTGTATCCTTTGCTGTGCAGAAGCTTTTTAACTTGATTTGATCCCATTTTTCCACGTTGGTTTTGGTTGTCTGTGCTTGTGGGGTATTGCTCAAAAAGTCTTTCTAAAGACTGGTCCTGGGAATTTTTCTTAATATTTTCTTGTGAGAGTTTCATAGTTTGAGGTTTTATATTTAATTCTTTAATTCATTTTTATTTTATTTTTGTATATGGCAAGAGATAGGGGTCTAGTTTCTTTTGCATGTGGATATCCTGTTTTCCCAGCACCATTTATTGAAGAGACTGCCTTTTCTCCAATGTATTTCTTGGCACTTTTGTCAAAAATGAGTTCACTATAGTTGTGTAGATTTTTTTCTGGGTTCTCTATTCTGTTCCATTGGTCTATGTGTCTGTTTTTATGCCAGTACCTTGCTGTTTTGATTATTATAGCTTTTTAGTATAATTGGAAGTCAGGTAATGTGATTCTTCCAGTTTTGTTCTTTTTGCTTAGCATAGCTTTGGCTATTCTCGATCTTCTCTGGTTCTATGTAAGTTTTAGGATTTTTTTTTCTGTTTCTGTGAAGAGTGTTATTGGTATTCTTTTAGGTATTGCATGGAATCTATAGATTGCTGCGAGTTGCATGAACAATTTAAAAATATTGACTCTTTCAATCCATGAACATGGAATATTTTTCTATTTCTTGGTGTTCTCTTCAATTTTCTTCATCAGAGTTTTATAGTTTTCATTATGGAAGACTTTTACTTCTTTGGTTAATGCCTGGGTATTTAACTTCATTTGTGGCTATTGTAAATGAGATTATTAATTTTTTCACATTGTTCACTCTTGGTATATACTGATACTAATATATGCTACTGATTTTTGCATGTTGATTTTGTATTCTGAAACATTACTGAATTTGTTTATCAGTTATAATAGTTTTCTTGTGAAGTCTTTAGGGTTTTCCAAATAGAAGATTATATAATCAGCAAACAAGGATAATTTGACTTCTTACTGTTGAATTTGGATGCTCTTTACTTCTTTCTCTTATCTGATTGCTCTAGCTAGGTCTTTCAATATCATACTATATAACAGTGGTGACAGTGGGCATCCTTCTTGTGTTTCAGATCTTAAAGGGAATGTTTATGTTTTTCCCCATTCAGTGTGAAACTAGCTGTGGGTCTGTCATATATTGGCTTTTATTATGTTGAGGTATATTTTTTTCTATTCCCAGTTTTTTGAGGGTTTTGATCATGAAGAGATGTTGAATTTTATGAAATACTTATTTTCAACATCAATTGAAATAATAATATAGTTTTTATCCTTCGTTCTGCCAATATGATATATCCACTTAATTAATTTGTGTATGTTGAACCAAGGTTGGTTCAACATACACAAATCCCACTTGGGCATAATAAGTGATCTTTCTAATGTATTGTTGAATTTGTTTGGCTAGTATTTTTTTCAGGATTTTTGCATCAATATTTATCAGAGATATTGGCCTGAAGTTTCCTTTTTCTGTGTGATTTTGTCTTTTTTTGGTATCCCAGAAATATTGGTCTTGTAGAATGAGTTTGGAAGTACTCCCTTCTCCTCTATTTTTTGCAATAATTTGAGTAGCAATGGTATTAGTACTTTTTTAAATGTTTGGTAAAATTCAGCAGAGAAGCCATTGGGTCCTGAGCATTTTTTTTACTGAGAGACTTTTTATTATGATTTTGGTCTTGTTATGTGTTATTGGCCTGTTCAGGTTTTGGATTTCTTCCTGATTCAATTTTAGTAGGTTGTATGGCTCTATGAATTTTTGCATTTCTTCTAGATTTTCCAATTTACTGGTATTTATTTGCTCACCGTAGCCACTAATAATCCTTTCAATTTCTACAGTGTCGGTTGTAATGTCTCCTTTTCATTTCTGATTTTATTTGGGTTTTCTCTTTTTTTTTCTTAGTCTGGATAAGGGTTTGTCAATTTTGTTTAACTTTTCAAAAAAACGACTTTTGTTTCATTGGTCTTATTGATTTTTTTTTTCATTTCAATTTCATTTATTTTTACCCTGTTCTTTATTATTTTTTTTCTACTGATTTTGGGTTTGGTTTGCTCTCGCTTTTATAGTTCTTTAAGATGCATGGTTAGACTTTTTATTTGATTTTATTTCTCTTTTTTGATATAGGCACTTGTAAACTTCCTTCTGAGTATTTTTTTTTTGCAGTATCCTATAGGTTTTAATATGTTGTGCTTCCATTATCATTTGTCTCGATAAATTTTTCAAATTTCTTTTTAATTTTTTTACTGCCCTACTGGTCATTCAGGATCATATTGTGTACTTTCCTTGTATTCATGTTATTTCCAAAATGTCGCTTGTTATTAATTTCTAGTTTTATTTCATTTTGGTCAGTGATGATACTTGATATTATTTCAATGTCTTTAAATATTTTAAGACTTGTGACCTAATGTATGCTCTATCCTTGAGAATGATCTATGTGCTGAGGACAAGAATGTGCATCTGGCAGCCTTTGGATAAACTCTTCTGTAAATATTTATTAGATCCATTTGGTGCAGATTGAGTCTGATATTTGTTCATTTTCTGTCTAGAAGATCTGTCCAATGCGGAAAATGGGATGTTGAAGTTTCTAGCTATTATTGTACTGAAGTCTATCTCTCTCTTTAGTTCAGATAATATTTCCTTTATATATCTCGGTGCTCCAGTGTTGAGTGCATATATATTTAAAAATTTTATATCCTCTTGCTGAACTGACCACTTTATCATTACATAGTGACCTTCTTTGTGTCTTCTTATAATTTTTGTCTTGAAATAAATTTTGTCTGATATATGTACAGCCACTTCTGCTTTTTTGTTTCCATTGGTATGAAATATCTTTTGCCATCCCTTTATTTTTAGTCTATGTGTGTCTTTATAGGTGAAGTATGTTTCTTATAGGCAACAGGTTGATGGATTTTTTTTTAATCCATTCTGCCACTCTAGGTCTTTTGATTGGAGACTTTAGTTCATTTATATTCAATGTTATTACTGATAAGTAAGGACTTACTCCTCTCATTTTGTTATTTGTTTTCTGGTAGTTTTGTAGTCTTCTCTTTCTTCTTTCTTTCCTTCCTGTCTTTTCTTAGTGAAGTTGATTTTCTCTAGGGATATGACTTAGTTTCTTACTTTTTATGTTTTGTGTATCCATTGCATGTGTTTCAGTTTGAAGTTACCATGAGGTTTGCAAATACTCTCTCATAACCCGTTATTTTAACTTGATAACCAGAACACCATTTGCATAAACAAACAAGCAAAAAGAAAACTAATAAAAACTATATGTCTTAACTTCATCTCTCTTTACTTTTTAACTTTTGGTTGTTGCTAGTTAATCTTATTGTACTTACTGTGTCTTGAAAAGTTGTTATTTTTTATTGGTTAATCATTTAGTCTTTCTACTTAGGATAAGAGTAGTTTATACAGCACAGTTACTGTGTCATAATACTCTGTTTTTCTGTGTACTTACTGTTACTAGTGAGTGTTGTACCTCTAGGTGATCATTTATTGCTCAATAATGTTCTTTTTTTCTGACTGAGTACTTCCCTTAGCATTTCTTGTTGGATAACTCTGATATTAATAAATCCTTCAGCTTTTGTCTTTTTTTTTTTTTTTTGAGACGGAGTTTTGCTTTTGTTGCCCGGGCTGGAGTGCAATGGCGCGATCTCAGCTCACCGCAACCTCCACCTCCCAGGTTCAAGCAATTCTCCTGCCTCAGCCTCCCAAGTAGCTGGAATGTTTGTCTTCTTTATGTTTGGATATTTTATCAGGATATACTATTCTAGGGTAAAAGATTTTTTTTTTTTCCTTCGCTATTTTAAATATGTCATGCCACTCTCTGCTGGCTTGTAAGGTTTCCAGTAAAAAGTCTGCTGTCAGATGTATTGAAATTCCATTGTATGTTATTTGTTCCTTTTCACTTGCTGATTTTAGAATCCTTTCCTTACCTCTGACTTTCGGGATTTTGTTTATTAAATGCCTTGATATTTTTTTCTCTGCATTAAATATGATAACTGTTCTATAACTGTCTTGTACTTGGATATTGATATCTTTCTCTAGGTTTGGAAAGTTCTCTTCTATTTTCACTTTGAATAAAACCCCTATCTCTTTCTCTACCTCATCCTTAAGCCCAATAACACTTAGATTTCCCCATTTGAGGCTATTTTCTAGCTTCCTTAGGCATGCTTTACTGTTTTTATTATTTTTTCTGTTGTCTTTTCTGACCGTGTGTTTTTAATTAGCCTGTTGTGAAGCTCACTAATGCTTTCTTCTGCTTGATCAGTTCTGCTATTAAAAGACTGATGCATTCTTCAGTATGCCAATTGCATTTTCCAGCTCCAGAATTTCTGCTTAATTATTTGTATTTATTTTAAACTCCTTGATAAATATTTTTCTGTTAGAATTCTGAATTCCTTTTTTGTGTTATCTTGAACTTCTTTTTTTTTTTTTTTTTTTTTTTTTTTTTTTTTTTTTTGAGACGGAGTTTTGCTCTTGTTGTCCAGGCTGGAGTGCAATGGCGTGATCTCAGCTCACTGCAACCTCTGCTTCCCAGGTTCAAACAATTATCCTGCCTCAGCCTCCTGAGTAGCTGGGATTACAGGCGCCTGCCACCAAGCTCAGCTAATTTTTTGTATTTTTAGTAGAGACGGGGTTTCACCATGTTGGACAGGCTGGTCTTGAACTCCCGACCTCAAGTGATCTGCCTGCCTCTGCCTCCCAAAGTGCTGGGATTACAGGCGTGAGCCACCTTGCCCAGCCCCTTGAATTTCTTTGAGTTTTCTTAACACAGCTATTTTGAATTCTCTGAAAGGTCACATATCTCTGTGTTTCTAGAATTGGTTCCTGGTGCCTTATTTAATTCATTTTGTGAGGACATGTTTTTCTGGATGTTGTTGATGCTAATAGATGTTCAGCGTCTAGTCACTGAAGGGTTAGGTATTTGTAGTATTCATTGTCTGGGCTTATTTGTAGCCATTTTGGAGGGGATGGCTCTTCCATTATTTGAAAGGACTTGACTGATGTGATCTAAGCTGTATCTAAGCTGTTCATTAGATTAGAACAATGAACATTAACAAATTCTTAAATTTTTTATGTAAATTCAGATTAAGATGCTCCTGTTTTTTAGGATAAATAGAAAAGAGGCAGAGAGTGAGAAATGTAACATAGATGGACTGGGAGGGAATATTCTATTATTTGTAGTTCTGATTCACCTTGTGAGTAGCTGACAACTAAACATTTATGCTTTCTTTCATGTCCTTGGATATTTTGTATTTTGTGGCAACATTCTAAGATTTATTTATATCACATTGTGTCTTTTTAACACTCTTAAAGAAAGATTTAGGTGCAGGAAATACAAAAGGAAATGCTTCTGTTACATCTTATAATGTGGTCATTTGTAGAAGCTTCAGAGCTTATCTGTGCAGTGCAAAGTTAGAAAACTTAGGAGTTCTATCACTATTAAGACATTTAGCTGTGCCCTGCTCTACAGTTATAATTTCTGTTTCTGAGCTTTATCTGCTGTGTGTTAAGCATATGCTTTTAGTCTCAAGAGAGACTCTGGATTATTACAGAAAAATTAACCCAAATAGAAAATAAATTCTGTAATATTAACTCTGATGGTACCCTATTATTCTGAGAAAAAGGAACACATTATCTCAAAGTTCACTGAGGCACTGAGATAAATAACTTGCCCAAGAGTTTGCTAATTATTTTCCTCACTGCTTCATTTCAACTGGGTTTAAACATTTTTTCCATAGAAGTTATGTTTTTGAATTATTAATAGTCATGATTAAGCAATTTCAAATTCATCATAGTACTACAAATAAGCATAGATAATATATTTATCAACCGATTTACAAAGTTATAATATCAAAGCATTTTGATTACACGTTTACCCTCCACCCTTCATCACAATTTTAAACTGATTTTATTGACTAAAAATCTTAAGAAACATCTGGGCTTTAAGCCAGAATGTGATGCTATTTGAAATCTGATAAAATGTCAACTTTATATTTGGATGAAATATTAATTACTTTATCTGCTAGCACAGTGAGTATTGCTGACTAAATTTATTTAGCAACAGAAAAAAAAAATTCTAAAAAACCCCAGGACTTATCCTCTCTCCTTTGACTTCAAAATTCATATTTAGTATAGAAAATCATAGTTAATACTTATTTTTAAATGTCAGCTTTTTCCATTTAGTCAAAGTATTTGAAAAATTATTAGTTTAAGAATTTATTTGCTTTTTAAAATCACAACTGAGAAATAATGTGTACTCTATGTATTAATTTTATAGTCCATTAAGGATCTTGAAAGAAAATTGTGTGAAGTATTTAAAAATGTAGTATCAGAGAATGCTCAATTGCTGCAAAAGTCTGCCTACGTTTTGTAATCCTAGATATCACTAAAGATTATAATATTCAGTAAAAAGCTCCAAAGCTAGTACAAATGGTATGTATTTTTATTCTATTTGTGTTACAGACACAGTATACTGACTAGCCTGTAGCTATCTACACCTCTGCTTCCACCCCCTCATCTTTCTTACAGGTATAACCCAAATCTATTTAGGTCAACAAATTACCAAAATCCCAAAGATAACCATTATCACTTAAAGCCAGGCATGTTAATTGTATTCCCTTTTACAAGATGTGTCTTTGACCAGCCTTTGTAAAGTAGAGGCTGCCATGTTACTCAAATCTAGTGAAACCAATCTAGGTGTCCATCAGTGGTTGATTGAATACACAAAGTGTGGTATTTATACAGAATGGAATATTATACAACCATAAAAAAGATGAAATCAAGTCTTTACAGAAACATGGATGGAGCTGGAGGCCAGTTTCCTAAATGAACAAACTCAGAAAAAGAAAATCAAATACCATAGGTTCTTACTTATAAGTGGGAGCGAACTAATGGGTACACATGGATATAAAGATGGAGGTAATTGACAATGCAGATTCCAAAAGGGAAAGTGAGAGGAGGGGGGGAGGGTTGAACAATTATTTGTTGGGTACAATGTTCAACAGTAGTGTGATGAATTCCCCAGAAGCCCAATCCCCACCATTACCCAATATAGCCATGTAACAAACATGTACTTGTACCCTAGAATCTAAAATTTAAAAAATAAATAATTAAAATAAGAAATGAAAAGAAAGAAAAGAATGCCAAAAGCCTTCTGGGAGAGTTTCATTATTTAAAAAATACAGAAACACTACAACAACAACCACAGCAATAGAAAGATTGTCCCCTGCTTCTTTATGTTTAGGATGCTAATGATAATAGATTATGTCTTGAGCTGTGGTAGCCATTTGCAACTGGTATAAAGACTAAAGGCAATACACTGAGATGAGAAGAGCAGAAAGTTGAAAACAGCTTGAGTCCCTGATGACGTATTTGAGCTGTTTTATAGTTCTGAATTGCATGTCTCTCTACCTCTTAAATAAACAATAAGTGCTGTCATATTTTATGCCAGAATTTGCAGGGTTTTCTATTGCAGCTATAAACATTTGTAACATTAAATTACTTTCCAATTAATTCATATCATACTGGAGAAAGAAACCTCATTTTTTAAATACTTTCAGCCAAACTGTTCCATAGTTGTAGGAAATGTGAGTTTAAATTTCGTAGAATAAATAGTTGCATGCCAGTTTGCTTTACAAGGATGTTATCAACGTTTCAAAACCTTACTTTTTGCTAAGGAAAAGTTAAATATTTTTTATGCTACATATCAAACATTTCAACAAACTCTAGTGTAGTTACCTATGAAGGCCAACATTTAAACATTTGGAGAAATAACTCTTCAAATTGAAAATAATTAAGCTTAAATAATGCCTTTTGAGGGCTTTCACAATGATGTTGAAAGTTCTATTATAACTTAGGCCTTCACGTATTTCAAAATGAAACAACCAAACAAAAGAACAAGAATAAGATGAAAACGTTACAAAAGTTATAATACAGCAGTACCTTGGAATTATTAAAGGCACAGATGAACGTCATTACTCTTTGAAATGATTAGTTATTGGTTCTGGATGACAGAAAGATAGAATGTACCACATTAATTTTATTAAAATGAGACTCCGTGGAATTCCTCATGCATTGTCTTATTTGTATGATTTTAACACGAATACATTAAATTTACTACAGAATTATTAGACATTGCTTACTCTAAGGGCCTATAAACTATTTTTTTGAGAAGGGCCAGATAATAACTACAAGCATACCTCAGAGATTTTGCAGGCTCAGTTCTAGACCAAGGCAATAATGGAAAGATCACAATAAAGCTAATCACACAATATTTTTGGTTTCACAGTATATACAAAATTATATTTAAACTACATTGTAGCTTATAAAATGTGAAATAGCATCATCCCTAAAAAATAACATACAAACTTAATTAAAAATACTTTATTGCGGCTGGGTGCAGCTCATGCCTGTAATCCCAGCACTTTGGGAGGCCGAGGCGGGCGGATCATGAGGTCAGGAGATTGAGACCATCCTGGCTAACACGGTGAAACCTCGTCTCTACTAAAAAAAGAAAAATACAAAAAATCAGCCGGCGTGGTGGTGGGCGCTTGTAGTCCCTGCTACTCAGGAGACAGAGGCAGGAGAATTGGGTGAACCCGGGTGGTGGAGCGTGGAGTGAGCCGAGATCGGGCCACCGTACTCCAACCTGGGTGACAGAGTGAGACACTGTCTCAAAAAAATAAATAAATAAATAAATAAATAAATAAATAAATAAATAAATAAAAATAAAGTACTTTATTGCTTAAATAAATGCTAGCAATTTTTAGAGGCTTCAATGAGTTGTAATCCTTTACCTGGCAGAGGGTCTGGCCTTCATGTTGATGGCTGCTGATTGATTAGGATGGTGGTTGCTGAGGGCTGGGGTGGCTGTGGCAACTCTCAAAATAAGACAAAAATGAAATTTTCTGCATCAATTGATTCTTTTTCACTGAAGATTTTTTTAACCATGAAATGCTCTTGTATAGCATTTTTCTATAGTAGAACTTCTTCCAAAATTGGAGTCAATTCTTTCAAATCCTGCCACTGCTTTATCAAATAAGTTTATGTAATACTCTAAAATTTTTGACATTTCAACAATGTTCACAGCATTTTCACTAGGAGCAGATTCCATCTCAAAAAATCCTTTCTTTGCTCATCCTTAAGAACCAATGACTCATCCATTAAAATTGTATCATGAGTATCATGAGATTGCAGCAATTTAATCACATCTTCTGGCTTCACTTCTAATTCTCTGTTTTTATCACACCTGATTTACATTCTCCACTGAAGTCTTGAGCACCTCAAAGTTATCCAGGAGGTTTGGAATCAAGTTTTTTTGAAAATCTTGTTAATGCCAATATTTTGACCTCCCAGGAATCACATTTTTTTTTTTAAACATGGTTTCATGGCTCACTGCAGCCTCAATCTCCTGGGCTCAAAAAATCCTCCTGCCTCAACCTCCGAAGTTGCTGGGACTACAGGCACACATTACTATGCCCAATTAATGTTTTAATTTTTTGTGCAAATGAAGTCTCACTGTGTTGTTCAGGCTGGTCTTAAACCCCTGGTCTCAAGCAATCTATCTATCTCAACCTCCCAAAGTATTTTGATTATGGATGTGAGCCACTGCACCCGGGCCATGAATGCTTTTCTGTGGCGTCTTAAACAGTGAATCTTTTCCAAAGCTTTTCAGTTTATTTTCCCCAGATCCATCAGAATAATTACTATCTATGGTACCTATAGTCATAAACTGTATTTTTTACATAGTAAGGCTTCAAAGTGGAAATTACTCCTTGATCCATGGGCTGTAGAATGGATGTTTGGTTAGTAGGCATGAAAACAACATTAATCTCTTTGTTCATCTCCATTAGAACTCTTAGGTGAAAAGATGTATTGTCAATGAGCCATAATATTTTGAAAATAATTTTTTTTCTCTGAGCACTGGGTCTCAACAGTGGGCTTAAAATACTCAGTAACCCATCCTGTAAACAGATACACTATCATCCAGGCTTTGTTCTTTCATTTATAGAGCACAGGCAGAGTAGATTTAGCCTAACTCTTAAGGGCCCTATGATTTTTGGAAACGTAAATGAACATTGGCTTCAACTTGAAGTCACCAGCTGCATTAGCCTCTAGTAAGAGAGTCAATCTGTTCTTTGAATTTTTGAATCCAGGCATTGACTTCTCTTCTTTAGCTTTGAAAGTCCTAGATGGCATTTTCTTCCAATAGAAGGCTGATTCATGTACATGGAAAATCTGTCAATTAGTGTAGCCACCTTTAACAATGATCTTAGCTAGGTCTTCTTGATAACTTGCTGCAGCTTCCACATCAGTACCTGCTGCTTAACCTTGCACTTTTATGTTATAGAGACAACTTCCTTACTTAAATGTCATAACCTCTGCTAGCTTCAGACTTTTCTTCTACAGCTTCCTCACCTCTCTCAGCTGTTGTAAAATTGAAGCCACTAAGGGCTTTAATCTGGATTAGTCTTTGACTTAAGGGAATGTTGTGGCTGGTTTGATTTTCTATCCAGACTACTAAAACTTTCTATGTATCAGCAGTAAGGCAGTTTCAGTTTCTTATCGTTTGTGTGTTCACTGGAGTAGCACTTTTAATTTCCTTCAAGAACTTTCTCTTTACATTCCTAACTTGGCTAATTATTTGGCATAAGAGGCCTATTTTTTTAACCTATCTCGACTTTCTAGATGGCTTTCTCTTTAAGCAAAATCGCTTTTAGCTTTTGATTTAATGTGAGAGGTATGCAACTCTTCATTTTACTTAGAGGCCATTGCAGGGTTTTTAATGGGCTCGATTACAGTATTATTGTATCCCCAAAATAAGGAGGGAAAGCTGGTTGGCAGGGCAGTCTGAAAATACATCTTTATTGTGTAAGTTCACTGTTTATATGGGCATGTTTTGTGCACCACAAAACAATTGCAATAGTAACATCAAAGATCCCTGATCATAGATCACCATAGCAGATATAATTTTAAGAAGTCTGAAATATTGTGAGAATGATCAAAATGTGGCACAGAGAAGTGAAGTGAGCAATGCTATAGGAAAAATGGTGCCCAAAGGTTTGCTTAATGCAGGGTTCCCACAAACATTGAATTTGTGAAAAAACGCAGTATCTGCAAAGTACAATAAACCAAAAGTAATAAAATGACGTATGCCTGCATTTAGACTCTGTAGGTCATTAAAGTGCCTGTCCCAATTACTCACTGCCTTTGTTATATGGTTAAAATAGCCATATATAAGACCAAAGTGAATGGGTATGTTGTTTTGCAATAAGTGTTATTTACAAAAACTGGCAGCAGTCCAGATTTGGCTCCAAAGCTATAGATATGACTCCTCTTCAGACTGAATTTTCTTGAAAGTTGACACAATTGAGATTGACAAATTTTTTTTATAGAAGAGCTCCGAAACTTGACATTGTAGTAGTAAAATTTAGCAAATGACATGGTTTCAAAAACCTCCCACCAAAGGTTTATGGAGTTTACAAATTAAGCTTTTTAAGTAGTGATTCTATAGGAAAAAACAATATATATATCCTGGCTGGGTACGGCAGCTCATGCCTGTAATCCCAGCACTTTGAAAGGAAAAGGCAGGCAGATCACAAGATCAAGAGATCAAGACCATCCTGGCCAACATAGTGAAACCCGATTTCTACTAAAAATACAAAAATTAGCTGGGTGTGGTGGCGGACACCTATAGTCCCAGCTACTCAGGAGGCTGAGGCAGGACAATTGCTTGAACCTGGGAGGTGGAGGTTGCAGTGAGCCGAGATCACACCACTGCACTCCAACCTGAGCAACAGAGCGAGACTCTGTCTCAAAAAAAAAAAAAAAAAAAAAAAAAATCCTAAAATAGAAATCTGCATAATGAATTCATGGTCTTGTTTTCAATCTAAATCTTCCTCCTATTTTAGAATTGATCAGAAAATGCAATTGTTGTTATTTAAATGTAAAATGAAAAAAACAAAGCCCAGTTCTACTGGTTGCTGTATAAAAACAATGATCTCAAATAATCCACATCCTTTTGTTTTCTCATGTAGTCCAAGGGTCCAGAGTCAGGAAGCAGCTTAGGTGGTCGTTCTGGATTAGGTAGCATAGATTTATTTACTAATATGCAGTGGGTTTAGGGATCACAATAACACTTTTAGGACACATAAAATGTTTGAATTTCTCTTAAAATCAAAAGAACAAATATTTAGGTCAAATGTTTATTTATAGTATCAATATAATTATTTTATAACAATACAATAATTATATATAGCTAAAATGTTATTTTTACCAATTGTGTAGGTTGATATCATAAGAGTAATACTTACTTTTCTGGAGAGGTTTCTCATTCTTTCACCTGTTCCTTTTCTGCCCCATTCAGATATGCGATATATGTACACATACACACACACACACACACACACACACACATACACATACATATGTATATACACATATACATACATATATATGTGTGTGTATGTGTATATATGTATATATGTGTATATATATGTATATACATGTGTGTATGTGTATATATACACACACACATATATGTATGTATATGTGTGACAGAGAAAGAAAGAGAGAAAAAGGGCCCACAAAGACCAAATTAAAAGGAATAGAAGTTCCTAGGGCCTCAGAAAATTATAATGCATTGATGTCAATGTGGCTCTTGATTCAGGGTCCGTCATGAAGTTGGTTAAGACAAGCTGCCAGCAAGAGCTGCAGTTTCTAAAGACTTGTCTGAGGCTCAGGGTCCACTTCCAAGCTTATTCACATGGCTGTTGGCTGGAAGTTTCAATTCCTCTCCACAGGGGTTGCTGCTCATATTTGGTTTTCCCCAGAGTGAGTGGTTTCAAAGAAAATAAGCATGAGTGAGCAAGAAGATATACTGTTTATTATAACTTAATCTTGAAACCGGAATGCCATCATTTTTGTTGTATTCTACTAGTCACAGTCCAATCCTGGTGATTTGGAGGTACTTCATAAGGGGTGAATTGTAAGAAGCAGAAATTACTGGGTGTCATCTTGGCAGCAAACTACCATTCCAGGGGCGTCAGGACAGCCATGGTACAACATTACCTTATGTGGGACGGAAGTAATAAGAATGCACCTCAGACAGAATTGTATTCACTGAATACAAAACTTCAAGCTAAATTTTATTTTTAAAATTTACTTTAAAATAAAATAGAATTTTTCATATTTTATAATACCTTGCTAAATTTAAGAAAAATAATGTTATACAGTAATTAACAATTATTACTGCTTACTGAACATACCTCCACTGATAAAGTTTTCATAATATCTTATCTACTGGGAATGACTATGCCACATATTTTATAAGCCAACCATTATAATTAGAAGACTGATATATGTATCAGTGTTTGTATCTTTTATTTGTTTTTGTGTATCACTGCCTCAAATATTCTGTAGAAAAAAAATAGCATAGTTAAGAGCAAAAATTAAAGTAGATAAAATACAATTCTGTCATAACTTTCTCTTTATAAAATAAATTCTGTGAAATTAAAATGTGGTCCAACATAAACAACTAGTCAATACTTAGGTCTTCAACACAATTCTTATAATTCCAATTTCTCCCACTGACTTTCTTATTGGTTCGTTGTATCCACCAGACTTATATTTCTCCCTCCAGAGACTGCATATAGAGGTTGTACTTCATTTTTCTCTTTTCATGAAAAAAGGAACATGCTTCTAACAGAAACTGGGGCAAGCTTTTTTTTTCTTCCTCCTTTTTCTTTTTGCTGTAATTGCAGACTTCTTTGTTGCTGAGCTCAGATACTAAGAAATCCATTACTCCTTTTCAGCTAATGTGAAGTGTATGTATCCCTTGGCTGTCCCAAGGAGAGAAGAAAAACACAGACAGGAGAAAAAAAAATATCAGTCAGAACTGGAAGTTGCTGACTCAGGTTTCAACCCGCAGTACAATAGCCACTCTTTCTTGAAATGCAGTTGTTAAGAGACATCAGAATTAATCCTTTCCAGCATGGACTTTCAGAAACAGTGTTGCAAACTGTTGATAATGAACATCATGCATGTATTTTTTCACCTCATTTTACATAAAATAAATGATATATAAGTGTAACTACTTAACATGTTAAAATCATTTACACGGGAAAAACTATGCCTCAAAGTTATCTGAAATCTTTGTTACTTGCTTTTGTATTATTATTTTCTTTATCACTTAAGTAACCCTTAAAGTGACATCAAATTTAATAGTTTTCTTTCTTTAGAATACTTTCATACCATTTTTCATTTTACATCTCTTACATTTCTATATTTTATAAGTTTATTGATGAATTTATGCATTCATTCAACAATTCAACATTCATTAAATGTATATAAAGTGTTAATGAAACTGGAACACACAGGTAGAAATAAAAACTATTGATAAACTGTTCTGGAGCTCATACTACTTAGCTAAAGGATGCTATATACTTGAACAAGGTGATCAGAGATCACCTGGCCAAAATATTATTTTAAACAATTATGTTTGTTGATAAGAATAAATATAACACATACTTTTGTGCAAAGATCACTCATTCATTCCTCTTCGGCCCCAGCTATAGCATCCATATGTGCTTTGAAATTACTAAAATAATTATGAATACCCTGCCTGTGCATAAAATATAATAGAATAGGGATAAGTACATTGCACAGACCAGAAAAATGTTTTTGTTGTTTTTCTAATTAAATACAGAGGGGCCAGACTGATTGGATGCAATATATTCAGCACACAATTCCACTTACTGAGAAAACAGCAGAGGAAGTCAGGCACTGGCAGCAGCTAACTAACACCATCTAATTGGAGTAGCAAGAGCAAGCCATGGGACAGACGGAGAACAAGCTACTTGGATCAGTTTTTATACTACAGATCAACAGCTTTGAGAAGCAGTTATGTTGAGAACCCCATGGTTTTTTCAATGTTTAAACCAAGTCAAAGCTGGTACTTCAGTTGTTCCTCCCTCATGGAGCACCAAAGAGTACTGGGAAGACCAAGGAGAGCCACACCTTATGCAAATTATAGGGGCAGAACTACAAAAATTGAATGTATTGAAATTGGAGACTTGGCAATGGCTTCTACTCATCACGATGCCAAGTAGAGGAAAGTATCTGAATTGGAATTGGCAGCTTTCTCACTATACACCTCAGGGATGCTGGATCACTGAACTCAAAATGTCTGTACTAATCAACTAGCCCTTCAGTATGACATCTCTGCTGTACAATATATTTCAGGTTAGTTTGAGGATTTTATATTTCACCTATTTTCTTTCTTCCTTTCCCGTCATTGTGTTTAATTAAATTAAGCATTTTAAAGTGTAGGCATTTTTATACATGTTGTGAAAAAGGAGGGAGTGACATCAAAGGCCAAAGTTCATAATATCCCTGATACTGGCCCAGGAAGAGTTACCATCACTGGCCCAGGTGGTCTCTACCCTAACTTGGCATAATTTACGTCTCATGCAGTGTCAATGACCCTTGAACTGCTGGGCGTCTCATTTTCTTGTCTGCATAAAACAAGGGGATTGAAATGAAGTGTTATGATTTATTTTTCCAACAAAGATGAATGAAATGTCAAGAGCAGCAAGAAGAAATTTTAAATACTGTCACATTTGTGTCCTGCAACATTTGGTATTATTTTTTTACTTTAACATCTTTAGGTAGTAGATTATTATATTAAAAAGATTTAAGTATTTGTGTGTGGACTTTAGTTTCTTAAACTCAGCCTTAAGAGATATAACATCAACTGTATATATATATACACATATATATATATATACACACACACACATTATATATATAATGTATATATATATATATATAATGTATACATATATTTTAAAAGTATATTAAATATGGCTTGGAACCTATGTGCTGATACCATGTTAAGACTATTGATTTCAGTCACTATTGAGGTTTTTTCACCCTCCAATAATTGCACAAGAATCAAGGACTCTTAAGCAATGCTAAGAAATAGCAGAAAGTACCTTCATTCTTCAGCTCATCAAAATTGTCTATATTCTAATTGTCCCAGATTATAAGGACTCTTGAAGTTTTTGCTTTCACTGCTTATGAACCAAACTTGGGCCTGGAAATTTTTACTGATAGTAGTAGTCATGTAACTCAAGTTCCTGTTCCCTAAGGGAAACACTCAGGTATTGCCCTGTTTATTCACTCCCTTCCCGCTTTGTCTCAAGGGTGTACTTTTTTGCATTGCCATCTATTTGGACTCTTAGGGAGTCTCTTCACCCTATTTTGCCAACTTAAAGTCATTTACCTATTTATCTTCTATATTACCTAAATAACCACAGAAACATAAATGTTTAGAAATCAGAAACCTGAAACATAGTTGTACACATGCTACAAGTATTTAGCCTAACAATGACAAATCTCTCCTGGGGCCAGGAAACCAACAGTCTTATTACCTATTTGAAAGGAGGAAAGTGAGTATAGGGAGAATAAAACACAAATTAATATTTCAACACATTATTCTGCCCCACTTACACCTTTAAAATTAAAAAGGAATACCCTTGTCATACATTTTAATTTTATCTGGATATTAGACTTGATTTATTAGTATTCTATTTCCACAATAAAAGGGAACTTAATTGTTTATGGCAGTGATATATATGTTCCTTGAAAAATTATCACAGCTCACCTACTGAATGTTGAGTCTCATATTCTTATTACAAGTGATTCATTAGAAAATTATGATAATAATAATGAGCTTAATAAGATCTGTCATAAAACTGATGTCTGTTATGTGCCAAAATATACCAGGGTATTTTCACACATTATCTCATCAACTCTCAACAATGCTGAAGCAGAAATTATTATTCCAATATTTCATATTAAACTCAGTTAAATTAAATTCACATGGATAGTAAGTAGAGGTGCCTTGATTCAACCTCATATCTATACATACATGGTATCATTTTCTAGTACCTCACCATGGTGATTTTTCCATAGTCATTTTTTAATCAAACAAACAATTCTTGTAACAATTTTGAGACAACATACTTTTCCTGGAAAACATAAATTTTATTTTTAATTTCAAAGATTAGTATAAAGTTTTGCATATTTATTTTTTCTGTTTTTTAAAATTGTCCTCAGCACTTATGATATTTTAGCCATCTTTATTTTTTTTAAATGTCTTGATTAAAATAGTGGAGTCGTTTATGAATGTTTTATTAAAATATTATTTTTTGATATATTACTTATTTTTCTCATTAACTCACTAATTTTTGTCTTACATGTATTGGTTGATTTTCTCCAATTTTTCTGTTTTGATATTAATAATGAAAAACTTATTTACTTATTTTCATTGTTATTTATCAATTAAAGTGGTGAAAGGAATTGATCTTTCTTGATTGATTTTTTAAAAAGTATTCAATATATTTTGAAATGTCTTAATATTGCTATTATTAAGTCGTATAAGACTTGATTCTCTCTTTGGGCATTTATTCACTAACTATTTGTTAAGGGTTTTAATAATCTAGAGACTGCTGTGTGGTGAATACTGTGAAATATATGGCAGAAAATATTCTTTGCTCATAGATCAAAGAGCTATGGGGGGTGGATGGTGAGAGTCAAAAAATAAGCAAATTCTTTGTTGTTCTCTACATTATCCCCAAACTGAGTAGCTGCTGTTAAAATGCGAGTAAAACTTGCCGTCTTACCACCCTTTCTTTATTTTGGAGTTGGAGAGTACTCAAAAGAGCAGCCACAAAGGACACACCAAGACTAGAGCGATTTAGATCCGTCCCAGGGTCCAGGTCGAATCTTGAGAAAACCTCAATAAAGTGCAAATGGAAATCATTGGAGGACTCACCTGTATTCTGAGTACTACAGGAAAGTAATTCATCTCAGATCACTTTAGTCAAAAGGCTTCAAGTACTTCCATTGGCAACCAAGATCCATGGGTTTCTAATGCCCTCAGATCTTCCTTAGTTTTGAGGGAGGGGACATGAACTAGTTGCCTTCCCTTAGCCACCTTATCCTTTGATGGAGTGGTCTTCTGAACCCTTGTGTGCTTGCACCATTGAAAGAGCAAAGCGTCCTAGTTGCAGAATTTCACACGGTATCCAGTGCACATCCTGTGTGTGGTGAGGAGGGGACTTTAAACTGTTAGCATGCTTCAGAATACTGCAGACTTTTGAGGCACAGTGAATATAAGTCCCTAAATGAGTGCTATCAGCTGATAAGGAAGACACAGTTATGACCCTGGAGTCCTCAATTGCTTCTCAGTAGCATCTGTTTTGCTGATGATGGTTTCCTTCCTAACGAAGGGCTGGTTTTCCTCATGTTGAGATGAAAAAAAATGTATATTATAGAGCACTTTGTTCTCTCCTCTCTGTTTACCTTCATCACATCAACACCTTGTTTTATTGCCTTTTCCCATGTGACTTGTTGCCTTTATATGGGTCACAGTGTTTTATCCAAGTTCTCCTTTTTTACCTTGATCATGTGTCTCAATCATGTCTGTGTTCCTACCTCCATGGTGTATGGATAAGGTAATCTTGTATGTGGAATCTAGGCTAAGCTAGAGCTTAGGGCTAGGCCAAAAGACACACAAATCTGTGCCCTCAAACAGAGCAGGTGATTCCTTATCAGGTAAAGAAGTTGTGCCTTTGTCCTTCTTTACAGGAAAATTCATAAGTGAAGGGAACGACTCTAAGATAGCATCACCTCCACCTTCCCTGGAGTCAGATTGAGGCAAGGAGAGATAAATAAATGCAGAGGATGCAGAGGGAAGAGGGGCAGCAGAGAAAGGAGAGGGAGGGTTCTGTGAAAGGGATAGTGCTTCTAAGTATTGCATTCACTCTTCCATTTTTTTCAGTCTTTTCACTAGCTACCCAAATTAATTTTAAAATGATATTTATTTCATAAACACCAGTAATTCATTTGCTTGGGATGAGGACTCTCCAAGAAGTAAAAGCATTAATTTATCCAAATCAAAAGAACCATCTTTAGGCTATTACAAAACTGGATTTTTATGTATTCATTCCAAATATGACAGTAAGATTTTAGCTTTCAAAGAGAAATGCCTGCAGGCAACATTCCTGACTTTCCATATTTTTCAACCATATGGCAATCCTGATGGGATTGTAGAGCCTGCATTGCCCATGCTTATTCAATATTAAAGTATTCTATTTGGAAAGGGTGGTTCATCTAGCTAGTTTTCAAAAAAAAAAAAAAAAAGCTGAGACCTAGAAGGGAGAGACGTAAAATTTGTGGTCTCTTACTTGATACTAGGAAAGCCACAGACATTTAGATGGTCAGCTCAATTTAGGAGCTGCCACACATCCCGTCCGCATCACCAGAATTGATGAAGGAATATAATTATAAACACTTTCTTTCCAACCCAGGCAACCTCCCCACAAAGGTAGAAGGGAAAGAAAACAATTTTATTAATGAATAAACATTAAGCCAAAATGTGAAGGGCATCATAGAAAATTCACTAAAGAGATTGCAAAGACAAAAAAAAAAACCTCACAATGTTATGTAGCCAAACAGATAAAACAGATTATATTCACATTCTCAAATAAGTAATAACTAGTCCTCAAGTCAGAGGACTCGACCACACCATGTGTCAGACATAGTTCATCCTAAATTCACATGAAAATTGACCTGACCATCTGTGCTAACTAATTGGCTTTATCCAAAGGAAAAACAAGCTTCTCATAACTCTATTACAGAAGATAGTTTTTGCAGCTTGAGGCTAAATGAGATTAGAAATTAGTCTTCGTCTTATTTCAGGTTGCCATAACAGAACGCCATAGACTGTGTGGCTTAAACAACAAGTACTTATTTTTGACAGCTCTAGAGGCTGAGAAGTCTAAAATTGAAGCACTGGCAGATCTTGTGAGGTCACATTTCCCTGTTCACAGAGGGCATTTTCTGTTTCCTTACATGATCAACAGAAAGACAGACAGACACACACCCACAGAGAGAGACAGAGAGAGAGAGAGAGAGAGAGAGGGAAAAAAAATCTAGTATCTTTCTTCTTATAAGGACATTAATCCCATTTATGAGGGCTCCACCCTCATGACCTAATTAGGTCCCAGAAGTACAACCCTTAAATGCCATCACATTGATAATTAGGCTTCAACATTTGAATCTGGCAGAAACAAAAACATTCAGTCTATAGCAGGATCCTACCCTTCTACAGAAACAGGTAAATAGGGTCACTTTCCTTGATCATTACATTTCAAAGAGATCGTTTTCAGATCCTTGAGATTTACTTACATTTCAAATAGGTAGAGAAAAAAGTTACAATTACAAAATGTGTAAAGCAAATTCTCTAAGAAAAGAAAGGAAGATCTTTCTCCTTGTTTTTAATAGGGTGAATTAAGCCTCTTGTATTTAATTTGTGTTTGCCCTTACACTTGTGTTAATTTAATTTAAGAGATTTTTTATATATCAAAAAATAAATTATTTGTATTTTTTTACATTTGTTTTAAATTTATATCCATTTGTAGGTCTGTATTAGCCAGGGTTCCCTGGAAGGACAGAACTAATAGGATAGATGTATATATGAAAGGGAGTTTATTAAGGAGTATTGACTCACAAGGCAAAGTCGCACAACAGGTCGCCTCCAAGCTGAGGAGCAAGGGAGCCAGTCGAAGTCTGAAAACATCAAAAGTAGTGAATCTGACAGTGCAGCCTTCAGTCTGTGGCCAAAGGCCCAAGAACCCCTAGCAAACCACTGGTGTTAAGTCCAAGAGTCCAAAGCTGAACAAGTTGGAGTCCGATGTTTGAGAACAGGAGGCATCCAGCACGGGAGAAAGATAGAAGCCAGAAGACTCAGTCAGTCTAGTCTTTCCACATTCCTCTGCCTGTTTTTATCCTAGTCATGGTGGCAGCTGAGTAAATTGTGCCCACTCAGAATGAGGTTGGGTCTGCCTCTCTCAGTCCACTGACTCAAATGTTAATCTCCCTTGGCAACACCCTCACAGATACACCCAGGAACGATACCTTGCATCCTTCAATCCAATCAAGTTGACACTCAGTGTTAACCATCACAAGTTCTTTATATTTTTAAAATCTCTTTTGATTAACTAAAGTTCCTAACAGCAGTGCCATCACATTTCAGTGTTTTACTTTATGCATAGTGTTTAAAGAAATCCTTACCTATCACGAGGTCAGGAGAATGTGCACCTATATTTTCCCTACAGAAGTCAAAAATTTTGCTGTTGTAAGAGCTTATATGTAAGACCTTAACAAATCTATAGTTGATTTTATATATGTTGAAATATTTTATTATATTTTTGTATGGCTGACTCGTTAAACTAGCTAAATTTACTAAAGGGTCTCCTCTTTCCCCTATGACCTACAATTCTACCTTTAATTCATATCAAAGTTCAATATAAGAGTGAAACTGACTTTGAGGTCTCTCTTTCATTTTATTTTAAATTGCTTAACACTGTTGAATTCTAAATTATTTCAGTTATTATGCCTTTATATTTGGTACAAAATATACTGTTTCCTTATGATTGCCTATAGTGATAAGTACAGAGTATTGATTATTCATTTTCCTTTACTTTATAACTTATATATTTGAATCAACATGTGAAATTGTACAAAGAATATTGATGAGATTAAAGTAGAATTTCTTTAAATCTATATCACAATTTAAGAAAATTTTAATTTTTTATAGTATGTGTTCTTCTTATCAGTGAACACAGAATATTCCTCAACTTGATCAGAACTTTTTAAAGCCTTACAGTATAATTTTATAATTTTATATACAGTTCTTAAATTTTCTTGTCATTCATTTTATATACCATATAGATATTTTTTTCTGTTATGAAGAATGAATAAAACCATGTAATATAATTATTTGAAGGTCAATGAGCTATTCTTTAAGCTATGAAATCTAATTGCATGCGGGCTAATTATTACCTTGGGTAGAAATGCTCCATTTCTAACTCCATTTATTAAGACACATTGTTAAGCACATTGATTAATTTTAGAAATTTGTAAACATTTTTGCATTTCTACCTAGATAAACATATAATCCACAAAATACTGGCTAAGATCTTCAGAGCAATGTTAAACAAACTCACTGATAAAGATCATATTATCATCTTACTGATTTTAAATGGAATGCTTTCCTGGTCATATAAATTAACATGGCTGAAGAGATACAGGAGTTCCCTTCACGCATAATTAACCAAAGCTTTTTTGTTCATTTGCCTTCTGGCTTTATAATAATAGTGTAATTACTAAACCATAGATGAAGACTATTTTAATGATTTCCAAAGAACAAATCTTTAGTGTAATTCATTATCTCTTCTATTTCCTATTTTTCTATTTCATTGATTTCTGCTTTACATTTTCTAAAGATTTGCTTCAACTTACCTTGAGTTTAATCTTCAGTCATTTATCTAACATTTTTATGCTAAAAACGTTGCCTGCCAAATTAAGAATAAATTTCCTTCTTTAATTAAAAATAAAATACCATTTATTGTTATAAATGTTCTGTGAAACTTCACTTCTATAGAATTAAATAATTTAAGCTAAAAGCTGTTGGAACTTTATATTATTTTGAGCCTTGAGAGGAATATGGCTATGTGGCCTGAATCATATAGCATGCAGCTGCAACTTCTGCTTTTCCTTGTGAATGATATGAAAAGATCAAGTAGCTCCAGAGATAAGACTTTTTTGAAATCATTACCCTCTTCGCTAAATGTTGAAACAATCTTCTTTGGAATGTAGTGAGCTGTATTCAATCAAATCACTGTGATGTATGTACTGTCCTTCTATGGAAAATAATGTGACCCTGTTACACTTCTCTATTTCTGACTATATAAGTGAAACCTTAATTTCTCTACTTTGGAGCACTGACCCTATTTTTTTGGAGTAAGTGGTTTTTGGGTGGCCATCCTCAAATTTTATCCTCAGGTAAATGCAATAATTACATTTTCTAAAGCTCACTATTTAAGACTGACACTCTCATGACATATAACAGATTTTGATATGTAATTTTTAAAATATCTTTGATTTAAAATATTTTAATGTAAATTATAATTCATTTCTGACACATGATTTATTGTTACATGATTCAATAAATTGCATTTATTTTTATTTGCAAATATATTTTGATTTATGTTTTACCATTCAGAAATTAACTTCCACATAAATTGCATTGTAGTCAGAGAATATAGTATGTAAAATTGCCTATGAGATTCACTAACATTTATATTAAAACAAACACATGTCTGTGTTCCATGTTTGCATATAATGTGAACTTGTAATCATTGAAAGCAGGATTACTTACATGATGACAATATCAAATTGTAAATTTTGTGCAACACTGTTTTGCTGATCATTGTTTTATCTGTCAATTAATGAGAAGTTTATTTATTTATTTTCCTTACAGATAAGAGTCTCACCTATTGCCCAGACTGGAGTGTAGTGTTGCAATCATAGCTCACTGTTATCTTGAACTCCTAGGATCAAGCCATCTTCTTGCCTCAGTCTCCCAAGCAGCTAGGACTACAGGTATGCACCACTATGCCTGGCTATTTTTTGTTTGTTTGTTTGTTTGTTTTGTAGAAATGGTTTCACCTTGTGCCCAGGCTAGCCTTGAACTTCTGGCTTCAAACAATACTCCTGGCTCAGCTGCCCAAAGTGCTGGGAATACTGGCATGAGCCACCACGCCCTGCCTAGAAATATTTTTAAATCTCCCACTATAGTGATAGATTTCTCCAATTACCTCTGCGGTTCTAATGAGTAATTCTATATATCCAAGCTATGTTTTAAGTACAACACATTTAAACTACATATGACATACAGTTGAATTACAATTTTATTATTTTATAATAGTCTTCTTTATCCCTAAAACTGTTAACTGTAAAATCATTTTCTCTCATATTATATGGATATATCAAATAGTTTTGTTTTAAATAAAATATACCTTGCTTGTTTTAGCATGTATGTGTGGGGATGGTGGGGAGGACAGTGCTTCAAACCTCTCTTTCCCAGCAGAGACCAGAATTACCCTTGAGAATGTGTTGCACCTGGGCTCTAACTGTTATGGAATAAAAAAGGCTAATTCAAACTTTTAATGTCCCATTATGCTGTAAGCTAAACTTTCTAGAAATTACTGAATGTTCTGGATCCACAATTTTCAGCACGCTTTCATAATTATAAATCTCCATTTTTTCCTTGGCTGTCAGCAGGCATAAAAACAAAGCACAAGGCTGAGTGCACAGGCAATTGTCCTAGATGCTTTTCATTTTAGAGATCAGAGAGAGAAACTCAGCCAACATAGGACACGTGAGAAATTAGGACTGTTTGAAGTCAGGTTAGCCATGCCTCAACATAGTTGTTACTTTGTGCATGACGTGTTTTGTTGAACACTTTTCACCTTTGGCAAAGGAGACAGTCATTCTGTGGGCTCAGTTTTGATGTCAAAGGTTAAATTGATTTGAAATTACCTGGTGCCCTCCAATGCAGAGTTGTGAAGACGTCTGCGTTAGAGTAGGGAAGATGTAGTAACACTGAGATTTCATATATAACTGAAAGTAAGAAAAAAAATATTTCCTCAAATTATTTGGCCTTTCAAATTTTATCATCTTGCCCTATTGCTTGAATCATATTATAATATATAATATATATAAAATCATTATTTTAATACTTATGAAAAAGAACTAGATACCTGTTTAAAAGTTAAAGATATATTAACCTTCTAGTTCTTTGTAAAGCTGCATAAGAAACTCCGCACCAAAAGTTCCACAAAAGCTGTGATATGGACAAATTTATATTTCACATTGGATGCTCATCATCTTTCGCTGTGCATGATAAAAAGTGAGCATGAATAAAATTTATTAAATTAATAAATCACTGAACTGAGAAATGAGGTATATTTTTAAATAACATTAAATAAATATCAGTACTGAAGATCTGGATTAATTGTTTTTTATTTTTAGTTAATGGGAAGCAGATGTGTGTGTGTGGAGGATGGTAAATAGAAGATATTTTATTATCATTTTAATTTTAATTTTAAAACTAAGTGTTAGTCTTAACCTTTGAAAATACAAAATTCTCATAGATACAATGGAAGCATAAATGTTAAATGTAATTCAAGCTGGACTATTCATTCTGTAGCTTCATCAACATTCAGTTGTAATAAATGATTTAGGTTTCTGAAAAATAGCTCAGAAACATGGTGAGTATATATTATGTATCTATACATGTGTGTTTATCAGTATCTGTGTCTATACTTCTCTATCTATATCTATATATCTAAACATATATATGTGATATAGTATGTATACATTTATTTTATATAAAGCAATATAATCAGAAAATGACAATAAAGTAACTTATTATTTAATATATTTTTATTTTCCTAAAAGCATCACTCTTGACGTTGTCTCAGTAGATTGCTAGGAATATCATCACTTACTTTAAAATGATAATTCCATTTTAAGCCTGTCATACAGTGTTTCTATAATTTTTATACATATTAAACATTTTAAATTTTAGAATCTATGAATGTGGAAATATTACATTAGCCTATTACTTGAGTAAAGTTCAATAGAAAGAGTTATAACAAATTTCACAAGCAGTACCGTACATGCTTAAGATTCAAATGTCTATTTCTAACATTGGATAGACTATGCCTTCCTTAATAAATATGAGGAGTGAAATGCTTTTTTTGTTTGTTTTTTCCAAGACAGAGTCTCGCTCTGTCGCCCAGGCTGGAGTGCAGTGGCACGATCTTGGCTCACTGCAACCTGAGGAGTGAAAGACTTTAAAAAAAATGCTAAACTTGGGAAAATTTAAAAGTGATGCCAAAAACACACAATCTTATTTTTTAATTTTTAGAAAAAGGTGAACATCCATTAATCAAATGCCATTTGAATTACAATTAATGGTGAAAAATGGCAATTTTCAGTATTTTGATGTTAAATACTTAGAGATCCTCAGGATATTTTCAGGGAGCCTATAAAGTCAAAAATATTTTACTAATAAGGCTACGATGCAATTTTCCTTTATTATCCCCATTCCTTCACAAATATAGAGTACAAAAATTGTATTGATATAATTTCCAAATCTACATTTCATTAACCCTTAAAGACACTACCACTTATCCTCCAGAAAGAATTATTCTGAAACCTGAAGATCTCATGGAGTAGCTTAGCCTTCCTTGGGATCTATTATCTTTTCCTTCTTTCTTATTCCTACCTTTTGGAATAGAAATATCTATCCTACCTATGCCTGTCCTACCACTGGATTTTGAAAACACATAACTCATTTGGTTTATAGATTCACCAATAAGGAGAACTTTAGTTTTCAGAGAAATCATACCTTGAGTCTCACCCACATCTGATTAAGATAATATTTAGATGAGGCTTTGGACTTTAGACTTTAGAGTTGATGTCGTAATGAGTTAAGATTTGGTGATCTGTTGGGGTGGAAAAAATGTATGTTAACATGTGAGAAGGACATGAATTATGAGGAGCCAAAGGAAAAATGTTATGGGCTGAATGTGTCCTCCCACAAATTCAAATATCAAAACTCCAATCTCTAATGTGGTAATATTAGAAGGTGGAGCTTTGGGAGATAATTAATATTAGTTGAAGTTATGTGGAGATAAGTACTGTTCTAAGAGTCCCCAGAGAGTGATTTGATTCTTGCAGTTCTTCACCATGTGAAGATACAATGGCAAGCCAGCAGTTTGCAACACAGAAGAGGGCCCTCAACAGAACTCAACCTTGTTGACACTCTGATTTCATATTTCCAGCCTCCAGAATTGTAAGAAACGAAATTTCTCTTTTTCATAAGCCACCTCATCTATGGTAATTTGTTATAACAGGTTGTACTAAGACAACAAATTACCTCTCTTGGCCAATTTAGTAAGCTCCCACTTCTTAGTTCAAGACCTAATATATAATCCAAGTGCTTCAATTCAATGTAACACCAGAGACTGGGAGATAGTATGTGAACTGAGAAGAGTCATTCTTTCATTATGATGTTAAAGTCTTTATGTAGCATAACTTTGTCTTACTGTTTTGGAAAGTTGGGGTTCCAGCTGATTTCTTTGCATGTCTTTAGATCATGTGATAAAAATACTAGTCCAGTGTATTTTATCTAGAAACTTCTAAGTCATTGATAAACTAAATATAATTACACAGTATTTCTAACGTAAACTCCAGAAACTGTGAGCGTTCTCATTTTGGTAGAGAAACAAGTTTTTGCTTTATTCTAAGTTGTGATATTTTCAGGACAACTAATATGGATATGAGTTTTTATTAGTCAGGGCTTTCCAGAGAAACAGAACCAACAGGAGATACACACACACACACACACACACACACACACACACACCCCTCCCACACACACACACACACACCCCTCACACACACACACACACACACAGAGGAGAGATTTTTAATGAGAAATTAGCTTATGAAATTATGGAGGCTGAGAAGTCCCATGATTTGCCATTTATAAGATGGAGATCCAGGGAAGCTGATGCTAAAAATTCAGTTCATGTCAAAAGGCACGATAAACAGCATAGTCAATGATGTAAATCCCAGTCTGAGGCCAAGAGAAGAAGAGATGAGCTGTCCCAGCTCAATCAGGAAGGCAGGAAAAAAAGGTGCTAATTTCTCCTTTTGCTCTATTCGGGCCCTCAACAGATTGGATCGTGCCCACCCACACTGGAGAAGACAATCTGCTTTACTCATTCCGTCAAATGAATGCTAATCTCATGAAAAAAATTAACACAGAAGTAATGTTTAATTTGGGCATGTTGTGCCAAGTCAAGATGACCCATAAAATTAACCATGACAGAGTTGTTCTTCATTTATTCTTTCATTTTCCTAAGATTTTATGTTTGATCCTTCAGTTGTATCTCATTTTTTATTTTCCCTCATCTTAAAGAAAATCCTTTTCTCCCCAATTATACAAATACTATACGTTGATAAACTTAACATACTACCAAAAGAAAGGGATAAATAGTCTAAAATTTACTGCAACAAACACCTCTGTACCTCAGAGAGGCAGTTATTTTATTTTAAAAAAAAGTCCTAGAAGTTGATTGCTTACATATCAACAACAACAAATACCTAGATACCTAATACCAATCAATATAACTTTTCTGGCATTATGGCTTTTTAAACGTTTTGCTAAATCAATGGGGAAAATAGCATATTTGATGAGATTTTAATTTTAACTTTTAAGGATATTTAATATCACTTAATATGTTTAATTAGCCACTTGGATTTTAATTTATTGGGATACCAATTGCTTGCACCAGTTAGCACTTGCCACATAACAATAATCCTAGACTGGGTGACATACAAAACCATTCAGCTGTTCTAGCTGTGCTCCATGGTGCAGCTCTAATATGCATGGCTGAATCACTTTAGCATCTGTGGGTGGATAGAATGCGGAATTTGGTTACATCTAGCCTTGGGATGATTCAGCTTTGTACCTCCTTCTTGTTCATGTTTCATCCTTTTCCTGAGTCCAGCAGGCTAGTTCATAAATGTCCTTCTCAGGCAGTGGCAAAAGTGCAGGAGGGCAAATAATAACTCACAAGACATCTTAAGCCCCAGTACTGGAATAGACACATCATCACTCTGCTTAATTGATTATCCTAAACAAATCAAATGGTACTCCCGAATTCCACAGATGAGAAAACAGACTCAACCTCTTACTAGAAAGAACAGCCAATAACATGACATGGGGTGTGGATAAAGGGAAGGGTGATATGCTGAAATCAACAGGGCAATTAACCACAGTCTGCCCTCTTGGATGCATTAATTTATATACCTTTGTGTGGGAAATAATGTAACAGAGATACTAGGATATCCAAAAGACATTTAATGACAATCAGGATTGAAATTCAGGATCCAATGATTTATATAAGATTGCACATGATGCTTCTCTTCATCTGGTGGTCTATGAGCTAAATACAAATGTGATTTGCCCTCCACACACAACGTGTAAAATGCTGAAATAGGAGCGGATAAACACAATGTACACACATTCAGAAAAGTAAGAAATGTGAGGCAAAGAGCAGTGGGTGGCCAATAGGAATTCTGAAATCCCACTGAGTTTTACCAGGTAGGTCCCTCTGGAGGTGATAATGTTTGTTGATTGAGCCTGGTTCTTCTCTGTCAGCATTTCTTTCAAGTATATTGACATCTGTCCTTTGAGATGTTCTTCCTTCCTCCATTACCTTCCTTAGTTGCTTCTGAAAAGGCATCAGAAAATATGTTTTTGTGCAAATTTCTCAGCCTACTTGTTACTAGCATAAAGTTAAGGGCCCAAATAACTAATTGCATATTGAATAATCTCAGACCTTGAGATTGTCCAAGGCTAGAACTGATAAATCTATCTGGGGGAAAAATATATAAACTAATAATAATGGACATCTAATGAGCCTATGGACCAGAGAAAAATTCCAAAGGAAAATTAGAAAATATTCTTAATCAATGAGAGTGAAAACATAACATACACAAAACTTGTGGGCTGAAGCTGAAAGAAAACGGTGATTTGAGGAAAATGTAAAGCATGGAAGAAATAAAATGAACTAAGCCTCCATTATAAGAAATTATAGAAATAAAAGAAGAACAAATTAAACCCAAATAAGGCAGAAGAGTAGGAAGAGTACCAGAGTTGAAAGTAATGAAAAAAGAAAATAGATGAGCATTAAAGGGAAGAAAAATAAAACCTGAAGTACATAATTTGAAAATATCCAAATATAATATTAATATAAATAAAATACATTTATATAACATTATAAATATATTAATGTAAATATTAAATGAAAGTAATAAATCTATAGGTAGACATTATAGAAAAGAGAGAAAACACATGACCAGTATTTAGAATGAGCAAAGTGACATCACTACACATTCTGTAAACAATAAAAAAAAAAGGAAATACAATATTATAAAGTACGTTGCCAGTGATCTGAGAAGTTAGAATACATGAATAAAGTTCTTAAAAAAGGAAGATTACTTAAGCTAACTAAAAAAAAAAACCACTTAATTTATTTCATTTTTTAAAGGACAAAAAACCAAACACCGCATGTTGGTTTTTTGGTAATTGAACAATGAGATGGGAATTGAACAATGAGTACACATGGACACAAGAAGGGGAACATCACACTCGGGGGACTGTTGTGGGGTGGGGAGAGGGGGGAGGGATAGCATTAGGAGATATACCTAATGCTAAATGATGAGTTAATGGGTGCAGCACACCAGCATGGCACATGTATACATATGTAACAAACCTGCACATTGTGCACATGTACCCTAAAACTTAAAGTATAATAATAATAATAAAAAAAAAACCTCAACACTTTAATTAATAAAGATTTCCTGCAAAAAGTACTCCTGTCCTTGAGAAGGTGGCTTCATTGGTGCATTCTACTAAACATGTAAGGGAGACATAATGACATTTCTCCAAAAACTTTTTCAGAAATTTGAAGTTACAAACTCATTCTATGAACTCAGCATCACTTGATACCCAAACAGAAAAGGCTATTAAAAGAAAAGTAAACCACAGACCAATATCTATCATAAACAAATGCACAGAATTCTCTAACAAAATGATAGACATTCAAATTCAACAATATATACCTGGGATGAATCTCATTTTGGTCACAGTATATATAAATGTGATTTGCCCTCCACATACAACATGTGTGTTGTATATACCATGACCAAAATGAGATTCATCCCAGGAATACATGATTGATTTCACAATAAAAAACAACTAATGTATTTCAATGTGTTTACAGACTTAACTAAATTACCATCTTAAGAACCATTTGTAAAATCCAATATCTATACATAATAAAAGTCTCAAAAAAACTAGCAATACAATGCAGAATTTTACCTGATAGAGAACATATCTGTGAAAAATCCCTAGCTAGTATCATACTGAATTGTGAAAAACTAAATGTTTTATCCCTAAGACAAGGAACAAGAAAAAATATCTAATCTAACCAACTTAGTTCAACATTGTAGTAGAGATTGTAGCCAAAATAATAATCATCCCCCATTAATAACAATAATAATGATGATAATAATAATAAGCATCAAATGAAAAAGGAAGAAATAAAATTATTTTTATCCACAAACAACATGATAGTTTATATAGAAAGTTTCAATGTGTGTGTGTATATGTGTATACATGTATTTATGTGTGTGTGTGTGTGTGTAATGTCTTAAGATAGTCTTAGATAAGACTAATAATGTCTTATCTTAAGATAGTCTTAGATAAGACTAATAATGTCTTACCTTAAGATAGTCTTAGATAAGACTAATAATGTCTTATCTTAAAAAGTTCTAAGCATTCAACTCGGCTATTCCAGTCCTGTGGTGGTTAATTTTATATGTCACCTTGCCTGGGCTAAGAGATGTTCAGATAGCTAGTAAAACATTTATGGGCATGTCTGTAAGTGTGTTTTCAGAAGACATTAGCATTTGAATCAGTTGACTGAGTAAAATGATCTGTTCTCACCAATGTGAATAGGCATCATTCAATCTTTTGAGAGCCTGAACAGCCTTTTGAGAGCCTGAACAAAAAGCCAGGTTAAACGTAATATCTCGCTCTGTCTTCTTGAATCAAGAAGTCTATCTTCTCCTGCCCTTGAACATCACAGCTCCTGAATTTTAGGCATTTGGACTCCAGATCTTACACAATCCTGTCTCCCTCTCTTTCAGCTTGAGCTGAATTACACCACTGGCCACCGGCTTTCCTGGTTCTCCAGCTTGCAGGTAATAAAACTACTATGCCTTCCTAATCATTTGAGCCAATTCCAATAATGCATCTCTCTCTCTTTGTATATATGTGCATATGTATATATATTCACATATATGTACACATATAAGCATATATATATGTATATACACATATATACATTTCCTACTGGTCTTTTTCTCTGAAGAACAATACACAATACAATTCCTACACTTTTCAAAATATAAATAAAACCATATGTCCATGAAAACATGTCTATACAACTGAATAACCAAATTTTAGTCTATATTATATCCACTTACAGAAGAAAGGAGGAACCCAAATTTCTTCTTATTTTATTCTATAAATATCTTTCCAGATATTTATAATGATGAAAATGTTCAATTGTATATTGCTATGATGCTACATCTATGCCATCCTGTGTATAATTCCTTAAACACATTGCAGCATATCATTTCCATTTATTCAACAAGACTAGTATCTTCTAATGATCTTAATATTGCCACATTAAAACACTTACTCTAGTAGTTTGCATTACTATATTTATCTTTAATCTTTTGGAACAACTAACATAAGTCTCATTAAATTCAACCTACAGTTATTGCATTCCTAATGTTTGAGCCCTAACTGGGTATACTGGAGATTGAAATCTTCACTCAAACTACATTAGTGTCCTTAACATTCATAATGTTTCTGTACCCAGCTATACATTATTTTGACCTGTTCTAAATGCCTTTAGTGTTTTGTCTTATTTATTTTTCACCAATAAGATTCTGGTTTTTTTTTTTCCATCATGGTAGAGTATGGAAAGCATTTAATTTGATGAAGGACAATTTGTTTCTAGCTCTTCTATTTACTTACTATATAATCTTAATCATCTATTTTTCCATCTCATTATTGGGGTAATAGTCGTTCTCCTTCTTCCATGGTTCCTGATTGCATTATAAAGGAAGAAATATCCACCTTGCTCCCCCAGTGAGCAAATTCTGTGGAAGGTCTGCTGTCCCTCCATTCTTCTTAGTTCTCCCTCTTGAGAGGATGACTAATTTAATTGAAGAAACTTTACATTTATTAGTCTGTAATAATTATATTAGAAATATATCTCTATTTTTTCTCTTTTTAACTTGTTTTTTAAAAACAAGACTGCTCATGATTTTTACATACTAGAGTAGATAATAACCTTGCAAAGAATGGCACATATTTTAAAATAAGTATATTGCTAGTGACTGAATGATTCCACTGCCGGACTCTGGACTCTGTTCTCAAATGTGGTTGCCTTAGACAAGAGAATGACCGCTAGCTAGCTACTTTGAAATTAAAAATATGAATAACACTGAAATATTTTTAGAACATCATAAAGAATGTTACAGCTTTCAAGAGCTACTTGGTTGTTACAGGTGCTGAGTCTCCTAATTAGAGTTAATAATATTTTTTCTAGAGAGTGCAGATTCTAAAATATAAGATATTCTTGCAAGATAGCAATTTTCTTTTTTCAGAAATGTCTGAATCAGTAAAAATTACCATTTGGGGGAATATTGGCATTTGCTGATCATTCAAAAGCAATGATTCATCTAAACTGCTCAGACTGATTATTGTAACAGGATTCCACTGTGCTTTTTATATTTTTTCATAAGAAAATTAACATACTGTTCATAATTCAGAGCAGACACAGGTGTTCATTACCTTTTCTGAGAACACAGTTACAAAAGCACTTATCTCTAATAATGGAAAAATGAAAAGGATTCAAAGAATTACACAGACAGATTGGTTAAAATACAAGAATATTTTGTCACATTCTACAATGAGCCTGGTTCAATTGTGTCATATAATTCTTCAGGATGAGTATTGCCAAGTGAGAGTAGAAAAAACATACTTTATCCATAGAAGACTCTAAGTCAGAAAACCATTATTTCCATGAATAACATAATTATGAAGACCTTAATTTCATCCTGTGAATATAAAAGTAAGAAGCAAATCATAAAGCTATCGTTACACCATTTAAGAAAGCCAAATTTCAGTTATGCTCTGAATTTGGCAGTGTCTTGAAGTAATTATCTGGAGTTATGTATTTGAAAAATCCTTAAATAGCAGTTATAATTAGTTTAACAGAAGGAAATATCATTCTGTATGTATCTTGTAAATTGAGACAGCTCTATTTTAATTATATGACTAGAAATTATAAAATTGTGAACTAATTTGATCGTAAGATCTAGAACTCCGACCTCACAGCTGAATGTGATGCTATTCTCTACCTCTCTCTCTTCCTCTGTGATATTCTTCACCTTTCTTCCATAGATTCAGTATGGTAATAGGATATCAGTTGCCTGAATATATAGTTGGTCATTAGTTCCCTGGAAAAGGAAAGTGGAACCATTAGAAATAGCTGAAGCTCCTTGGGTTGTCTTCCTCCATGAATTTATATTAACTGTCAAGCATGATATGGCATAGCCATAATATACATTTCTTGAAGAAAAGATACTTTTCCTTTTTCCAGAGCTTTATGAACAAGGTGACTATAGTCAATAATAATTTAATTGTGTGTTTTAAAATAATTATAATAGTATAATTGGATTGTTTATAAAACAAAGAAAGGATAAATGCTTGAGGTGATGGATACCTCATTTACCCTGATGTGATTATTACACATTATCTGCCTGTATCAAAATATCTCATATACCCCATAAATATATACAACTATGTGCCCAATAAATTTAAAAATTTTAAATTTAAAAATTTTCAAAGGGGAAAAATAAGAAATATTGGTCTTCATTTATGTTTGCAGCCTGACCTTAGTGTTGATCTGGATGATACTCTCCAGGTAAAATTTCTCAGTGGTTTTCTTATCTGTAAAAAAAAATGATGACAGTACTAGGGCTAATAATACCTGGTTTATACATTTTTACGTTTTATTTTTAAAAGCTATCACGGCCTGTCGCGGTGGTTCACGCCTATAATGCTAGCACTTTGGGAGGCCAAGGTGCGCAGATCGCTTGAGGCCAGGAGTTTGAGACCAGCTTGGCTAATATGATGAAACTCTGTGCCACTAAAAATACAAAATTAGCCGAGTGTGGTGGCACATGCTACTCGGAAGGCTGAGACACGATAACTACTTGAACCTGAGAGGTGGAGATTTCAGTGAGCCGAGATCACAACACTGCAGTTCAGCCTGGGCGACAGACTGAGACACTGTCTCAAAAAACAAAAACAAAAGACACCAAAAACTAACACATATTCTGAAATGTGGTAGACAATATCTATTCGAATAAATGAATGAATGAAAATCATTCCAAAGAAAACTCTAAAAATAAAAACAAGATTTTCCAGCAAAAATCTAAAGAAAAATTGCTTTGCTTTTCAGCATTTTCTTCAGATAGAAGATTCATGGAAATCTTAGAGAGAAAAAATGCTTTGCTTTTTAGCATTTTGTTTGGAGATAAGATTCATGAGAATTCTAGCTTTGTTACTATATTCTACAAAGTCCAAAAAATGATGAAATAAATTTATTTAACTCTGATTTGTTAATATGAGGGTCTTGACATTGTTCTGCTATTAATCAGAGGCTATCGGGGATGAGCTGTAAATCCTTTGTCCACCAGACCAGCTTCAAGATCAATAATTCACTAGAAGAGGTCATAGAACTCAGAAAAACTGATATACTCCCTGTGGCCATTTATTACAGTGAAAGAATATAGATTTAAATCAGCAAAGGAAAAAAGTACATGGAGCAAAGTCCAAGAGTAACTAGGCACAAGCTGGCAGGTGTCCTCTTTCCATTGGAATAACATGGGTATACTTATTTCTCCCAGCCATGTGTGACAATATTGGTGATTTTTTGCCAACCAGGAAGGCTCTCCCAATGTCTAATATTCATGGTTTTTATTGAGGGTCAAACATGCTGCTAAGCAGCAACTGTATAATTGACAGCTACTCAGATTCCATCTCCTAGAGAAAAAATAGGTATTTCACTATAAACTACATTAGCATAAACTATCTGATCAAACTGATGCTACTACATGGCCTAAGGCCTCAGTAATACAAATACGTAATATCACCCTAAATTCTAATGTTAGCATAACTTATTTCATCAAAGTGGTGGTACATGGACATTTATCCAAAAAGACCTACAAATGATGAATAGGTATTTGAAATGATGCTAAACAACCTAATCATCAGGGAAATGCACATTAAAACTTCAAGGACTTATAATCTCACACTGAGTATGTTGGCCATTAACAAATAATGATAATAATATTAATTATAATAATGATACTCAGGGTCAGTAAGTATGTGGAGAAACAGAAACCTGTACACTGCTGGTAGAAATGTAAAATGGTGCCACTGTTATGGAAAACAGTATGAAAGTTTCTCAAAAGAAAAAAAAAAGAACTACTCTATTCTCCAACAGTCCTACTTCTGAGTATTTACTCAAAAGAATTAAAATCAGTATCTCAAAGTGATAGGTGTCCATTTATATTCATTGTGGCATTATTCACAGAAGCTAAGATGTGGAATATATATACAATAAAATATTATTCACTTTTTAAAAAGAAGAAAATTTTGTCATAGGAGACAACATGGATGAACCTTGAGGACATTATGGCAAGTAGAATAAGACCATCAAAGAAGAAAATATACTGTATGATTCCATTTATGTGGCATTTACAATAATCAGACTCAGAAATGGGAAGCAGAATGGTGGTTTCCAGGGGATAAGGAAAATGAGGAACAGGGATTTGCTGTTCAGTAGTTGTAAAGTTACAGTAACATAAGATAAATATGTTCTACAGTTCTACTTTACAGCATTGTGCTTGCAGTTAACACTATACTGTACGCAAAACTTGTTAGTAGGGTAGATCTCATGTTATCTGATTTTGTCACAGTAAAACATAAAAGAACAGTTTCTATCAATATCTATAGATAGTTTGGTGATTACTGCAATCATAACAACGTTAATTGTCTTATCCACAAAGATGGGATGACTTGCAATTTATTTGGATCTCTTAAAATTTATTTTAAAAATGTTTTATAGTTATTAGAGTACAAATTTTCTGTTTTTTAACAAAAAAATTTAGGTATTCTCTTCTTTTTTAGATTACTATAAATCAAATTGTTCCCTTAATTCCAATTTTTAAATATTCACTGCTAGTATATAGAAATAAAATTGGTTTTTGAATATTTATATTGTATCTTGCAGCCTTACTGCATTTACTTATTTTTTCTTATATTTTTGTAGTGATTCCTCAAGATTTTCTATATGTGAGATTATGTTATCTCAAATAGAGATAATTATACCCCTTCCTTTCCAATCTATATGTCTTCTCTTTTTCTTTCTTGCCTACCTGCCCTGAATAGAACCTCCAGCACAATGATGAGTAGAACTGGCAAGAATAAACATAATTGTGTTGTTCCTGATCTTACTGGCAAAATGGACTCAGCCTTCTATCAATAAATGTAGTGTTAGGTGTTGGTATTTCATAGATGTCCTTATTTGATTTAGAGTGTTTTTATCACTCTTTATAATTTTTTTTAGAAATTTTAAAACTGATTTTTCTCTGTGTTCTTCACATCACACAATATCTGTCAATCCATTTTCAAGTTCACTTGTTCTCTCTTCTGCCAGTTCAAATGTATTCTTGAGATCCTGAAGTAAAATTAGCCAGTTAATTTTCTACCATTTACCACTAGATGTGTGCGTGGCTTGGAGGTTGCTCTTACAGTTTAGAGAGTTTACTTTTTTGTTGTTATTCCAGATTCAGCTAAGAACTAGTAGCTTGGAGGTTCTCTTTCAGTTCACTTTTGAGAGGGCTCATGTTTAAGCATGGTGGTAGTTAGAATAATGCCTCCCTACAAGATGGCCACAACTTAATGTCTGGATCTCGTGTTGAATTTTACAGATATTAGAGAAAAGGAAAATTAAATTTGTGGATGGAGTAAAGATTGCTAATATTCTGCCTTTAAAATAGACACATAATCCCTGTTTATCCAAGTAGTCCAAATGTAATGACAAGGGTCTTAAAAAAGAAAAGGGATGCAAAAGAGAGCTAGTGAGATGGCAGAATAAAAAGAACTCTGATATTACTGAATGTGAAGATGAGGAAGGAGGCCATGAGCAGAGAAATCCAGGCAGCCTCTAAAAGTTGGGAGAAAAAAACCCTAAAACTCAAGAAAACCAATTATCCTCTTGATCTGTAAAACGTAATGCAGCCCTGCTGACATCTTGATTTTTTAGTCTACTGAGACCAATTGTAGATTATTTTTACTAAAAACTGTAATGTAATAAATTTGTATTATTTTAAGCTACTTGGTTTGTTGTAATTTGTTGTAGCATCCATAGAAAGTGAACATGTGCAGACCATAGTTTTCCAGGCTACCAGTGATGACTACAACAGTATTTTAAAGATCAGCCTCTTAAGAGTTGCTCCTAGATGAGAATAGCTTACTCTTCAGTCAGTGTTCAGTCGAAGGTTTTGTTAATCTTACTTGACTAGTGAGGTCTTGGTTTCCTTTTTGCACTGATGAATCTGTACATGTGCTGGAGAATGCTTTCAAGTCTACCCAGATTCTTGTTCTGATTGCCTCTAAAGTGGGCCCTGCTTAGCATATGCACACAGTTTTCTTGACACCCAAATTTGACTCTGAACCCAGGGAAAGTGTTTTTGGATAACTTTTCCCCTGACTTTTTCTGGTTGCTCTGCTGTTTTGCTTTTATCAGAGCTACCAGCCTTTTCTTTATTGCTTTCCAATAAAGATCCCCTCTGTTCTCAACAACACCCTTAAGGTATGAAGCTCTAAGTAAAATCAGTTTTCTCAGCAAGTTCCACACAGAGCTCTTCTTGCTAACATCTTGCCTTTCCCTTTGGGCAGAAGCCTCACAACACTGCACTCGATTCAGCGGCAGGGAACCTTGTGTCCCCAGAATGATACTCAATTTCTACAAGTGTGCAGTAGGGTGAGTGGCAGTACCTGATCTTTTCAGCTTGTCCCTAATTGCATAGAACCACAATCCTATGAGTGAGCTGGGATAGTAGTGATTGGAACTCCAGTATTCTCAGACTATCAAATCTGGTGTTTCCACCGTAGGAGGAAGTCTGGGTGGGTTAAGAGAGTCTCTGTGCTTTCAGGAATGAATCTCTGGCTTAAACCTTGTGTAACATAGAGATGAGGGTATGGGGTATGGCCTACGTACCTACATCTTTGTGAGTGCAACCTTAGCTCCAGACTGTGAGCTTATGGAAGAAGTAGTCTTGTCTCCTTGGCTATACATACTCCTGTAGCTGCCATAATTTGGAGCTGGAGAAAGAGGATGTAAGGGAGTATGTCATGGCTCAAATGCCTCAGGTGCTTTATGAGATTTAGTAGATTATCTTGAGTGATTGTTTCTTCATTTGCTATATGCCTCTTGGACGGTCCCCAGAGATATATTGTCATTGTTTTTTAAAAATAGTTTTGACTAATTAAATTTTTGTTTTGCAACGGAAAAAAATATCCACCGAACTTCCTACTTCATCATTTTGGAGATAATACCCTTCTACTCTCATACAGCTTGCTTTAGCAGTATGGCCATTTGTGTTTAGTTCCAAATATACCATTCCATTTTGTGATGGAATGCCACTGGATATATCTAAGTACACAACTTGGTTGGTGTAATACTATCCGTCTGTCAATAAATTTTCCATTAGCATGACAGTAGCTATTTTACAAACTGTGTAAAATTTCCTGTTGTAGATGACATTTTTCTTCAGAACTCTGAAGACCTATATTTTGATTAAGGGCTTCTAGCCTATAAAGTCTTTATTTTGCATATATATCTAACAGCTTAGTAGTGTGTAATAATAATATTCATTTTTCTAAGTGTAGAAAAAAAATGTAATGAAATAACATACTACAACAGATGTTGAACATATAAATTTATCTCTTAAAATATCCATCTGTCCTGAGATTTGAAGAAGGCTGATGTCTTAGGGCATTTTTCATTACAGAGATCCATCTTCACCAAATTCTCAATTTTATGCTGATTCTTGCTGTATTTTAGAAATAAAGGAGTATTCACAGAACCAGATATAGATCAGGTTACTCTCACGTCTCACAATATATGATCTTTCCCTTTTGTGAAAATATTTATTTTTAATTAAATAATTTAGGATGCGTGAATAAAATTCAGGATAAGGATAAAGCATTAGGTAAACTGAGAGATTAAGATAAAAGGGAAAAAGTTTAAATGAAATGTATTATTATTATTGTAAGTTTTATCAAATACTGCATGTTCTTCATTTACTGTTTTATAGCTATTTATACTGAAAATATTTTAAGAGTGGAATTTGTTCTTTTAAGTTTTCATGAGCAAAGATATCAGAAGGCTAAATTAATGTAGAGTCTGTAGAATTTCCTTAAATTAAAATAAGGCATTTTAAAAGATTATCAGAGGTATATTTTCTAATTATGCAATAGGAAAAGTAGTAGACAAGTTGACTAATCATATTAAAATATAACCTAACTGTTCCAAATATTTTAGAATTGATATTCCTGGTGGTATACTGATTTTGATTATGTGTACTTTCTCAATCTATCTAAATCAGTCTTGATTAGATTTAATAAGGAGTTTAGGCATATCTTAGTGACACTTTTAAATTAATCAAAACCCAAGTAATTTAATATTTAAGACATTAATCAGAAACTAAGGCTGTATTTTTATAGATATCCATGACTCTATTGTTGTTAACTTATCCACATGGTAGTTCTGATTTGTTACAGGTCTGCACAGCACAGGGTTCGATGCACATTACAAAAGTTGTGTTTGAAATTAGAATCTTATATATGTGTGCTTACTAAAATTCCATTACTGCAGGTTTGTGTTCACACGGAAATGAACTTAAATTACTACACTTCCAGTAGAATTTCCAGCAATATTAACTAAGTAGTTGAAATACAACCATAGAAAATTATTAATGGAGATAACCTGTAACATCAAATCACTCATATAGATAATGGTTTTTTGAGAAAATTGAAATTAAAAAAATTAACCCAATCATATTTTATTAGGTGGAAAAATGTTAAGCTAAAATACATCACTGCATATAGATGGAGAAATTGAACAAGTTCTGTTAATGTTCAACAACTTTTAATATGTTTTATGGAAAAGTGGAATACCTATGAACTATTTTTAATAAGTCATAGTAAGTTAGATTATAAATTACAGAAACTAACTTCAAATGGTTATTTATAAGTATTACCATTATACAATCATATAATATTTGAACTAAAATGGTTTGAATTTGCATGAGGATGGTAAACTGAACTATTAAAATATCTCGAAATGCCAGAAATTTATGTAAATACTTTTTCTAAAGTACTGTTAAAGAGAATTTAGAATATTTTTTAATCAGTACATCAAACCTCTTGAAGGGTGGGGCTGTAAACTAGTTCAACCCTTGTGGAAGTCACTGTGGCGATTCCTCAGGGATCTAGAACTAGAAATACCATTTGACGCAGCCATCCCATTACTGGGTATATACCCAAAGGACTATAAATCATGCTGCTATAAAGACACATGCACACATATGTTTATTGCGGCACTATTCACAATAGCAAAGACTTGGAACCAACCCAGATGTCCAACAATGATAGACTGGATTAAGAAAATGTGGCACATATACACCATGGAATACTATGCAGCCATAAAAAAGGATGAGTTCATGTCCTTTGTAGGGACATGGATGAAATTGGAAATCATCATTCTCAGTAAACTATCGCAAGAATAAAAAACCAAACACCGCATATTCTCACTCATAGGTGGGAATTGAACAATGAGAACACATGGACACAGGAAGGGGAACATCACACTCTGGGGACTGTTGTGGGGTGGGGGGAGGGGGGAGGGATAGCTTTCGGAGATATACCTAATGCTAAATGATGAGTTAATGGGTTCAGCACACCAGCATGGCACATGTACACATATGTAACTAACCTGCACATTGTGCACATGTACCCTAAAACTTAAAGTATAACAATAATAAAATAAAAAATTATCAGAAAATAAAAAACTAATGGACTATATTTATGGAAAACAGAAACACTGCTCCAAAAAGAGTGCAAGCAATTAGGTTCCTTTCACTATCTCACCAGTTGGTTAATTATCAAGTTCAGAATCTCATCCTAAGATTATATTTCTACAGCCACTAAAACTGAAGATTGTAACTCGGGTTGGTCCATATAAAACTGACCTGAAAATGACCATACTGCCAAAATAAATATATAAATTTAATAATTTTTTTTCAAAATCCCATCATCATTCTTCACAGAACAAGGAAAATGCAGTCCTAAATGGAACCAAAAAAGAGCCTGCACAGCCAAAGCAAGACTAAGCAAAAAGAACAAATCTGGCCTGGCGCAGTGGCTCATGCCTGTGATCCCAGCACTTTGAGAGGCTGAGGTGGGTGGATCACGAGGCCAGGAGATCGAGGCCAACATCATCTGTTCCACAAAAACTATTGAAATAAAAAAAAAGTGTGTGTGTGTGAAGGTAAACATGATTTGAGCATTTTAAAATTGAGTATGTTTGAATATTTCTTTTCTTTTAAAATTTAACACAATTCCTGAGCTGCGATTTAAGAAAACAACCTATAGTAGATATGGGAAATATATACTAATTATAATAATTTATATGAAGAAATAAAAAATACAATCATAAATGTTCAAAATACATTTATAGGAGACAAATAAAAAAACTTCAATGATAAATATTAAAATATTGAGCACTAAAATGTTGTGTTAACATTTTATAATAAAAATGCTTACAATCATATATAAATATTAAAATATTGAGGTGTTTTTAAATACCTCAGATAAATTAAAATATTAATTATGTTAAATATAAAGGTATTCTATACATATGGAAATTTGAAAACATTAAATAGCTATTAAATTGATGTCTTATTCCATTTTCTGCTGCTATAACAGACTACCACAAACTGGGTAATTTATAAACAATTGAAGTTTATATGAGTCATTGTTCTGAAAGCTGGAAAATTTAAAAGCATGATGCAAGCATCTGGTGAGGGCTTTCTTGCTGCATCATCTCATGCAGGAAGTTGAAATGAAGCAGAAAAGCCAGAGGCAAGAGAAGAACAAACTGGTTATTATAATAGACTCACTCTTGCAATAACTAACTCACTTCCTATATAACAACATTAATCACTTATTAGGTTCCACCACTCAACAGTGTTGCATTGGGAATTAAGCTCTCAACATATTAACTTTGGAGGACACATTTAGGCCATAATGTTCAGCTAACATTTAAAATATAAATACTTAACAACTATACGTAAATCCAAATATACAGTAGTCCCCCCTTATTTGTGGGATATGTTTCAGAACCACCAGTGGATGCCTGAAACCACAGATAATATGCAACTCTATGTTTTTTTCTATACACACATACGTATCTAAAGTTAAATTTATAGATTAAGCACAATAAGAAATTCACAAGTAATAACAAAATAAAACAATTATAACAATAATCAAAGTTATGTGAACGCGGTCTTCCTGTCTCTCACTCACACACACAATGTCTTATCGTGCTGTACTCACCTATTTTCAGAACTTAGTTGAACATGGGTCAGTAAAACTGCAGAAAGCAAAATTGCAGATAATAAGGGACTACTGTATAGGTATGTATATCTTTGGGTGTGTATAGAGAGAGATCTTCATATATATATGCCTTCTGTATATGTGTGAGTATATTTAGGTGTGTGTGTATATATATATGTATACTTATGTGAAGATATATGTATATGAAGATACAGACACACACACAGAGATACACACACATATACAGTAGTCCCTCATACACAAAGATACATATATATCTTTGTATATATGTGTATATACAAAGATGTATATATGTATATATAAGGATGTATATATGTGTACATGCAAAGATGTATATATGTATATACAAAGATATATTTGTATATATGTGTATCATTGTACATATATATACACACACACAAAGTTACACACACATACACAGAAGGTATATGTATGTGTGTGTGTGTGTATATATATATATATATACCCCTCTTTCAAATATTTGAGTTATATGTGTATTTAAATATATATCTCTGCCCTGTTATGTTATACTCAGTACAAAATCTTTAAGGGTAATTTGGGAAAGAAAAGATAATCTATGGGCATTAATACATTCCCACAGAAATTTAAATTTAGGATTTCTATCTAGAGGAATTACCAAAAATTTGCAGAAAATAGTTTTGATTATACTTGGGAGCTTTTCTGAGTTGTGTTTAATAAACATGAGTATTGAAAAAATCTAGTATTTGCAGAACTGAGGAATTGCTATAATAATGTGTGTACATCCATTGATGAAATTTCAATTTACTAAAAATTATTTGATTAAGAATGCTTAATAGTAATTGAAATGTTTATGACACAGCTTGCCACATATGCATTGCCAAATACGCAGGAACTAATGCAAAATATGTGAGTTAGTATATGTCTGTGTGGATGGTAAACAATTTTGCAAGTGTTGTTCATATATCTTCACCACTTCTTTATAGCTGGATAATCATATATATCATATATTTTATTTTCTTAAGACTTTTGCAAGTCTCTAATAAGCACATACGACTGTTTATATTCTGATTTAAAAATATATTTTGCCTCTCATTAGCAGAATCTAAACCAGAAATCTAATAAAAGAATTCTGGTAAAGGACATTCCCAGGGTTCTGGCCTCAAGGTATGGGCATACCTCAGTCTGAAGTTTGTAAGGCTAAAGATTACTTGAATTGAGTTTCCTCACCATTTGAGAAGAAAGGAAAACATAAAAGCAATTAATTTTGTTTTGGCTTCTTAGATTGAATTTGATAGACAAGTTTTTTAAAAATAAACTTGCATTCTGCAACTTCCCTGATTTCAGGGCAATTTGGAAGCAAAAACTTATAATAAATATACATGAGTAAGGAAGAAAGGCAAAGCTTTCTAGCAATTTTCTAATGAGAAAAAGAAAACCCACATCTGAGTAACTGGATTGTACCTGCAGTGGAATTCCGCATAATGCCTAGGCTCAAGTGGGTAAAGTATGGGTTATATGGTGGGCTTTAGAGATTTTTGAGAAGTGATGTGTTCTAAAATACATAAATATCTCCAAAATATTATGTTTGCCAAAAGTCAATCACTAAATAAATATCTAAAATAGTGTCTGGCATTGAACATGAAGTCATTACCAATATGGAAACAGCATTTGTCATTATTGATTGCATAGAGTGTATAAGCAAAGTGATTGCACATAGTTAATTATCAGTAACTAATTGAATAAATATTAGAATGCAAACTGCTGCAAAGGATAAATCTTAAGTTCCACACAAATAGGTAGTAACAGAGCAGGAAACCACATCAACTCACAGAGTATGCTAAGTCAAATAGTGAACACTTTTGAGACAGGATACTAAGTGAAAATAGGTAATAAGAGAAACAGTCACTATTTCAGTAATGCTTTAAGTAGCCCCAATATATAATACTTATATACAGCCAATAATACTTATAGAATGTGATGAAGTTACCTACACTAATTGTATACCAATTATTTCATAAAAGAGAATATTCAATCAAAATATTAATATATAAAATCTGAATGTATGCTTTTTCTCTCTAATGGACCTTGAAATTTTAATGAGGTTCTTGAAAGACATATAAAATTTCTGTTAGAATCCTACATGAATCTTAAAAATTAATACTTATATATCTCCTTCTGTAAAAATCAGACAACATAAAAAAGTACTGAACAAAAATGTTTTAACAGTGAAATAGAAGAAACACCACCTGAACAGAAAACGCTCCTCTTTGAGAGATAAATAATACTATGTCAAAAATTATACATATTGTTATCATAAATATTTAGTAGTCAATATTCCAATTTTCTACAACGTACATATATGATATAGTCAAACATACAAAATGAGAAGGGATCCAGCTAAAAAAGAATGTAATTAAATAATTAACAAATTCTTAGTTAAATTCCTGGTTATTTCATTTCTAATCGAGATATTTTACTGTAGGTTGTGTTTATCATAATTATAACCATTGCCTGTGAGAATTATTTAATCGATTAATTAAATGTAATTCTTCTTGAATAATGGCTTGTGTCTTGGAAATAATGGCATGCACTGCGAAACCAACTACCATTTTTACCTCCATTGCTATCTAACACATTCCCACTCATCTTAAGTAATCATGTCAAGTATTATATAGCATTTTCTTAAAAATGGAAAGTTATTTTCTAAAGCAATATGGGTTCAGAGCTTAACAGAAGAAAAGATCCCTCCATGATAAAGCCTATAAATATTATAAATGTAAGAAGGGAAGTGGACGGTGCTAAAAAAAAGTGACTAGAGTAATATAACATAATGGGCATTGGAAGTTCAGAAAAGTTTTTTAAAAGAGGTGATATATAAGGTGAAACTTGACAAATAAATAGATGTTACCCAGATAAAAGAAAAGATGGTAGACAATGTTTTTTAAAAAGGCATAATTAGAGCCAAATCCTGAGTGAACTCCCACTCACCATTGCTACAAAGAGAATAAAATACCTAGGAATACAACTTACAAGGTATATGAAGGACCTCTTCAAGGAGAACTACAAACCACAGCTCAAGGAAATAAGAGAGGACACAAACAAATGGAAGGACATTCCATGCTCATGGATAGGAAGAATCAATATCGTGAAAATGGCCGTACTGCCTAAAGTAATTTATAGATTCAATGCTACCCCCATCAAGCTACCACTGACTTTCTTCACATAATTAGAAAAAACTACTTCAAATTTCATATGGAACCAAAAAAAGAGCCTGTATAGCCAAGGCAATTCTAAGCAAAAAGAACAAAGCTGGAGGCATCACACTACCTGACTTCAAACTATACTACAAGGCTACAGTAAGCAAAACAGAATGGTACTGGTAGTAAAACAGATATATAGACCAATGAAACAAAACACAGTCTTCAGAAAAAATGCCGTACATCTACAACCATCTGAAGTTTGACAAACCTAACAAAAACAAGCAATGGGGAAAGGATTCCCTATTTAATAAATGGTGTTGGGAAAACTGGCTAGCCATATGCAGAAAACTGAAACTGGACCCCTTCCTTACACCTTAAACAAAAATTAACTCAAGATGGATTAAAGACTTAAATGTAAGACCTAAATCCATAAAAACCCTAGGAGAAATCCTAGGCAATACCATTCAGGACATAGGCATGGGCAAAGACTTCATGACTAAAACACCAAAAGCAATGGCAACAAAAACCAAAATTGACAAATCGGATCTAATTAAACTAAAGAACTTCTTCACATAAAAAACAAACAAACAAACAAAAAACTATCATCAGAGTGAACAGGCAACCTACAGAATGGGAGAAAATTTTTGCAATCTATCCATCTGACAAAAGGCTAATATCCAGAATCTACAAGTAAGTTAAACAAATTTACAAGAAAAAAAAACATCAAAAATGGGCGAAGGATATGAACAGACACTTCTCAAAAGAAGACATTTATGCGGCCAACAAACTTATGAAAGAAAGCTCATCATCACTGGTCATTAGAGAAATGCAAATCAAAACCACAATGAGATATCATCTCATGCCAGTTAGAATGGCAATCATTAAAAAGTCAGGAAACAACAGATGCTGGAGAGGATGTGAAGAAATAAGAACACTTTTACATTGTTGGTGGGAGTGTAAATTAGTTAAACCATTGTGGAAGACAGTGTGGCGATTCTTCAAGCATCTAGAACCAGAAATGCCATTTAACCCAGCAATCCCACTACTGGGTAAATACTGAAAGGATTATAAATCATTCTACTATAAAGACATATGCACACCTATGTTTATTGAAGCACTATTCACAATAGCAAAGACTTGGAACCAACCCAAATGCCCATCAATGATAGACTGGATAAAGAAAATGTGGCACATATACACCATGGAACACTATGTAGTCATAAAAAAGTATGAGTTCATGTCTTTTGCAGGGACAAGAATGAAGCTTGAAACCATCATTCTCAGCAAAATAACACAGGAACAGAAACCCAAACACCACATCATCTCACTCATAAGTGGGAGTTGAACAATGAGAACACATGGACACAGGGAGGGGAACATCATAAACCAGGGCCTGTCGGGGGATTAGGGGTTAGGGGAGGGATAGAATTAGGAGAAATACCTAATGTAGATGATCGGTTGATATGTGCAGCAAACCACCATGGCATGTGTATACCTATGCAACAAACCTGCACGTTCTGCACATGTATCCCAGAACTTAAAGTTTAATAAAAAGAAGCATAATTAAATTATTAAAAATTCACAATAGCTAAGCATGACTGTTTGTGTCTTGAGTCTATAGAACTGAGAAGTATAGAAGTGAAAATCTAGAGCCAAATTACTCAGGAGTTTGAATGCTATGTGAAATTTTAAAAAGCTTTACCTTAAGGAAATGAAAAGTGTAATAATTTTTAAATTTTAGAACAATTATTCTGACAGTAGAATATATAAAGAGTAGCCAACTAAGACATAAGAGATGAAAAGGCAATTTTAAGAGGGTCAGTTTGGTAATTTAGAAAAGAGATCATGGTGGCTTAACTTCTGGAAGTGGCAGTGAGTATGAAAAAATGCAGATGGATTTGATAGATAAGCCTGAATTATCAGGCTTAGTCATTATGTGATATATGGGCTAAGAAATTTCATCTATAAAACTTGTTCAGTGTGATGTAAAAAAAATCACACACAACAGATATTGAGACACACAGATTGTCAATTAATGTATTATTCAGGGCTATACCTTGGGTATGTAACAACAAGAGTATAGAAGTTTTTAACCCTCTCCAGCTCTATGTAAAATTATTTTCAGTAATATTCATGTTATCAGGAATAATAACCGGAATTTCATAATTTATTCTTTAGTTTTCAAACAACATTAAAGAGAAAATAAGTTTCAAATACAAAATCCAATTTCAGTAAAATATTTCATATATGAACTAAAATTTACAACTTACTAGACAAAAAAAAATTACTCATTGATAGCCACACTCTGTCTCACAGTTTCCAATTTTGAAAGCAAATAAAATCTCCAAATAGACTTACAGAATAAAAGAACTGAAATAACTAAAGGTTTGTTTCATTACAATGACTATAATATCATGGCTAGTTTTGAATCTACTGTTTAATGGGAGAAATAAGGAATATTATAGGGATTTAAAATACAAAGCAAGCTCCAGGAATTCCCAATCTTTATAAACTTACTTTCAATAGAAACACGTGTTTCAGGGATCCTTCCATATAACTGAGAATTCCCAAAAGTAATTCCATTTAGAATACAGTGTAAAATGTCAATGTTTATTAATGAATGATGAATTATGTTCATCTGATTTATGTATCTGTATATATGCATATATGTATATAATCTTAAGCATATATCAACATATGCATAGAGCATATGTATAACAATGTATATGTATGTGTATGTGTATGTGTATATGTATATGTATGTGCATATGTATATGTATGGTATGGTTTGGCTGTGTGTCCCCACCCAAATTTCATATCAAATCGTAATCCCCCAGTGTTGAGGGAGGAACCTGGTAGGAGGTGATTGCATCATGGGAGCAGTTTCCCCCATGCAGTTCATGTGATAGTGAGTTCTCACAAGATAATGCTTTTATAAGTGTTTGGCAAGTTTCTCCATCAGTTGCTCACTCTCTCACCTGCCGCCATGTAAGAAGTGCCTTCTTCCCCTTCTGCCATGATTATAAGCTGCCTGAGGCCTCCCCAGCCATGTGGAACTGTGAGTCTATTAAATCTCCTTTGTTTATAAATTACCCAGTCTTGTGTAATATCTTTACAGCAGTGTGAAAACGAACTACTATCACATATATACATATATAATATGTGATATTTTTATATATCACCTGCTCTGGATGAAGATATATGTATTTATTTTATACTTAGAACTATAAAATACTCCATTGTTTGAGGGTTAGTAAATAATTCTGGTAATATTTTATACAACTCTACAGGTTGTATAAAAGGAGTTAATAACCGCCTGTATTTTTTCACCTGCTTTCTAGTAACAGCCTATACTGAAACTGCCTATGGAATCAGTAAGTCACAATTTTCTAAATTTGCTGAAATCACTTGACAAAGTAAGTTAAAAGAGACAGGAGAAAGCTTTACAATAAATAACAAAGGAATTTAGAACATTTTAACATCTCAGAAGATGAAAAGTTGGTTTTTTTACTTACTGTTTTACAGTTACACGCTCTGGGTATACTGCCCTAGACACTGTCTTTTTACAAATGAGAAATTTGCAATTGAAAAACAGCAAGTTAGACTATTATGCTCATTTCTATGCTTGCAAGTAAGAAAGATTTGAGATAGTGTTGTATTTAATACAAAAAATTAGATCACTTTTCTTCCCCATCTCCTTTTTATATCATTTGAAGATTTATTTCAGTCAAATAATGTATCAGTAATTGTTATCTAAAATATTATATTACTTAATCACACTCTCCATTAATGGAATTGAGAATAAAACTTAAAAAGTTCAAAATATTACATCATTTTGAAAATTTCAGGCAAGAGACAGTGCACACAAAAAGCAAATTAAAAACAAATGTGATAGAAAAATAATAAAAAAATAATCAAAATTTTCAAATTATATTTTTATTAAAATCCTTTATTTATCACAAATATTGTAGCCTCCATACTGTCTCCTCGGTTATAGGTAACTAGGTAAGCTATGCTAGACAATGAAGCAAAGTTCCTATAAGTCAGATGGTACATCAGATTCAAATTTTAATTATATAAATTCTGAGTAGTGTGATTTGAGAAAATTAAATCTCTGTACGTGTCAGTCTACTATTGTGAAAGAAAGAAGAAATAGTATATATCTAGTCTATAGAATAGTTTGATTTATCACATTCAGTGAAGTAATCCACTTCTAGCCAGCACTTTATCTAGCTTATTCTGGCTTCAGCTCTCTGATGGCTTTAACTGTTTCTCTCTTGCTCTGGCATAAGGTAACAGTTGCCTACAACGTACGCCTGATATTTAACCACCATGTATGAGTCCTTTAAACTGCTAAAACCTATAGAAATATTGTCTACATTACAGTCTCTGGAATTAAATCGTTTGAATTATGTTGTGCCATTCCAGATATTTAACAGACAGTGCTTTAGTTTCTAAATGCTACACTTGAGACAAATGTATGTTTTGCAAAACATAAACTAATAAAACATTTTCATTGCCTATATTTTATTAAAAATCAATACTTTATTTTCATACATGCATTTAGAATATATACAGCGTAAGTCCACTGAATACTGATTTATGTACTTAATATTCTGTCTTTTATTAATAATATATTTCCCCTTAAGATATTTGACTTATGTGTAACCAACAAAAAATGAAAGTGAAAGCCTCATATGTTTATAATTAAAAACCTAATATTCTCACTATAAAATATGTATGGAAAATTCAAAGAAAATAGCATCTTATGATTTTGTGTTTATAACAAGAAATACCAATATTTACTCTGTGAAAAAAATGGTGCCTTAAGCAGTTAGTCACATAAAATACAATATGAACGAGCTGCAACATATATTTATAAAGATAATAAGAATATAAAAGATGTCATTATCCATATAAAAATGTAGAAAGTTCCAATTTCCAACCAATATTAGTTTTGAAATATTTTATATATATTTTACATTTTTTGAATGGTTCAACATTTTATAATATGTACTACATACAAAAGTATTAATAACAGTTGCTTTCCAAGTGTATTGTCTAAAGATCTATAATTATTGCTTACACAATTTAATAACTAATTACAAGAATACATAATGAATAATAAGCCAGAACTAACAAGTTGTGATTACACATAAGTGATAATCTTTTAGTCTGTCAAATAAATGAATGGGTAATGAAGACAGAGAAAACTAAAATAAATAAGTCAAACTGTAATATCATTTAAATATGAGTAAATACCATAATTTTATCATCTTTTGACATTAAAAAACTTATATTTTTTGCCTATAACTACATATAACTGATTCATTACCTGTTTATCTTATTCTAGTGCCACATTTGTAACATTGTAGTTAAGGCTGTGTCAGCATTTCCATTATAATTTTATATTTTCATCTATTTGTAATTCTGCAATTGAAATTTTTTCAGAACGAAAGTTGGACAGCAACATGTTTTTCATAGAGGACATTAAAAACAAGTTTTTAAAAGCTAACACTCATTTGAAAGATATATCTTATCCTGATAATAGAATGTATTGTAAATGATGCCAGTTGCTAGTTTTGATATTCTTCATATTTATTTTTTGTTTTTTAGTAAATATTTCTTTTGACTGAGAAAATAATAGGTATTACTAAAATATACATTTTATTTTTCATTAAAAACAAACAAATATTATATATTAGGTTTATAAATTTAACTTTAAAATAACACAATATAGATACACTACTTTGTCTTTTGATCTGTGATATTACAGGTTAATCTTCAAGTTTTATGAAAAAATTGACAAGCAGAAAAATATTTATAAAATTACTTAATACTTTTGAACATGCAAAAAAGTTAACTTTACATTTTCTCAGTTCATGAATAACTATAAAGAAAATAAAACATAGCCAAAATACTCTTTACACTTACATGTGCAATTCAATCATCTGTATTTTAGCTGGACAAAAAAAATCGAGAGTAATAAATTAACAAGTACCAATATTTAAAAATTATTTCATTTTTTGATGCTCATATTCAAAGTAAGACAACTACCAGAATAGAATTAAAATAAAAAATAATACTATTTAAATATTATTAAAACATAAAAAAATTGCAGAATATTATAATTCAATGTTTGTCTTATGTACAAAATCTGTAGTAAAGTTTACGAGCACAACATCACAAGAATTATATCAAATTATAATTCACAATATTTATGTTAATTAAATCATCAATATTTTCGACAAGTATCAACATCTGAAGTTATTTTATAAAGGAAGACAAGTTATTATATTTTTAGTTATGAAATTTGGAATTTTTGCAATGCAATCTTTTTTTACATTTAGTTTTTGTTTTAGGTACAGAAGTTACATGTACATATTTATTACTAATTGCATGACACTGAGTATTGCATGACACTGAGGTTTGTAATATGGATCCCCTTACCCCGGTAGTGGTTGTAGTATCAGATAGGTATTTTTTTAACCCACACACCCTCCCTCCACCCTCTGGTAGTCCACAGTATCTACTGTTTCCTTATTTGTGTCCATGTGTGCTCAATGCTTAGCTCCCAATTATAAGTGAGAATATGCAGTATTTGGTTTTTCGTTTCTGCACTAATTTGGTTAGGTTGATGGCCTCTAGCTCCACTGATGTTGCTGCAAAGGATATGATTTCATCCTTTTATAGATGATCCTATGGTGTATATGTACCACATTTTTTTATCCAATCAACCATTGATGGGAACCTGGGTTGATTCCAAGTCTTTGCTATTGGGAATAGTGCAATAATAAACATATGCACACATGTGTCTTTTTGATAGAATGATTTCTTTTTGGAGGATGTATAAACCCAGTAATGGGATTGTTGGGTCAAATGGTAACTGCTTTACGTTCCTTGAGAGATCACGAAACTGCTTTCTACAGTGTTGGACCAATTTACATTCCCACCAACAGTACACAAGCATTTCCTTTTCTCCATAGTCTTGTCAGCATCTGTTGTTTTTGACTTTTTAATAATAGCCATTCTGAATGTTAGATGGTGCCTCATTGTAGTTTTGATTTGCATTTCTCTGATGATTAGTGATGCTTGGCATTTTTTCCTGTTTGTTGGTCAATTGTATGTCTTTTATCAAGAAGTGTCTGTTCATGTTCTTTGCCATTATTTTTTTAAATTTTACTTTAAGTTCCGGGATACATGTGCAGAATGTGCAGGTTTGTTACATAGGTATACATGTGGCATGGTAATTTGCTGCACCTATCAATGCCAATTTTTTAATGGGGTCATTTGTTCTTTGCTTGTTGATTTGCTTAACTTCCTAATAGATTCTGGATATTAGTTTCTTTTGCTAGGCAGAAGTTCCTTATTTTAATAAGATCTCACTTGTCAATTTTTGTTTTTGTTTCAAATTCATTTGAGGACATAGCCAAAATTCTTTGCTGAGACTGAAGTCAAGAAAAGTATTTCCTAGGTTGTCTTTCAGGATTTTTCTAGTTTGAAATCTTAAATCTTTAATCTTTACACTTTAATCTTTTGAGTTAATCTTCATATATGGTGAAAAGTAGGGGCCCAGGTTTTATGTTCTGCATACGACTAGCCGATTATCCCAGCACTATTTATTGAATAGGGCTTCCTTTCCTCATTGCCTGTTTTTCTTGGTCTTGTCAAAGATCAGATATTTCTGAGTTTTCCATAATTTTCCATTGGTCTATATGTCTGTTTTTGATGCAGTACCACCTGTTTTGGTTATTATGGTTTTATATAGTTTGAAATCAGGTAGAGTGATGCCTCCAGCTTCATTCTTTTTATTTAGGATTGTTTTGGCCCTTCAGGCTCCTTTTTAGTTCCACATAAATTTTAGATAAGTTTTTTTCTAATTCTGTAAAGAATCATGTTGTTGGTTTCATAGAAATGGCATGGAATCTGAAAATTGCTTTAGGTTGCATGGCCATTTTAACAATATTGATTGTTCCAATCCATGAGCATCAAATGCTTTTCCATTTATTTGTGTTGTCTGTGATTTCCTTCAATGATGTTTTGCAGTTTATCTTGTAGAGATGTTTTTCATCTCCTTGGTTAGCTGTACTCCTAGGTATTTTCAATTCTTTTTTTTCATTTTGGCTATTATGAGTGGGGTTGTGTTCTTGATTTCACTCTCAGCCTGGATGTTATAGGTGTATAGAAATGCTACTGCTTTTTGTATATTGATTTTGTGTCCTGAAACTTTATTTTTTTATTTTTATTTTTTTCAGACAAGGCCTGGCTCTATCACTCAGGCCAGAGTGCAGAGGTGCTATCTCAACTCACTGCAACCTCCGCCTCACAGCCTCAAGCCATTCTCCCAACTCAGCCTCCCAAGTAGATGGGACCACAGGATTGTACCACCACACTCGGAAAATTTTTGTGTTTTTGGTAGAGATGGTGTTTCGCCATGTTGCCCAGGTTGGTCTCCAACTCCTGAGCTCAAGCGATCTGCCCGCCACCACTTCTCAAAGTGCTGGGATCACAGGCATGAGCCACCACACCCAGCAAGGGTCCTGAAAGTTTACTGAAGTTGTCTATAAATTTTAGGAGCCTTTTAGCAGAGTCTTTAGGATGTTCTTGGTATAGAAGCATATAGTAAATGAAGAGATATACTTGAGTTTTCTATGTTGATGCCTTTTATTACTTGTTCTTGCCTGATTGGCTGGGCCAGGACTTCCAGTATTTTGTTGAATAGAAGTGGTTAGAGTAGACATCTTTATCTTGTTCTATTTCTCAAGGGAAACTTCTTAAGCTTTTGCTCTTTCATTGTGTTGTTTGCTGTGGGTTTATCCAAGCTGGCTCTTATGGTTTTGAGGTATTTTTTTTGATGCCTAGTCCTTTGAAGTTTTTTATCATTAAGAGATGTTGGAACTTATCGAATGCTTTCTCTGTGTCTATAGAGATAATCATATGGTTTTTGCTTTTTCTTTTGTTTATGTGGTGAATCACATATATTGATTTAAATATGTTGAACAAGCCTTGCATCGGAGGAACACAGACTACTTGATTATGGTGTATTAGCTTTTTGATATGCCGCTGGATTCAATGTGTTAGTATTTTATTTAGGATTTTTGTGTCATGAATGATATTGTTCTAAAGTTTATTTTCTTCATTCTGTGTCTGCCAGATATGGTAAAAGGCTGAGGCTAGCTTCATAGAATGAGTTAAGAGGGAGCCTCTCCTCGATTTATTGGAATAATATTAGTAGGATGGGTATCAGCTCTTTGTAAATCTGGTAGAATTCATCTCATCTATGAATCCATCTGATTCTTTATTAATGATTCAATTTCAGCAGTTCATGTTTGTCTGTTCAGTTTCAATCTCTTCCTGATTCAATCCTGGCAGACTGTATGCTTCCAGGACTTTATTCATTTCCACTAAATTTTCTAATTTGTTCACAGAGTTTTTCATAGTAGTCTTTGAGAATCTTTCATATTTTTGTAGGATCACTGTTAATATCACCTTTGTCATTTGTGATTGTGATTATTTGGATTTCCTTCTTTTTCTTTGTTAATCTAGCTAGCAGCCAATCAATCTTATTTTTCAAAAGCCAACTCTTCATTTCATTGATCTTTTGTATAAACTTTTACATTTCAATTTCATTCAATTATTCTCAAATCTTAGTTATTTCCTTTCTTCTTCCAGCTTTGGGGTTGGTTTGTTCCTTTTTTTTTCTTTAGTTCTTTAGGTGGAAAGTAAGATTGTTAATGTCAGACTTTCCAACTTCTTGATGAAGACATTATATGGCTATAAACTTTCCTTTTAATACTGCTTTTTCTGCACCATAGAGATTTTGGTAAGTTGTGTCCCTATTTCTATTAATTTCATTGTTTTTAAATTTCTGCCTTAATTTCAATATTTACCCAGAAGTTATTCAGGAGTAATTTGTTCAATTTCCATGGGTTTCTGTAGTTTTGAGTGGTCTTCTTGGTATTTTATTGCACTGTGGTCTGAGAGTGCTTGGTACGATTTTTTGAAAATATCGAGATGGTTTTATTACTGAGCATGTGGTCACTATTAGAACAATGTTCCATCCTGCACATGAGAACAATGCATATTCTTTGGTGGTAGGGTGAAATGTTTGGTAAATTTTTATTAGGTCCAATCGGTCAAGTGTTAAATCTACCTCATTGATTTGTCTAATGCTGTTAGTGTGGTGTTGGGGTGACCCACTATTATTGTGTGGTCAAGGAAATCTTTTCATAGGCCAAAAGAACATGTTTTATAAATCTGGGTGCACCAATGTTGAATGAGTATATATTTAGGATAGTTAACTCTTCTTCTTGGATTGCACCCTTTATGATTATGAAATGACCTCTATTGTCTTTAATTTGTATTGGTTTAAAGTCTGTCCTATCTGATGTAAGGATATAGACTCCTGCTCTTTTTGTTTCTGCTTGCATGGTAGATTTTACTCCACCCTTTTACTTTGAGGGTCTTGTATTGTTACATATGAGATGGGTCTCTTGATGACAATATATAGTAGAGTCTTGTCTCTTTATTCAGCCTTCCATTCTGTGTCTTCAAGTGGGGCATTTTGCCAATTTACGTTAAAGGTTAGTACTGATATGTGTGATATTGATCTGATCATGGTGTTATTAGCTGGCTGTTACATAAATTTGTTTAGTTGCTTTATAGCGTCTGTGGGCTCTGTGCTTAAGTGTGCTTTTGTGGTAATGGGTGTCATTCCTTTGAATCCCTGTTTAGTATTCCTTTAAGGACTTCTGCTATGGCTGGTCTAGTTTAAACATATTCCTTCAGCATTTGCTTGTCAAAGGATTTTATTTTTCCTCCACCTATGTAGCTTAGTTTGGCAGGATATAAAACTCTTGGTTAAAATTTCGTTTTTAAAGGATACAGAAAATAGGTCTCCCAATGTCTTCTGGCTTGTAAGGTTTCTGCTGAGACATCTGCTCCTAATGAGTTTTCCTCTGTAGGTAACCTGCCCCTTCTTTCTAGCTGCTTTCAAGATTTTTTTTAGCCAGACGCAGTGGCTCACACCTGTAATCCCAGCACTTTAGGAGGCCGAGGCAGGCGGATCATGAGGTCAGGAGATCAAGACCATCCTGGCTAACACGGTGAAACCCCGTCTCTACTAAAAATACAAAAAATTAGACGGGCGTGGTGGTGGGTGCCTGTATTCCCAGCTACTCGGGAGGCTGAGGCAGGAGAATGGCGTGAACGCAGGAGGTGGAACTTGCAGTGAGCGAAGATTGTGCCACTGCACTCCAGCCTGGGCGACAGAGTGAGACTCCGTCTCAAAAATAAAATAAAATAAAATAAAAAAGATTTTTTTAAATTGTGCATTGACCTTGGTGCATCTGGTAACTGTATGCCTTGGGATAGTTGTCTTATATAGTATCAGGCTGTATTTCATTTGCAAATCCACCTCTCTGGTTCAATTAGGAAATTTTTCATGTATTATATCCTGAAACTTTTTTTCCAAGTGGTTTATTTACATTTACTATTCCTTCTTAGGAAGGCCTTTGAGTCATAGATTTGATCTTTTTACATCTTTGAGGTCTGAAATTCTTTCCTCAGCTTGGTCTATTCTCATGTTAATACTTCCAATTATATTATGAAATCCTTGTACTGAATTTCTAAGCTCAAGATGCTGAGTTTGAGTCTCTCCTGACACCATGTAAGATGTGTCTTACTTCTCCTTTGCCTTCTACCATGAGGACTCCCCAGCCATGCAGAGCTGTAAGTCAATTAAACCTCTTTTTTCATAAATTACCCAGTCTCAGGTAATGTCTTTATAGCAGTGTGAAAACAGAATGATACACATACCTACACACCAACACATCAGGAGTTGCAGCAGAGAAAGAGTTTAATAATTTTGTGGAAGCCAAAAGAGGAGATTATAGGAACACTTAAATCTATCTACACAAGGTGTACTGACCTAGGGTTTTTAAGGGAATGATGGCAAGCATAGGGCTGGAGAGTTGAGGTTAATGATTGGGCAGATCCAGGGTATGAAATAAGGATGTGGAAATTGCCTTCAACTCTTCAACCAAATAGTTTAGTTTCTACATCCCTATGATTGGTTGTTTCACCAGAATGCAGACTCTAAAAATTATCTTAAATGAAAAACATAATGTTTCTCAACATTAAAGATATGTATAGAAACAATTACAGGAAGTTTGTACCTTGAGCTATGTGATTTAGAAGCAGTAAAGAAATATAAGGAATTGGGCTAAAAGACAAGCTGATTAATGGTTAATGTTGAGCTGTAAATCTGTCCTAAGCTTACGCTTTTGTTAAAAACACCTGGCAACTAATTTTATTAATTTTATTAGTACAATTTCAGAAGGTCACTCTTGAATATTCAGTTGAGTCTTCAATATGCTTGTAAAGAAACTACTTGAATCAAGAAAAGAGCCAAAGTGGGAATAAAATTACAGGTCCTGGAGCTTAGATAAGGACCTGGAAAATGTTTGTTAGCAAAAGCCAGATGAGAAAATCTCATAGTCTATGGTAAGTCAGTTAGAATAACAAGATTCTTGCCTCAATTGTGGAAAAAATTAACCTAGTATAAATCACACTCTGTTCCCACCAAAAAAGAAAAGCTTAAAATAACTGAACACATCAACTGTGTCTAAGTAATCTAATTATGTCCCAGAACAGAGTTTTACAGAATATTTTAAAGGCAAAAGGATCCTGTACTTTACAAGGTCTCATATTCAATAAACTCACAATGTCTGATATTTAATGAAAAATTTTCAGACATACAAGAAAGCAGGGAAATACAACACATAATGAGGAGAAAAGTCAATCAATCAAAATGGAATCCAAAATGACTGGTTATATATTTAAGGGAGAGGAGGCTGGGCGCGGTGGCTCACGTCTGTAATCCCAGCACTTTGGGAGGCCAAGGCGGGTGAATCACAAGGTCAGGAGATTGAGACCATCCTGGCTAACACGGTGAAACCCCGTCTCTACTAAAAAATACAAAAACTTTGCCAGGCGTGGTGGTGGGCGCCTGTACTCCCAGCTACTTGGAAGGCTGAGGCAGGAGAATGGTGTGAACTTGGGAGGTGGAGCTTGCAGTGAGCCGAGATCATGCCACTGCGCTCCAGCCTGGGCGACAGAGAGAGACTCCGTCTCTCAAAAAAAAAAAAAAAAAAAAAAAAAAAAAAAAGAGAGAGAGGAAATTAAAATAGCCATTACTACTCTATTCTAAAAGTTTAACTAGAATGAGGGTCAGGAAAGTTGTTTTAAAGCTGTATAGTAAATATTTTAAGTTTGTTGGCCATAGTTTTGTTGAAATTATAATGTGAAAGCAGCCATAAATAATATGTTAATGAATAGATAAGGCTATATTTAAGTATAAATGTATTCACAAAAGTAGTATTATTTTGGTCTTGGGTGCTGGCTGTAATTTACTGACTCTTGAGCTAAAAGAAAAAATGAGCATTTCAGAAGAAATTGCAGAAGGAAAAGATCAGTAAATATATCAATAGAAACAATCCATACATAGAAACTGGCCAAATATAAAGACTAATACATATAGTAGCAGAAAATGTGCAAAATAAAACACAGAAAAAATAATTAAATATTTTTATAAAGCATCCATGAATTTGCAGAAAACGTCAGGTAACCAAATATATGTGTAATTACAGTCCTCAAAGGAGATAAATGCAAGAGAATACCAAAAACATTTTTTTCTTTGAATATTTTACTCCACTCTCTTCTTGCTTGCATGGTTTCTGAAGAGATTTCTCATGTAATAATAATTTTTATTTCTCTGTAAAGCAGAATTGTATGTATGTTTGCTTGTTTTCTCCCCGCTGGCATCTGTCAAGATTTTTTGCTTGTCTTTGAAATGTTTTTATTCACTTATTTTTTAAGGTTGAATACAATATGCCTAAATGTAGATTTGTGTGTGTGTGTGTGTGTGTGTGTGTGTGTGTGTGTTTATTCTGTTTTGCATTCTCTGAGTTTTCTGAATTTGTGCCTTGGTTTCTATTATTAATTTTGAAAATTTCGAAGTCACTATTGTTCAAATGTTTCTTCTGTTATCTTCTTTCTCCTCCTTCTGGTATTCCCATTACATATATTTACATATTTTCTAATTGCCACATTGTTCTCGGATATTCTGTTTCATCTTGTTCGTGTTCTTGGATATTCTGTTTCATCTTTTTCCTGTTTTGTTTTTGTTTTCTCTGAGTTTCAGTGTTGGAAAATTTGTGTTGACATTTCTTTAAGCTCACTGATTCTTCACTTCACATTATCTAGCACATTGAGGAGCCCATTAAAGGCCTTCTTCATTTCTATTACTCTGCTTTTGCTTTCCTGCACGCCTTTTGACTCCTTTTTAGAGATTCCGTCTTTATGTTTAAATTACCCATATGTTCTTGCTTGTTGTCCACTTTATTCATCAGCTCTAAACATATTAATCATATGTATTTTATGTTTGAGGTCTAATAACTTCAATATTTCTGCCATATTCAAATCTGATTCTGATATTATTTCTGTATCTTCAAAGTGTGTATTTTGTCTTTTAGCATGTTCTGCCATTTTTTGAAAGCTGAATTTGAAATTTGAAAGACTGGGTAAAGTAATTAAAGTAAATCAGCCTTAATGTGAATTTTTACATTTATCTGGCTAGGAGTTAGGCTGTTTACTGATTGTTATAGCTGCAAGTGTCAGAAGCTAAAATGTCCTCTAATGTCTTATTTTGTCCCCTCTTGTTGTCTTTGGATTTCCCTAAAGACTTCTTAAATAAAATCTGAGATGTGTTATTTTAGTCATAATCCTGTTTTTTTTTTTTTTTTTTTTTTTTTTTTTTTTTGAGACAGAGTCTCTTTCTGTCACCAGGCTGGAGTGCAGTGGCACAATCTTAGCTCACTGCAACCTCTGCCTCCTGCATCAGGTTCAAGCAATCCTCCTGCCTCAGCCTCCTGAGTAGCTGGGACTACAGGTGTGCACCACCACACCCAGCTAATTTTTGTATTTTTAGTAGAGATGGGGTTTCACCACGTTGGCCAGGATAGTCTCGATCTCTTGACATCATGATCCACCCACCCCGGCCTCCCAAAGTGCTGGGATTACAGGCATGAGCCACCGTGCCCAGTGCATAATCCCAATTATTATACAGGTACCCTAATGATGTTGGGGTAAGGTTAAGGGATGGGGAAGCATTTCATAATTCTATCATTAGTCCTCAGTCTTCCAGGGAGCCTGTGTCCCTAGACTATGACCTTCACAAGTGTTTCTCAGTTTTGTACTCCATGCCTCCTTAAGTGAGACAAAAAGGAGAGGGTTGTAGTTGGGGTTTTTCCTTCCCCCAAGTCACATACTGATAAAGCCCAAGCCAATTTGCACTCATAAAATAGTTCCCGTTGAGGGCTGGCCATCTTAAGGAGAATAAAATATAACACTAAGGGCATATTCCAAAATGGCTACCTTTTCTCTCTGGTAATTGGAAGCAGGAGAGGATTTTTTCCTGATCTTCACTGTGGGAACACGTAGGGCTTCTGCAGGTAGAACTCACAACTGCAAGGGAATTCTCCAATACTGCAGAGTCTGGGAATTTTCAATACTCAAACTTGTCTACACTGAGTGTGTAGTCTGGATGCTTGTCTTCTCTAAATCTTATGTTGAAATGTCATCCTCAGTGTTGGAGGTGGGGCCTGATGGAGGTGATTGAATCATGGGGGTGGATTTCTCATGAATGGTTTAGCACCATCCCCTTGGTGATAAGTGAATTCTTACTCAGAGTTTATGTGAGACCTGGCTGTTTCAATGTGTATGGCACCTCCCCACTTCTTGCTCCCACTCTCACCATGTGACAGACTGACTCCCCGTGCCTTCTGCCATGATTGGACTTTCTGAGTTCTTCACCAGAAGTAGATGCTGGCACCGCACTTCTTGTACTGTCTGCAGAACCATAAGCCAACCTCTTTTCTTTATAAATTACCCAATCTCAGGTATTTCTTTATAGCAAAACAAAAAGAGCCTAACACACTGACCCTCAGCAATACTTTAAGTTTTCCTCCTCTGTTATAATTCCAATGAAGGTTTCTTTTTCCAAGCTCCGTGATTCTCCCTATCTGCCTGTTTGTGTCTCCATTTTTGGAGGCAGCTGTTTTCCCTGTGAGCTCCATACTCATGACTCTAAGAAGAGTCAACGTTTTCAATTCAGTTAGCTATTCTCTTCTAGTGAAGACTGGAGTGACAATTTCTATCTCAGTCAATTTGTATCACTATTAAAAGAAATCATAGACTAGGTAGCTTAAGAACAACAAACACTTATTTCTCTCAGTTCTAGAGGCTAAAAAATTCAAGATCAAAGTGTCAACAGATCTAGGGTCTGGTGAAGACCTGCTTCCTTGCTTGTATACAGCAGCCTTCTGCCTATATCTTTAAGTAACCAAGGCAGAGTTCATCTCTCATCTGTCTCTTATAAAAGCACTAACTCCATTCAGGAGAGCTCCACTCACATGTCTTAATTATTTTCCAAAGGCCCCACTTTCAAATGCCATCACATTGGAGATTAGGCTGATATATATGAATTTGAAGGGTGACAAAACCATTCATTCTATAACAACTCCCAAGATCCTTACATGCCAGTATGGACAAACATATAGAAAAAAAAAAGCAATGGCCAAATATTTGCAAATTTGGTGAAAAATACAAACAAATATCCAAGACACTTAACAAAACTCATGCAAAATACACAGGAAGAAAATTGCATCAAAATACTTTGTATTAATTTGTGAGAACTGTCATAACAAAATACCACAGACTGGGTGGCTATAAAAAAATTTGTCTTCTCACAGTTCTGAACACTAGAAACCCAACAATGAAGTTTCAGCAGGATTGGTTCCTTTTCTGAGGGCTGTGATGAGACTCTGATCCAGGCTTGCAGATGGGCATTTTCTCCCTGTGTCTTCACATTGTCTTTTCCCTGTACGTGGGGTCTTGGTCTCAGTTTTCTCTTCTTATAGGAACACTAGTCATATTGGATTACACCCATCCTGATGACCTCATTTGAATTTAATTACCTGCTTAAAGATATTGTCTCCAAATAAGGTCACCTTCTAGGGTACTGAGAGTTAGAAGTCAACATTTAAGCTTGTGATGGAGGAAAATTTATTCCTTAACACACCTAATCTTTTTTTTTTTTTTTTGAAAAAAAGAAATAAAATAATTTAAAATTAGCTAGAGATAAGAAAAAGGCATATTGTATTATAAAAAGGAAAGGCAAAAATAACAGATTTGTCACATAGTCTAACATATGAGAAATATGAAGAGGCCCAAAAACCTGGCAAGCTTTCTCTTCAGGACACTTATTGTTTTCTTGGGCTACATTAGAGGCAGGAGAGCTATAATACAGACTTTAAAGAGCCAAAAAATCCCATCTCGCTCGATATTTAGGAGTTAAATGACTACTATACAAAAGAGGCCTTCTTCAATCTTTCAATCACTCTCTCTATTAAGATATTTGAAAGGCTTGAAATCTATGCAGCCAAAGGGACAGTATGGAAAGAAGGCAAAAATGTATACTCAAAACCCATGCAGGGCAAAACAGAATCCTCATAATCTTCAATATCTCAATCTAAACTCCATATTATTTCAGCACCACATTCTGCAGACTCTCAAGGACAGAGAAGACATATGAAGCATATTTCTTCTTAATGCCGTACAAGAGGCTAAATATTTTTTGGGTTTTATTATTTTGCTTCTCAGCTCTGATAAGAAAATATAGTATTTTTTTTTTAAAGTTTTCAATACACATAAGTCTTCCAAAGGCCAAAAGAAGAATTAAGTTGCCTTCTGTGTACCTAGAAAAGTCATCCAGATCTTCTGGCTTCACTTGTATAGCAGCTTTCTGTTAGAAGAATTTGTGCCCAAACTTCTTGATTGGAATAATGAATCTAAGACTCTAGGGAGCTAAATGCAGAACAGATTTATTTCTCAAAACAGGATACAAATTTCTTAATAAGCACAGAAAACTAGAAACTGTGTTTCTGTTTTTGAACACTTACAATTTTGATTAGGAAGATTTTAATACCTACATCTTTGCAAACACTGAGATACCATAAAATAACAACTCTCTTAAAATTAGTCACAAATTTGATGAAAAGAAAGTCATAGTGAGTATTTATTAAAGGGAGTAGTAGATAATTATATTGAAGGAAGTCGAAAATATGAAATCTATAAAATTTGTATTAGACCTCTGAGAAAATTTTAAATAAAACATAAAAATACTTGTCAATATTGACCAGAAAAGCTGCCTATATACTGAGTAATGGAACTGCTGGATTCCCAATTAGAATAAAAACAGAAAAAAATATTTGGTAATATTGAGAAAAATAGAAAATTATGTGAAAGACTTGGAAGATGGATCTGATCTATAATGCAAATAATAGGAATTCTCAAAGAAAAACAAAACATGATGAAAATAACTATCTGCAAACAATAGAATATTTATCTGAGATGAAGAATGGCTTGATTTGCAGATTTTATAGCTTTCTAGAATCCTATAGTAAGTTATTAAACACCCACACATCAATATCTTAGTAAAAATTATAAATTTAAGCATTAAGAAATACTTTAAGAATGTAAAATATTCTAGACAAAAGAAAAATGATAGATTTAGAAGAAAGAAAATCCTGTTGAAATTGAATTTCTTATTTTCATCAATGTGAACAAATAAATTATGATATAATAGGTTAGGGGAGTAGAATTCTGAAAGCAATAGCCAATCTTGAAATAATTTCTCTGTCAAGTCAAAAAAAAATGAAGGCATGTAAAAATACCAACAGTACTCCCCTCCTGTATTTGAAAGAACTATATATTCTAACATATTCTAAACAAAAGATTGAGATAAAGGAAAATTATAAAAAAAAAAGTGGAAATACATTGCACATTTTTATTGTTTCAAATAATTTAAATATGATTAGATATGTGTAATGAGTCTCAAATATTTTCTAACACCAAATATTTAAATCAATTACACAAAACATATTGGTGGAAGGAGGAGAGAGTGGCCGGGAGGTGAATAGGTTGGAGAGTAAGAAAGTAAAATACATTAAACTGCCTTGTTGAGGAAGCATCCAACTGGAAAGGAAGATTTGTTTTTGAAATGTTCCTATCATAGTTGAAAAGCATATGCTGTATTATATTATAAAGTATATTTGGAAAATACATTTTACCAAAAATGTTAATAAGGGTATGTAGTAACACAAAAGGTCAGATTGTCGAATCTGATTCCCAGAGACCCTGGTTCAAAATTGGAATTCATTTCAAATTGGATTCGACATGCAAGGTTCATTCAAACCAATTCATGTGGAGCCATCACTTATAAAGGGTACCATTTGAGTATGGAGCATATTTATTTTATATTCCATTGCTTATAAAGCTTACATTATTTTCATTCATTTTCCATCCAACCATCATAAACCCCTATACATTTATGAATCGAAGTTTTGTTTTGCTTTGTTGTGTTTACAATAAGTGGCCTAGAGAGAACAGGTATCTCGTGCTCACAATTCATAGGCAAGATACATGCATGAGTATTTTTCTAGTAAGCATTCTAAGTATTTTTAGAAAAGGTCTGGTTATTAATATGTTTAAAAGGGATTTGACTGAGTCACTTTTTACTCCTCAGCTGTCCCTGTTCAAAAGAAAGATTACAAGCCCATTCCAGTTCTTTTCTTGCCATCATAAAATTTTAAACTAACAATGGGAACAAAAGGAATACATTGAAACTTAAAAAGAAAAAGGAAATAAATACATAATGGTAAATCAATTAAATAAATATTTATGTTATTGCATTAATCATTAATGAAATTAATTATGAAAATATTAACAAATAGCTATGTATAGGTCAAGCAGAAAATGTTAGTAATCAAGATTATGCAAATAAAAAATTAACAAACTGAATACATATTTATACAAAATTTAAAAAGTGCATTGTTGTGTTTCCTGTATTAGTCCGTTCTCACACTGCTACACTGCTATAAAGAACTGCCAAAGACTGGGTAATTTGCAAAGAAAAGAGGTTTAATTAACTGACAGTTCCACATGGCTGGGGAAGCCTCGGGAAACTTACCATCATAGCAGAAGGGGAAGCAGGCACTTCTTACATGGCGGCAGGTGTGAGACAGAGAGAGAGAGTGCAAAAAGGAGGAAGAATCCCTTATAAAACCATCAGATCTCGTGAGAACTCACTCACTATCATGATAACAGCATGGGGGAATTCGCCCCCATGATCCAGTCACCTCTCTCCAGGTCCCTCCCCCAACATGTGGGGATTACAATTCAGATTAAAATTTGAGATAAGATTTGGCTGGGGACACAGCCAAACCATATCATGTACATAAAAACCTTTAATTAATTTGACAATACAGACACAAAGAAGTTTCAATAAACTTTAAAGAATAATATCAGTAAAACGCATGCTATTTTTGAAAACAATATTTTAACCAAATTAGAAATTATATATGTATATATATATAATACACGTTTATTTTTTTTTAATTTTTAAATGAAGCTCAATATTATTTAGGCATAGAAAGGGAATCACACTAGAAATTTTTATAAATTTAAAACTGAGGCCAGGCATGGTGGCTCACACCTGCATCCCAGCACTTTGGGAGACCGAGGAAGGCAGATCAAGAGGTCAAGAGTTTGAGACCAGTCTGACCAACATGGTGAAACCCCGTCTCTACTAAGAATACAAAAATTTGCTGGGTGTGGTGGCGCACAACTGTAATCCCAGCTACTTGGAAGGCTGAGACAAGAGAATGGCTTGAACCCAGGAGGGGGACGTTGCAGTGAACTGAGATCGCGCCACTGCACTCCAGTCTCGGCGGAAGAGTGAGACTCCGTCTCAAAAAAAAAAAATTAAAACTGAATGGTATTAATACTATGTGTCAAAGCAGGTGGAATAAAGCTAGAGTAGTAATTAGAGATATTACTGATAATTTAAATTTATTTTTATAAATTCTATATTAAAATAAAGGTATAGTATATTCTACAGAGGAAGTCAATAAAAGTACAACAAGATAAATCTGAATTAACTAGCTGAGGTGTAAAAAAGATATAAAAATTAGGACAGAAATCATGAAATTGAAAAAATACGAGAGTTTGAGAGAGAGTTAAAAAAAAACCCTCTTTAAAAAATGCAAGAAACTTATTTCCAGTAATATTTTTAAATAAAAAATGTAAAAGAAAAATAATATTAGGAAGAACAAAGGGAACATCCTTTTGTTTCTTAACAATTTTTTGCTAATGAATAACTTGAGCTTTTTTTCTTTTAGATTGTTATTTTGCTAATAGTCATAGATTTTAGATATAATAACCAATTTATAAATATTCAAGGATAGTATATTTCATAAACATAACTGTAGGTTTATAATAACATATTTGTTCTGTGATATGTTTCTTCTCCTACCCACTAATACAAAATGAATGAAAAGAATACAAAGCATAGTACTTTTAAATCAATGTTATCATTTAAGTGTAAAAACATAAGTTGTGAGGTCAAGTTATTGTAACATTCTCTTTGTACATTTTAATGAAAATTTAAATTGGTGAAGAGTTTGCTGATGTGTTTAAGTGTCTAAGAAGATGAAGATAAGAAAGAGAAAACTGGTAAATAAAATAATACAACCCTCAATATATCCAAATGATTTGTGAATTTTTAGTATACTAAAAACCACAAAGTTAGCAGTTTATTTCTTTGTAATTATTTTTGTTTCTTCTCTTCTGCATCACATGAAAATTTTCAGTATATCTGAAAATATTACAGATTCTGTGGGCTCTCAATTGGAGGCCTTCACATAAATTTGACACTTTGACACAGTGCCATTTATCGTTAAACATTGTGTCATTTTTCAGTCAGTCTTTGTGACTGTGTTCATGTCTCAACCAATTTGAATAAATTTTTCATAATGTCACTTCTAAGATTATAGTCAACATTTTAATAATTCTAAGATATGTCAGTTGTATGTATTTAGCCATTCTGTCAAAACCATTTATTTTCCTTCTTTCATCTTCAATTTTAATTTTAAGTTCAGAAGCACATGTGCAGAATATGCAGGTTTGTTACATAGGTAAATATGTGTCATAGTGGTTTGTTGCACATATTATCCCATCACCTAGGTATTAAGCCCAGCATCCATTAGGTATTCTTCCTGATTCTTCCCCTCCCCCTCCCCCTACCCCATGGGGCCCAGTATGAGTTGTTCCCCACCATGTGTCCACGTGTTCTCATCATTCCGCCCCGACTTATAAGCGATACCATGTGGTGTTTGGTTTCTATTTTATGTCTGCATAGTATTCCATGGTGTATATGTACTACATTTTCTATATCCAGTCTATCATTGATGGACATTTGAGTTGATTCTATGTCTTTGCTATTGTGACTAGTGTGGCAGTGAACATACATGTGCATGTATCTTCAAATAGAATGATTTATATTCCTTTAGGTATATACCCAGTAAGGAGATTGCTGGGTCATATGATATATCTGCCTCTAGATCTCTGAGAAATTGCCACATTGTCTTACAAAGCAGTTGAACTAATTTACACTCCAACCAAAAGTGTGAAATTGTGCTTTTTCTCCACAACCTAGCCAGCGTCTATTGTTTTTTGACTTTTTAATAATCATCATTCTGCCTGGCATGATATTGTATCTCATCGTGGTTTTGATTTGCATTTCTCTAATTATCAGTGATGCTGAGATTTTTTTTCATATGTTTGTTAGCCAAATGCATGTCTTCTTTTGAGAAGTGTCTGTTCATGTTCTTTGCCCACTTTATAATGGAGTTAGTTGTTTTCTTTTTCTTGTAACTTTATTTAAGTTTCTTGTAGACTCTGGATATTAGACCTTTGTCAGATGTATAGATTGAAAAATCCTTTAAAAAACCAAATATACTCTTTGTCTGGATTACATAATAATACATGTTTAACTTTCTTTCTCCTCTACTTTTATTTTTTATCTGATTTTCTAAATACTAAATATAGCAATATTTTGAAATCAAAGATCTTACATCGCTCCATATTGTTAAAGAAATTTAGATATCACTTTAAAATAGTGGGTGAATATGTTAATCTATTTGATGCCAAGAGAAATCATAAGTACTGTTTGATACTTATGTTATTGAGTTTACCTTCTCTTTTTATTAGCAATGGATATTAGCATGTCTTAATTATTTTACATTGATAAAAATGCACATTGGATCTTACCAAAACATTCATGAGAAGTTTCACTGTCAATAAGTATTCACAACTCTTCCTTTTCCTAATCTACATACTTTTACAGCCTTTGCAGGGCATTTATTATTAATAAACTTACTTGCTAATGTGTGGAAGAATAAATTTTTCCATGAGACTGACTTACTGGATTCAGGCACTCCTGTTTCTTATTTAAACATACTGAGTCTTTTCAATAGTGTGGCAATAAAAAAGAAAATAGATCATTATACCAAAAAGATATATGCACTCATATGTTCATTGTGGTGCCATTCACAATACCAAGGATATGACATCAACCTAAGTGCTTATAGTGCTTATCAATGGTGGGTCAGACAAAGGTAACATGGCCCATATACACCATGCAATACTACCCAGCCATAAAAAGAATGATATATTCTTTGCCACAACATAGATGGAGCTGGAGGCCAAGTCCTAAGCAAATTAACTTAGAGACAGAAAACTAAATATTGTATGCTCTCACTTTTAAGTGGGAACTAAACATTGAGCACATATGAACATAAACATAGGAACAATAAGTACTGCAGCCTACTAGAGTAGGGAAGGACAGAGTGGGGTGTGTGTTGAAAAGCTATCTATCTGGTGAGCTATGCTCACCACCAGGGTGCAATATACTCATGTAACAAACCTGGCCATGTATACTTTATATCTAATATAAAAGTTGAAATTTAAAAAAATACTGAATCAGTTTATGAAACACAAAGACTCATATGACCCACATGTAGTGGGCTACCTCATACTCTCTTATAATCCCATTAGCTGCAATGTGAATTTTCTATATGTTTTCTTTCAATCTGTATTTGTTAATTTCACTTTGATAGTTATTTCCTCAAATACTAGAAAAATCATGTTATTAAATACTAGATGAATTATGATTTGGAAAACAAAGCGTGTTTCCAATAAATCATAAATCATTATGGAAATATTTAGAAAAGCTTCAAAAAGTCTATCAAATCAGCATTACTTGTCATGTATTCAATAGAAAAATAAACTAAAAATATAAGAATTCAATACTGAAAACATTTTGTAGGCATACTGAATCTCTTGGTCATTTCTAAAGAAATAGAAAAAATTCAAATAGTAGAACATTCATTGTACATGTGTTTTCTGCGAGTATTTTTCCAGAGAACTATTATTTTGTGATCTATATTTAAAGGCCTTTTTTGCTTATAACAATCTTGGTGAAAAAAGTCCATTTGTATATTTTTAAATCAAAATAATAAAGTTTTATATGAACCTTTAAAACATATTTTATTATCAGTTGCAATGTCATCAGACACCAACAATATTTATAAAATTGCAAGGAAATCTAGTTTGTTAGGGTCTTTCCATTATTTATTTTGTTCATTATATAAGAAATTTTGTGCTTCAGTTTTATTTTAGATTCATAGGTAATATACCAGGTATCTATCTGTTTTTATCTTGTAAAAACACATGGCTTCTCATTTTAGGTTAGGAAATCTATTGAACAAATTTTGTACCATTCTTCCTAAGCTATATTATTGCTGAATGGATTTTTAAGCAACACGAATTAAGGAACTCATTTATGCAAATTTTTCTCAGCCTATCTTAAATAGATCAACCAAGCAGACTACTCATTACAAGACCATTAGTTAAAGAGAAGCTAGTTCATATGGGTGTTATAGACCAATACGTAAAAAAATATGCAAATGATAAGCAAACAAACAAGCAAAAGCATTGTAAATAGCAGGCATGAAATTAAGCAACTCCCCATTCTTCTAGCCAAGGCTCTAGTGCAAGAAATCTTCAACATCTGTATATACAGTCCCTAGATGAAAGTGGCTGCTATTTTATTTAGGACAAAGAAACATGACTACTTCAAAGCTTTGATTTCCAAGTATTTTGCTTACTCTTCATGGTGGAAATCAATGTGATTTGAATTTGCTCTTAAAATGTCACTTGAGCAGGCTAGATGTATGCTGTAAAGGTCTTACTGTCTGAACTCATGCCACAACTTCATGTTCTTGTCCGTCAAGTACTGGTCTCCTTACACATCTCTCTAAGCTAGATTTTTTTTTTTAATTTTCCTTTAAGTTCCAGCATACATGGGCAGAACGTGCAGGTATTTTACATAGGTATATGTGCACCATGGTGGTTTGCTGCACCTATTGAATTGTCCTCTAAGCTCCCTCCCCTCACTCCCCCACACCCTCTAACAGGCCCTGGTGTGTGCTGTTCCCCTCCCTGTGTCAATGTGTTCTCATTGTTCAATTTCCACTTAGGTGAGAACATATGGTGTTTGGTTTCCTGTTCTAGTTTTAGTTTGCTAATGATGTTGGCTTCCAGCTTCATCCATGTCTCTGCAAAGGACATGATCCCATTACTTTTTATGGCTGCATAGATTCCATGGTGTATATATACCACATTTTCTTTATCCAATCTATCATTTATGAGCATTTGGGTTGGTTACATGACTTGGCTGTTGTAAATAGTGCTGCATAAATATACACGTGCATGTGTCTTTATAGTAGAATAATTTATATTCCTTTGGGTATTGTATTAGTCCATTTTTAAGCTGCTGATAAAAACATACCAGAGATTCGGCAATTTACAAAAGAAAGACTTTAATGGACTTGTAGTTTCATGTGGCTGTGGAGGCCTCACAATCATGGCAGAAGGTGAAAGGCATGTGTCACATGGCAGTAGACAAGAGAAGAGAGCTTGTGCAGGAAAACTTCGCTTTTGAAAATGATCAGCTGTCATGACACTTATTCACTACCACAAGAACAACAGAAGAAAGACCTGCCCCCATGATTCAATTACCTCCTACTGAGTCCCTCCCACAACACATGGAAATTCAAGATGAGATTTGGGTGGGGAGAGAGCCAGACCATATCATTCCACCCCTGGTCTCTCCCAAATCTCATGCCCTCACATTTCAAAACCAATCATGCCACCCCAACAGTCCCCCAAAGTCTTAACTCATTTCATCACTAACTCAAAAGTCCACAATTCAAAGTCTCATCCAAGACAGGGCAAGTCTATTTTGCCTATGAGCACGTAAAATCAAAAGCAAGTTAGTTACTTCCTAGATTCAATGGTGGTATAGGCATTGGGTAAATATAGCCATTTCAAATGTGAGAAATTGGCCAAAACAAAGGGATTACAGGCCCCAAGCAAGTCTGAAATCCAGCAGGGCAGGCAAATCTTAAAGAACAAATGATTTCCTTTTATTGCATGTCTCACATTTGGGTCATGCTGATGCAAGTGGTGGGTTCCCATTGTCTTGGGCAGCTCCACCTCTGTGACTTTGAAGGATATAGCCCCTCCTGGCTGATTTCACAAGCTGGCATGGAGTGTCTGTGGCTTTTCCAGGTGCACGGTGCAAGCTGTTGGTGGATCTGCCGTATTCTGGGAGCTGGAAAATGGTGGCCCTCTTCTCACAGCTCCACTAGTCAGTGTCCCAGTAGGGACTCTGCATGGGGGCTTCAACCCCACATTTCCCTTTAACACTCCCTAACAAAGGTTCTTCATGAGGGCCTCACCCCTGCAGCCAATTTCTGCCTGGGCATCCAGCCATTACCATACATCATCTGAAAATCTAGGCAGAGGTTCCCAAATCTCAATTTTTGACTTCTGTGCACTCTCAGGTTCAACACCACATGGAAGCTGCCAAGGCTTGGGGCTTGCATCCTGTGAAGCCATGGCCCAAGCTCTACATTGGCCCCTTTCAGCCATGGCTGGAGTGGCTGGGATGCAGGGCACCAAGTCCCCAATCTGCACACAGCACAGGGACCCTGGGCCCAGCCAAGGATACTATTTTTTCCTCCAAGGCCTCCAGGTCTGTAATGGGAGGGGCTGCTGTGAAGATTTTCGACATGCCCTAGAGACATTTTCCCTATCATCTTGGGAAGATTCCGCTCCTCGTTACTTATGCAAATTTCTGCAGCCAGCTTAAATTTCTCCTTGGAAAATGAGATTTTCTTTTCTATTGTATTGTCAGGCTGCACATTTTCTGAACTTCTATGCTCTATTTCCCTTTTAAAACTGAATGCCTTTAACAACACACAAGTCACCTCTTGAGTGCTTTGCTCTTTAGAAATTTCTTCTGCCAGATAGCCTAATAATCTCTCTCAAGTTCAAAGTTATACAGATCTCTAGGGCAGTGTCAAAATGCTGCCAGTCTCTTCACTAAAACATAACAAGAGTCACCTTTGCTCTAGTTCCCAACAAGTTCCTCATCTCCATCTGTGACATCTCAAACTGGATTTCATTGTCCATATCACTATCAGCATTTTGTTCAAAGCCCTTTAAGGAGTCTCTTGGAAGTTCCAAACTTTCCCACATTTTCCTGTCTTCTTCTGAGCCCTTCAAACTGTTCCAATCTCTGCCTGTGACCCAGTTCCAAAGTCGCTTCCACATTTTTGGATATCTTTTCAGCAACACCCCACTCTTCTGGTACCAATTTACTTTATTAGTCTGTTTCACACTGCTGATAAAGACATGCCTGAGATTGGGCAATTTACAAAAGAAAGAGGTTTAATGGGCTTACAGTTCCACGTGGCTGTGGAGGCCTCACAATCATGGCAGAAAGTGAAAGGCATGTCTCACATGGCAGCAAACAAGAGAAGAGAGCTTGTGCAGGAAAACTCCCCTTTTTAAAACAATCAGATGTCATGAGACTTATTCAATATCATGAGAACAGCACAGTAAAGACTTGCCCCCATGATTCAGTTACCTCCTACTGGTCTCTCCCACATATGCAGGAATTCAAGATGAGTTTTGGGTGGGGACACAGTCAAAGCATATCAGGTATATACACACTAATGAGATTGCTGGGTCAAATGGTATCAGAAAACTGAAACTGGGCCCCTTTCTTACACCTTATACGAAAATTGATTCAAGATGGATTATAGACTTAAATGTAAAAACCAAAACCATAAAAACTGTAGAAGAAAACCTAGGCAATACCATTCAGGACATAGGCATGGGCAAAGACTTCATGATGAAAACGCCAAAAGCAATTGCAACAAAAGCCAAAATTGACAAATGGGATCTAATTAAACTAAAGAGCTTCTGCTCAACAGAAGAAACTAACATCAAAGAAAACAGGCAACCTGCAGAATGGGAGAAAATTTTTGCAATCTACCCATCTGACAAAAGTCTAATATCCAGAATTTACAAGGAAGTTAAACAAACTTACAAGAAAAAAACAACCAATCCCATCAAAAAGTGGGCAAAGGATATGAGCAGACACTTCTCAAAAGAAAAAATTTAATTAGTCAACAAACATGAAAAAAAGCCAACAAACTTACGAAAAAAAGCTCAGCATCACTGCTCATTAGAGAAGTGCAAATCAAAACCACAATGAGATACCGTCCACAACAGTCAGAATGGCAACTATTAAAAATTCAAGAAAAAATAGATGCTAGTGAGGGTGTGGAGAAAGAGGATAGCTTCTTCAATATTGGTTGGAATGTAAATTAGTTTAACCATTGTGGAAGACAGTATGGCGATTCCTCAAAGATCTAGAACCAGAAATAAGCTAGTCTTCAATACAATTTAGAAGATAACTTTTCAAATGTAGAGCTCTCCCAAATATTTGTTCAAATATATTCACTTGACAAGGCTATAAAATTGATTTATATTTAAAAAGCAAAACACTTTCCTAATGTAATTGTGATGGCCAAAGTAAATTTTTTTTGTGATTCACTCTATATTTTAAACATAGGCATAGTTATCATTTAATGTCATTATGATCAAGGAAGTGACCTTCCTCATAAACAACAGGATCATATCTTTCCAAGCCCTCTAATAACCTTAACGATATTGACTCCCCAGCCTCTCTTCTGTCTTCTATCTTGCCTTGGAAACTTGATTCTTCTTATTTAAATTTTAAATGCAGGATATCTTTTTTATAATAAAACAAAAATCAAGTATATGCCTTCAAATGTATTCCCCCTCTTTCTGTTATTCTGGCCATTCTCTTAAGAGCCTAAATGTTCCCCCATATTCTCTGTTTCAATTTTCTCACCTGACACCAACTTCCCAACTTATCTTGCCTTTGTCTCTGTCACTACAGTAAAAGGGTTCTCATTAGGGTCAGCATACTTCTATTACTTGAAATTTAAAAATGTATTTTGTCTTACATAACTTGATTTTATATCCTCATTCTACACACTTTAGTGCCTCTGTATAGAAACATACTCTATCCATAATTACCTGAATTTTCCCTATAACTGTAGCCATCCTTTATGCATTTCTTTTAAAGCACACAGCTTTACCTTTAAATCTTGAAGCTTCTAAAGATGTAGGCATAATTCCACTTCTCTGGATATTCATGTTTCCAACAGAATCGCACCTCTGTCATTGTCATTTGCGACAGCTGCTGATGGTTCCCAATTGGTACCCCAATTACTTAGGGCCTTCTTTTTTTTTTTTTTTTTTAAACAGATCTCACCTATTACTTACAAAAATTTGCACTCAATTCTCACATGGTATGCCACCTTAAATATCTCAAAATCATCCAAAGACAGTATGTCCCAAAATGAAGTTTTTATTTTCTCTGGAAGATTGGGTCTTCTTCCCCATCTTAGCGAATGGGAACATTCATGTCTAGTGCATCAGTAAGAAACCTAACAGTCATCTTTACACTTCTTCCTCACTGTCTTCCTCCAGAGCTTCCCCAAATTACTGTGAGTCTACTGTGTTTTACCTCGTAAAGTACTCTTGAGTAAATTCCTAGTTTCTATGTTTACTCCGAAGACACTGACCCAAAATGTTTTGAAAGAGACACCACTGCATGGTGCCTAAATTGATCTCAGGCAAGTTATATAACCTCTTCCTTCAGTTTCCTCAGCTATAAAAATTAAATTAATAATAAGAGTTATTTGAAGATTAAGTATATTCATAATTTGATATGCCTATAAAATGTCAATAAAAGTTCAATAAACTTAGCATTTACATAATCTCCTGATGTAATTTGGCTTTGTGTCCTCATCCATATCTCATCTTTTAGCTCCCATAATTCCCAGAGTTGTGTGAGGGACCCAGTGGGAGATAACTGAATCCTGGCGGTGGGTCTTCCCTGAACTGTTCTGGAGATAGTGAATAAGTTATCATGACATTTGATGGCTTTAAAAAGGGGAGTTTGCCTGCACAAGCTCTCTTTTCACCTGCCACCATCCACGTAAAATGTGACTTGTTCCTCCTTGCCTTCTGCCATGATCATGAGGCTTCCCAAGCCATGTGGATATGTGAGTTCTCCATTATACCTTTTTCCTTTGTAAATTGCCCAGTCTCAGGTGTCTTTATCAGCAACAGGAAAACAGACTAATATATCTCTCTCCTGGAAATAGCAATTGGTGCTTAATAGCTTTACTTTCATGCTAAATGTTCCAACATTATCAGTTTTCCACATTGGAGAAAGAATGGTTCTTTCAAAATACAAATTTTGTCATGCCATCTTCAGACTAAAAACTAATTATTTCTCTTCTAGTTTTCTTGGAATGAAAACCAACAACCTCTAAGGCTCTTGGTGATGTGTTTCCAGGCTTTACCCCAAGTCCTTTTTTAAGATTTTGTTGTTAACTTTTCTTCCTGAATCAGCGTTTTCCCTGGTCTCACAGCAAATGGTGGGTTTCCTGCCCTATGCTCCCTCTGTTCCATGTAATTTTTCTTCAGAGTATTACCAGGGTTTGAAATAACATGTATATCTTTTAATATTACTTATGCTTATTTGTGTCACTAGTCTAATAAGATTCACAAGGGAAAAGACTATGCTTTTCTAACACACCATTATACCTCCAAAGTGTAACACAGTGCCTGGTTTATGGAAGAAATTCAATATTTTAAATTGATTTATGTATTAGTAGATGGATGAATGAACTTTAAATAAAGTGATATGACTTTTCTTTCAGAGGGAGGTTATCATGGGCACAATTATACAGAATACCTCTTTATACAAGATGCCATTTTGATATTCTTTTCTTTGCCCTCTAGTTTAGATAATTATCAAAGTAAATAGAACAGAAATATATATTCAGAGAGAAGATAATGTATTGTTAATGAATGAGGGCCAATGCTAATGTAACAACTGGAGTCAGTATAAAGATTTTGAAAATAAAATTAAAATATCTGAAAATACTAGATTCATTTTCCATATAGTTTTGCACTAGCAAACATTAGAACAAGTAATTTTTAGCCATGTCTATTGAGTGCAAGTTATGTGCTAGACACTGGGGCTATAACTTGGAGCAAAAATAATGACACAAAATATTATAATTGTTAAGATCAAAGTCTTTGGTACCAGTTTTCCTGTGTGTGAATTCTGGTTACATTACTTAATAGCTGCCCTGTGAAAAACTTTCCATTTCTATTTGCCTCCCTCCATCTAATGACGAAAAAAGGATAATATCACCTAACCTCAAAAGTTATTGTAAGGATTAAATTAATGTAAAGCATTTAGCACTATAATTTATATAAAGAACTATGCTTCACATATAAGGAGCTTTACATATTATAAAATATATATTATTGCTAACATTATTTGTAACATTAATACTTAGCTTACCATTGAACCGGAGATAAAAACAAGTAAATAGACACTGACAGCATTTTATAATAAATAATATCACATAGAAGTACAATGTTTTAGGTAATCATGAAAGTGGGATGCTTTATCTGAATCTGAGAGTTCAGAGAAAGTTTGTTTTATAGTGTGGCATCTAACAGAATTTGAAGGATGTGCCCAAGTTACCCTTTGATGAATATGAACAGTCCCCCAAAAGGTGGCATATACAGAATTAGCATATGCAGTAGTTGACTTGTTTGTGTGGTGAGAGCCTAGAGTCTATGTTGTCAAACCTGTGGAGATAAAATTTACACATAAAGATATCTCACAGTCGGCTGAAACCCTTGACTTACAACTAAAGCATCAATTCTTCACCTTTCCTTTATCCATTCACTTACTTACAAATATATTGTTTCTCAGGAGAATGTCTCTAGATTTGGAGACCCTGTCTAGATTAGACAATGACTTAATTCAAAGTATTTAAATTACGAATGCAAATCTCTTTTGATAGGGATTGTCTTAGTCAGCTTGAATGGCTACAACAGAATGCAATAGATGTTATGGCTTAAATTACAGACATTTATTTCTCACAGTTCTAGAGGATGGGAAGTCCAAGATAAAGTGTTGGCCAATTTCTTGAGATTCCTCTTCTGGCTTGCAGACAGGCACCTTCTCACTGAGTCCTCACGTGGCAGGGAGAGAGAAAGCTCTTCTCTCTCTCTCTTTCTGATAAATATAGCAATCCCATCTTGAGCCTTCATGATCTTATCTACATTTAGTTACCTACTAAATATCTCACCTCCAAATATCATCACACTGGGGATTAGGATTCAACACAAGAATTTTAGAATTTTCAAGTGACACAAATTTTGAATCCATAACAGAAATCATGGCCTCCTTTACTTGTTGTACATTTCTCCCTCTCACTTATTTCCTTGTCCCAATCCCCTATTGCTTGCTTCCTTTCTTTCCTTCTTTCTTTCTGTTTCTGTTTTTTTTCTTTCTTTCTTTTTTATTTTCTTCTTTTTTATAATGCCCATGCTCCCTTACATCTTTTTTATTTCTAGTCCTGTACAAATTATGGAAATATGTTAAACATATGTAGGTGTTCTGGTTGAGATACATGTTTATTCCTCACTAAAACAAATAGGCAAAAATATAATGTTATCTAAGAAAACAAATGATTCAGTATGTAAAAATTATTTTAAGTATTGATAAAGGAGATAAAGGAATAGAAATCAAACTAGCTTTGCTTTAGTATCAGTTCTTCAGAGTTCTACAACATGCATCCCATAAGATAAGAAAATCCACTCAGGAATAATAGTGTAGTTTTACTCATTAGAAGTTATGACATTAATATATTAAACATGAGCATATATGTGTAGATTATTTTGAAAATATAAGTTCTGACTCTCTGAGCATTACATGTGCAGCTTCACCAAGCCAATAAATTTGGGAGAATACTTTGTTGTAACTTTTTTCCTTTAGTTTGTTGATAGTGGTTTTTTTTTTAATGTTAGTTTTGTTTTCTTTTCCATCCTTGAGTCGTTAAAGAAAAATGTGTCCATAATTCAGTCTTATGAAGGTCGTAGCTATTTAAATCAAAATACAACGTGATGTTCAAAGCCACATTCTTATCCGCAATTATATATATCACAAACTGCCTACATAGAAATCAGTAAATTACAGTGAAAAATGTCAATTTGACAGTGTGCCAAAATGGTTAGTCTATTCACCACAAATACATATAAGTTGATTGCTAGTTTGATATTGCATGTTTATTATTCTTTTATTAACTGTTCCTATTAGCACTTAAATATTAGTAAATTCCTTGCATAGTGATTTGAAATAGATCACCAAGACTTGTGAACTTTTTTCCTTTGTAGTATTGGGTTTGGAGTGAATCTAATAGCCCCTAGTCATGAGTGCTGTTTTAGAGAAACTTTATTTCTAGTGAGTGGAACTATGAGCTGATACACTTGCCTTTACACTTTGCCAGTATTGAAACTGCTACAAAGGGATTATGAGATTTATCCAGGGCCAGAGTGCTAGTCATTGACTAGTTGGCTGAAAATTATATTCTAGATGCCTGATTCTTAACCCAATTGGCTGTGTGACATCCCTTGAGAACATTGGTGGTAAAAGATTCAGGCTGTTTCAATTTACTCTTTTAATTAAAACATAGAACTGGAGAAGAAACAAATGAAAGAGATGAGAACAGGGCTTAAAATATCTGCTAGCTCGCCCTCAGTATTCTTTGTTACAATTCTGCAGTAAGGCTCCACCAACATATCTCTGAACAACTGCCACTTTTTCTTTTTGATTATGCAACATGCCACATTTATAGGCTCAGAATGGCACTTCACATTCCATTTCCTCAACATAGCATCATTAGAAGAAACACATAATTTTAAGCACTGACATCTAGCAAATGCAATGCATTGTGTTACTTCATTATACTCTCTTGTTTGGAGTTAGAAACTGTAGATTAAAGAATTTGTCAACAACTCTTACTGAGAACACATTGTGTTCAGAGCCTATTAAATATGGGCAGTAACTTAATAGTAAAATTATAAAACTTACTTTAAGAAAATGGTGTTGATATACAGGGAAAAGAAACAAAGTTCAGTGTGGTCTAAATGATTAAAACATGTACAAACAGAGTTCCTTAAAATAAGCAAAAAAATCCATATTTAAAGATATTAGAAATAAATTTGAAGTAATTATTTTATTTTCCATCATGCATTCATTTATTGAAGACAAACGGGTCTATGCTAATTTTTAAAGATGAATGAGAAGAATATAACTCTTAGCCACAAGTAGCTTACATTCCATAAGGTGAAACAGCTAACATATATGTAGTTATATAAAAATTAGATACTGATAAATGGTAAGTGTCAGAAAGGAAAAGTCTAGGATGTTAATATTTGCTATTCAGTAGGCTGAGTATGACTTGTGAAATCTGAATATACTGCATTTTCTCAGTTATTTTAACCATAATGAAGATAAACATATATTTACAAGAAAAAAAAATGAAGTAACTAACTCTGGATGCAAATCCAATTGTATTGAAGAGTAAATGACAGTTTATTGCCCTGGCCAATTTGCTTACTGTGTCTGCTTAAATGTATACCATACATACAGATTTAGATATGTTCTGAACCTATAAATAACCCAATGGTAACTAAAAATTTTATGGGGTACTGTGCTAAAGATTTACTGTCCTTCTCAGCTAGTATAGAAATAACCCAAGGCAGATTAATTGTAGAGAGATGCTTAGGTTACATTTACCTGCATTATTAGCATGAATAATACAGGTATGTTTTTATGTACAGAGATGTAGACATATTTTTAATGCAGTAAAACCTTAGATCTGTATCATGTATTGTTAACATGGATTCTGGATCTAGACCCGGTCAGTGTGTGTGAATCTCAGCATGCTACTTAATTCAGCTACATATTCATGGACAAGATACCTAACCTGTCTTTTTAAACTTTTATTTTAGGTTCAAGGGTACATAGGCAGCTTTGTCATTTAGGTAAACTGCATGTTACAGGGATTGTTGATTATTCCATCACCCGGCTAATAAGCATAGTGCTTCATAGGTAGTTTGTCAATGCTCACTCTCCTCCCACTCTCTATCTTCAAGTTGGCCCCAGTGTCTATTCACTTATTTGGGTCGATTTGTACTCAATGTTTAGCTCCAACTTATAAGTGACAACACAAAGTATTTGGTAGGGAAGGGGTCCAATTTCAGTCTTCTGCATATGGTTAGCCAGTTATCCCATTACCATTTATTGAAGAGGGAGTCCATTCTCCATTGGTTGTTTTTGTTACCTTTGTTGAAGATCAGATGATTACATGTATGCTGCTTTATTTCTGGGCTCTCTATTCTGGCTCCATTGGTCTATGTGCTTTGTATAAGTACCATGCTGTTTTGGTTACTGTGGCCTTGTAGTATAGTTTGAATTTGGGTGACATGATGCTTACAGCTTTTTTTTTTTTTTTTTTTTTTTTTTTGGCTTACACTTGTTTTGGTTATTCGGGCAACTTTTATTTTTATATGAATTTTAAAATCTAATTAGGTGAAGAATGTCATTGGTATTTTGATAGGAATATCATTGAGTCTGTAAATTACTTTGAGAAGTATGGCCATTTAAACAATATTGATTCTTCCTATTTATGAGCATGGAATGTTTTTCCATTTGTTTATGTAATCTCTGATCTTTTTTCTTCAGCAGTGTTTTGTAATTCTAGTTATAGAGATCTTTCACCTCCCTGGTTAGCTGTATTCCTGGTAATTTATTCTTTTTGTGGCTATTTTGAATGAGATTTCATTCTTGATTTGGCTGTCAGCTTGGATATTGTTGGTGTATTTATATACATTATAAAGTATATAATGAAATTGTCTGCTAACAGAGAGAGTTTTGACTTCCTATCTTTATTTTTGGATGCCTTTTCTTTCTTTCACTTGCTTGAATTGCTGTGGCCTGAACTTTCAGTGCTATGTTGAATTAGAGTGGTAAGAGTGGATATTCTATCATGTTTTGGTTCTCAAGGGGAGCGCTTCCAGCTTTTGCCTATTCAGTGTCATGTTGGCTGTAGGTTTGTCATGGACTGCTCTTATAATTTTGAGGTATGTTCCTTCAGTGCCTAATTTATTGAGGGCTTTTAGCATGAAGAGATGGTGAATTTTATCATAAGACTTATATAATCTATTGAGATAATTATGTGGTTTTTTGTTTTTAGTTCTGTTTATGTGATAAATCATATTTATTGATATGTATATTTTGAACCTACCTTGCATCCCATGGATAAAACCTACTTTATCATGCTGGATTCACTTTTTGATGTGCTACTGAATGTGGCCTGCTAATATTTTGCTGAGGATTTTTGCATCTATGTTTATCAAGGATATTAGCTTGAGTTTTTTTGTTGTTTTTGTGTCACTGCTGGTACAATTGGTATCAGAATGATGTTGACCTCATAGAATGAGTTAGGGAGGAGTCCATCCTTTTCAATTTTTTGGAATAGTATCTCTAGGAATGATTTCAACTCTTCTTTATACACATGGTAAAATTCAGCTTTTGAATCCATCTGGTCCTGGTTTTTTTCTGGTTGGTAGGCTTTTTATTACGAATGAAATTTGGAACTCGTTATTGGTCTGTGCAGGGATTCAATTTCTTCCTGGTTCAATCTTAGGAGGTTTTATGATTCCAGGAATTTATTCATGGAAATGAACAAATGCTTGTTCATTATAGTCTGTGAGGGCTTTCTATATTTCTGTGGAGTCAGTGGTAATATCTGCTTTGCACTTTGTCACTTCTCTTTGGCTTTTCTTTTCTTTTTCTTTTTTTTTTTTTGAGACAGAATCTTACTCTGTTGCCCAGGCTGGAGTGCAGTGGTGCGATCTTGGCTCACTGTAACCTCTGCCTCCCACGTTCAAGCGATTCTCCTGCCTCAGCCTCCCGAGTAGCTGAGATTACCAGAGCATGCCACCACACCTGGCTAATTTTTGGATTGTTAATAGAGAAGGGGTTTCACCTTTTTGGCCAGGTTGGTCTCAAACTCCTGACCTTAGTTGATCCACCTGCTCTTCCTTGCCCTCCCAAAGTGCTGGGATTACAGGTGTGAGCCACTGCACCCAGCCCACTTTGTCACTTCTGATTATGTTTATTTGGATCTTTTTTTACTTTGTCGGGGTAGTGATCTATCAATTATTGTTGATCTTTTGTGCAGTTTTTTGCATTTCAATTTACCTCACTTCAGTTCTGATTTTGGTTGTTTCCTGTCTTCTGATAGCTTGTGAGTTGATTTGCTCTTATTTCTCCAGTTCCTCAAGATATGTTGTTAGGTTTCAGTTTGAGATTTTCCCAACATTCTGATGTGGGCGTTTAGCGCTATAAATTTTTCTCTTAACACTGCTTTATTTGTGTCCCACAGTTTCTGGTACATTGTATTTTTTGACCCATCAGTTTTTAAGAATTTCTTGATTTCTACTTTAGTTTCATTGTTTACACAAAAAATGGAAAGGAAAGGGTTGTTTCACTCAGGAAAGGGTTGTTTAATTTCCACGTAATTGTAGTTTTGAGTGATTTTCTTAGTATTGATTTCTATATTCTATTACTCTGTGTCTGACAATGTGGTTGGTATGATTTCAGTTTTTGTGAATTTGCTGAGAGTTGTTTTATGGCTGATTGTGTGGTTGATTTTAGAGTATACGCCATGTGGGAATGAGAATAATGCATATTCTGTTATTTTTGGGTGGAGAGTTCTGTAGATATCTGCTAGGTTCATTTGGTCAAGTGTCAAGAACAGGTCCTGAATGTCTTTGTTAGTTTTCTACCTCAGTGATTTGTCTAATAATGTCATTGGGGTTTTGAAGACTCATAATATTTTCTTATGGTTATCTAAGTCTCTTCATGGGTCTCTAAGAACTTATTTTATGAATCTGGGTGCTCTTGTGTTGGTGCATATACATTTAGGAAAGTTGGGTTTTCTTATTTAATTGAATCTTTTACCATTATGTAATGCCCTTCCTTGTCTTTTTAAATTGTTGTTGGGTTAAAGTATGTTTTGTATGAAATTAGAAGAGCAACTCCTGCTTTTTTCTGCTTCCTGTTTGCTTGGTAGGTTTTTCTCCATACCTTTATTTGAGCTTACAGGTGTCATTGCATGAGATGGGCCTCTTGAAGACGGGATACAGTTGCATCTTGCTTCTTTATTCCACTTGCCACTCTGTACCTTTTAATTGGAGGAAGTTAGCCTGTTAACATTCAAGGTTAATTTTGATATGTGCAGATTTGTTCCTCCCATTGTGTAGTTAACTGGTTTTTATGCAGACTTGATTGTGTAGTTGCTTTGTAGTATTAATAGTCTATGTACTTAAGGGTGTTTTTGTGGTGGCCAGTAATGGTTTTTCCTTTCCATATTTAGCACTCCATTAAGGATCTCTTAAAAGGCAGGCTACTGGTAACAATTTCCTTTTTTTTTTGTTTTTGTTTTGAGATGGAACCTCTCTCTGTCACTCAGGCTGGAGTGCAATGGTGCAATCTCAGCTCACTGCAAACTACACCTCCCAGATTCAAACAATTCTCCTGCCTCAGCCTCTGGAGTAGCTGGGATTACAGGCTCCCGACACCATGCCTGGCTAACTTTTGTATTTTTAGTAGAGATGGGGTTTCCCCATGTTGGCAAGGCTGGTCTCGAACTCCTGACCTCAGGTGATCTGCCCGTCTCGGCCTCCCAAAGTGCTGGGATTATAGGCATGACCCATAGCATCTGGCACAATTCCCATTAGAATTGCTTACCTGTAAAGGATCTTACTTCTCCTTCACTAACGTTGCTTAGTTTGGCTGGATGTGAAATTCTTGGTTGCAGTATTCTTTTCTTTAAGAATGCAGAATGCTGGCCTCCAACATCTTCTGGATTGTAGGGTTTCTGCTTAAAGAGCCACTGTTAGCCATATAGGGTTTCCTTTCTATGTGACCTGTCCCTTCTCTCTAGCTGCCCCTAGCATTTTTTCTTTTTTCTTTTGACCTTGGAAAAACTGTTGACTATGTGTCTTGGAAATAGTAATCTCATATAGCATCTCACAGGGGTTCCCTGCATTTCCTGAATTTGAGTGTTGTCCTCTCTAGTGAAGTTGGTGTAATTTTCATGGACTATCATTTCAAATATGTATTTCAAGTTGTTTGCTTTTGCTCCCTTTCTCTCAGGGATGCCGGTGAGTCATAGATTTTATCTCTTCACATAATACCATATTTATCATAGATTTAGTTCATTCATCTTCATTCTTTTGTCTTTATTTTTGTCAGACTGAGTTACTTCAGAGAACTTCAGAGTCTTCCAACTCTGAAATTCTTTCCTCAGCTTGGTCTAATCTGCTGTTAATATTTGCGATAGTATTATGTACTTCTTGAAGTGAGCTTTTTGGCTCTATGAGAGCAGTTTTGGTCTTTTTTACAATGCCCATTTTATCTTTCAGCTCCTGTATCATTTTATTACATTCCTTAGATTCCTTGGATTGAATTTCTCCTGAATCTCAATGATCTTAATTCCTATCCATATTCTAAATTCTATTTCTGTCATTTCAGCCATTACAGGCTGTTTAAGAACCATTGCTAGGGAACTAGTGCAGCCACTTGGAGAAAGGAAGATATTCTGGCTTTTTGAGATGCCAGAGTTCTCACACTCATGGTTTTTCATATGTTTGGCCTGATGTTCCTTCAGTCTTTGAAGCTGCTGTCCTTTGGATAGAGTGTTTTGCTTTTATCTTCTATGATGCCCGTGGGGTCTTGATTGTGGTACAAGGTGAGTTGGTCAACTGGCTGTATTTCTGAATGATTTTAAGGGTCAAGTCTCAGCTCTGCTCTCTTTGGCTGCATGTTCTGACTCTGTTGGGAGAGTGGGGGCAGTGGCTCTTACAGGGTCCCCAGCTTTGTTCTCTGACCCCCTCAAGGTTAGAGACCTGATGAGCTGGAGGGACTGAGGTGTTCCAAGTCTGCTGTCCAGAACAATCCAATTGGTGATGCTGGCCAAAGTGCTTCACTGGGGCCAGAGCAGTGAGATCCATGTTTGCTTGATCTTTTCAGCAGCTGTGGCAGCATGTCAGTGTGAAGACACATTGGCTGGGTAAGTTACTGATGGGAGGGGGGCTGCAGTGTTCTTTCTCATGCCCATGCCTGGTTATGGCAGTGTTGGGGTGCTGGCAGGAGAGGGCCCTCAGGTGCCCTTGTGTGCATTCATACTGGTGATGGCAGTGGCACATGGGTGGCAGGGTTGCTGATATCTGATTGCACATTCATGCTGGCAATGATGGTGCAGCTGGTTGCTTGTGCATTAGCAGGGTGGGGTGGCAGGGTGTGCTCTCACCAGCAGCAGTGGTGCAGTCGAATGTGTGCATAAATGCACCGTGTCTGGGGAAGGAAGGCAAGGTCTACCTGAGTATCTGTACTGGGGAAGTAAGTGAGGGGATGGCTGTAGGTAAGTGCATGCCAGCAAAGTGGTGAGGTGAAGCTGTGGTGGGGGAAGGTGCAGATGGGCTACTGTGTGTCAGCTAGATAGATCTGCTGGAGCTCTCCAACAGTCAGGCATCGTCTACTGGTAAAGGATCTATGAGGAAGACTCCTGGGAAGCACCCAAGTTGGGCAACCAAGGATGCACTCCAAGTGGGCACAGCTAGGCTGGGGCCACAGAAGAGGTCAGCAGACAGGGCAGTGCTCAGATCAGACTGGCTATGTATCATGGAAAGGACTGCCCTGCTCTGTACAGGTCCAACAGTCTCCTAAGGCTAAAACTTCCTAGAGGAGCATGGCAAGCCTTGGGGTGTGGGCATCACTGGTCGTGCTCCACTACAGACATTCCCGCACCAAACCCCCTGGGTTCTGCACAGGCTAGATTCCTGTCCCTACCACTTCTCTAACCAACTATCCCTGTTAGCTTAATTGTCCCTTTTGTTTTTGTGGTAAGAGTATTCCACTCCTCATCTATTCAACTCATCCTTTCCTCAGGAGTCACTGGGGGCCAGGCATGAGTCCTGGTGCTCAGTAGCTCCATGCAGGGTTCCCAGATTCCTCCCACTTCAGCCCAGTGTTTCCATCCTCCCTGCTTTCACTCTTAATTCCTTCCCTCCAAAGACCTGCTCACAGTGTGCCATGACACCAATCTTTTTGGTTTGATGGTCTCTAGGTGAGAAATGTTTCTCCTGGCTGCATTTTGTCAGCCATTTTGGCTGTTATTCAAAGTCTTAAACTGGTTAGTATCAGTTAACATATCGATTAAAATAGAAAAATAATGTTATGTTCCTCATTTTTTTTACTTGATCCATGTGTTACATAACTGACTTGAGATATTTAATAGTATAAGGTTCATGTTAAATAATCAGAATAAGATATGGTGATAATGAGACACAATTATAATAAAGCTAGAATATTAGGAGATATAATCAAATTTAAACTTATAGTATAAGCTTAATACATGAAATTGTGGACCTTGAATTTTGCAATTCTTGCAATCATATTTACATCAATTACTGTCCAATCAGGCAAGACAAACCACACTGTAATTTGAACAAAAAAGTTTGACATGAAGAATTATTAATAACACTAGAGAATTAGCATAAGGAGAAATTGGCTAGTAAGAAGTAAAGATAGCTCTAAATATAGAAAGAACAGTCACTAACCATAAGATTGAGACAGAATGCACAAGGAAAACCCCTGCTTACTCCAAGCTGACATTCAGATCTTGCTGGAAAAGGCAAAGTCATGCCTCACTAAACGGCAGAGAAATATTTGTTATCTTCCACCTGTGTTGGCAGAGGCCTTAAAAATCTTCCTTGCAAAGTGCCAAGGAAAGCTGTTTGCTATCGTGTGCTGCTGGTTGTCGTACACCACAGGAGCAGAACACTGGAGAAACCAGATGTGACGCAGGAGCCAGAGGGATGCTGCTTAACTTCCTGGTCATGGGGTCAGGTGCTGAGGAAGCAGCTGGCAGCTGAGTGCTCACAGCTGTGGACTGCAGGGCAAGGAATTGGAGAACCTGCAAGCATTGAAGGATCTGAAGAGATTCTGCTATCAAATTGCCTGCGAAGAGGGCAGAGAGTGCTGGCTTCTTAGTGCTGCTGGCCTCTGACTCCCACAAGAACAGGCACTAAGAGGCTGCAAGTACCTCTAGGAGGAGTCTGTTGTTTCATGTGAGGTGACCTGGACTGAGAAGGTAAACTCCCTCTGCCTATTATGCTTCTCCAACCCTTCTTCTGACAAAGCTTCATGCAGGCTGGCACAGAAAAATAATCTTTACAGAGTCAAGTACCATTTTCACAAAGCACAGTAAATTTGGAGCTGAAAGGCAAAAAATCAACAACAGCCACAATAAAGCAGAAATAAACAATATGAAAATGAAAACTTATACTTCTATTATTTGTCCTGATGTGTTGAACACATTTTATTCTAGTGGGGATTCTATAATACAAAATATTATTTGCAGTTATAATATTTAAGATAATGTCCACAATTGGTGACCAATCTTCAAGAAAATATTTTATCTTCGGTCATCTGCAATATTGGCCAAACTGACACCGTATATTAGAAATTTATTTGCACTGACAGATTAAAACATTTATGTAGTTGTTGGGCTATTCTAACATAAAATGATTTCCATTATATATTAATTTTTACTGTGGTTAACCCATCAGTAGCATGTTCTTCTGGTTGAAATGTTTTAAAATTTAGTTTTCAATATTCCAAGTTCGTTTTTAAATCCTCTGGACTCTCTACTCTATCTCTTCCACTTTTCAATCCTTACATATAACAGCTTCTCAAGACCTCTTACCTACTTTTGTTTACTTACTAGGCTACCTTATACAATTTCATGTTTTCTAATACCATTAAAGACTCCCACTGACAAGAATATGGTACAACATTAATAAAATACACACACACATACACACACACACACACCAGACAGTTGTAGAGTGAAAGGAAAAACCCACCCATGCCTGTTTTACGATAGAAGGTAGCAAGGAATCCCCACTGATCTCTGAACCTCTAGGTATGCATGGCCAGGACACAGCTTTCAACAGAAGTGATAGCGGAGAAGTATAATACAGAAGAAGCAAACAAGTTTGAGGATGAAGATACTGCCAACAAATTTTACAGTCTCTAAAAGAGGAACACTTGGCTGAGTAGCAACTATGTGAGCAAAAGTGAGAAAATTGACAAAACTCAAAATTCTTACAGACTTCAAATTGCTGAAAGTGCAAAACGAACTACTTTTTTTCAATTAAGGGAAGCTCATCCCCAAACTCTGTCAGAAACACAAATTTTGGGCACAAATATTAGGAATCACAGACATACAGAAGGTTCAAATAAGAAGGATGAGTGGTTCAGGGAAGAGATAATTCAGAAGGTAGTTTAGCAGCAAAATACATTCTTCATAACCAAGAGCACCACCTTGAAAGAAAGATGTATAAAGCTCTGGAAGATGCAAAAAGGTGGGAAGTAACTGAATTAACTTTTTTTTTTATTCTGAGAGTTTCATTTCTTTGGGGGAATATAGAAAGATTCAGCTATCCTATGAATGTACCCACAATTCTTAGATTCCAATAATTTTCTGCATTTATATAGAGCTTTACAATGGCAAATTTTCCATACATCACATAGGTAAAGAGTGGCAGAACAGGAACTCAAATGGGGGACCTGTGAGGCTAACTTCCGTGTGTTTCCCTATCACATCCTGATTACACCTCATCAGGAAAAGCTACACTCAACATGATTACTTATGACAATATGTATTTAATTTTTAATATTTTTAATGCTGTGTCTTATACTTTGGAGTATTTTTCTAATTAGAAAAAAAGACAAAAGTAATAGAAGGAAACATTATTTAAACCTATTAACTCAGAAAATTTTCTGAAATAAAAGAAGATTTGAATATACATACTGGAAAAGAACACATAATTTACAGTGAAGCAAACCCAAAATGTTCAACATCAAGAAATATCAGAGTAAAGCTTTTAGACTCTGAAAATAATAAAAAAAATTGAGGTAACCTCATAAGACTAGATGACTTATAAGGGAAAAAATCAGATTGAACTCATAACTCCTTAAAGCAATATTTTATTCCAAAACAGAATGGAGTGACATTTTCAGGATATATATTAGTTTTACTAAGCAATGGTGTCTTACAAGAAAGAGTGGAACAGACAATAAAAATGCAGTGCCTCATGGAACATTGATTTTATCCACTCTTTAGAATAAGCTGTCGATAAATAAGAAAGATATAAAGAAACTTTATTATATGTTATGAAAATGAACATTAAAAGTATTTAAAATAGAGGAATGATTGTTGGAGAGGAGGATGGTAGAACAGAATATAAATGTTATAGTCTTCAATATGAATAAATAAAACAATTTATAATTTATAGATATTGGCTAGAGTAAAAAAACATAGAATGGGTTGTTTTCCAAATATTAACTTGGGGTAAACTTTTATTGTATTACTGCAATAAATCTTTTAACAGTAAAATAATAATAATAATAATAATTTCAAATCAGATATTCAGATCTCATGGAGGTAGAGAGTAGAATGATTGTTATCAGATGTTCAGAAGAATAGCGAGAAGTGGGGAATAAAGAAAGGTTGAATAATGGGTACAAAAACACAGTGAGATAGAAGGAATACAATCTAGTGTTCAGTAGCAAAATAGGGCAACTATTGTTAGCAATAATAATTTGTATATTTCAAAATAACTAGAAGAGTGAATTTAGAATTTTCCAAACACAGGAAAATAAATATTTGAGGAGATAGATATCTCAATTATCCTGATTTGATCATTACACATTGTATGAGTGTATCAAAATAGCACATGTACCACATAAATACATACTATTATGTACCCCCAAAAATTTTCAAAAATGTAACTGTAAATGTGCTTTAAAAAAATCAGAAAGAGAAAGAGTGGAAGAAGACATTACTATGTAAAAATCTATTAATTCCCATTCAGCCAATATACAGTATGTATGCAACAGGTATGTTTCACATTTGTAACTTCAATGTCACTTTTTTCTTTTTGCTCTATTATTTCCCACATGTAAGTTAAATGGTTTTAAAAATATAAAACCATAACAATTTCATTTTTATTCAATTTTCAAATCATCATAATACAAAATATGCTATACTCGTATATTTTTGTGACATATAGACTGCTCACTTCTCAGGCTAACTTAAAAATATTTGTTAAACCTTTACTTAAAAAATTATAAATTATGCTCATATTTCTCTTTAGCTATATAGCAGCAAAAGTTGCAGACTTTCTTAGGGGGAAAATCAGTTTCTACTTATCCTTACCCTATGTAAAGATTTTCTTAAAATTTGTTGAATGGTTCTGTCATCCACTAAACTATCTTTTTCTCACTTCCAATGTTTGTTTTATTGCCTTGTACACTGAATGCACACATAAAATAAAAAAGGACTAATAATGTTTAATACATCGCGAGTATTTATTTTGTTCTACACTGTATATGTTCCTTGAGTTATCATGTGTAATTTTTGCAATAGCTGGTGAAATAAGTACTAGAATCTTTCTCATGTTACATATGAAGAAACTCTTCTAAAGTCACACCACTGAAGAGAAAATCAAGAATTTCAATCCAGACACTCTGACTTCCAAATCTATTCTATAACTATCACAGAAAACTGCCTTTCTAAAAGTGGAAATCAGGGGGATAATTAAAAGTATAATTGCATTGGTTTTAAAATTTGAGGCATATATATATATATATTATATGTTAAACATGTATGCTATTTAGCATATAATATATATATGCCCAAAATTTTGGTCTGATAACAAAACCAATATATTTTAAGTTATTTTAATATTTATTTAGCAGTAATTAAATCAGTTTACATATAATGTAATCCATTAGTATACAGTACCTATTAAGAGACTATTCTTTCTGGGTCTCTTGTGTATCTGTATATCTTGTGAGCAAAGCACTAACTGCCTTTTCTTCCAGACTTTTTATTCAAGGATATTTTTATAGTGAACAGGTGGAAAGCTAGAGATATTGTTGCCCTCTCGAATAAAAGACAGTTACACTAATTCTCTATTATAAGACATTACAATTCATTTAACTCAGAGCTCTCCTCCTAGAATAAAATACATCCCACATGTTATCATCTGGCTCAGTTTGTGTCTCTGTGGAAACTGGGGCCCAAGAAAATGATACAAATAAAACTGATACTCAGGCTACTGCTCTTTTTTGAGCAATAAACTGTTCTTTGACTCAGTAATCTCATGTGACCTGCTAGCATCCATAAAACTGTAACAAGCTAATTCATTAGCTTGCAAATAGTGTAAAATCACAAGACCTTATACAGTTTTTAACACATGCAATGTGTAATTTTTTACTATACATGATAAAGTGGATTTTTCATTAGGGGAGGAATTTGCCAATTTATCTCATATTTTAAACATCCAAGATTGGAACGTTTAGAAGAGTCATTAAAATTCATCAAATATTTATAAATATTTTTAAAATATTTCAAATGCTTAGGTGTTTAATATTGTTCCAGGTCATCTTTAATATGTATGTGGACGGTAAAGAATATTTTTAGAATATTAGACCAGTTCTTAACAGGTGCCAATTTGTCCCTCGGGGGACTTTTGGCAATACGTGGAGACAATTTTGATTGTTGCAACTGGGGATAGGTGGGGTGATTGATACTGGCATTTACTGGTGTTTATTGGGTAGGGCCAGGGATCATATAATGTACAGAACAAACTCCCACAGCAAAGAACTATCTGGCCCAAATGTCAATTTCATTAATGTTGAAATACCTGATATACATATATACACACACGTACATACATTGGTGTATGTATATATAATATATAAAGATTGTCAGATGCAAATGTGTATATATGTATATATGTGTATATATGTATATATGTGTATACATGTATATATGTATATGTGTATATATGTATATGTGTACATATATATGTATATATGTATATGTGTGTATGTATATGTGTATACATATGTGTATATATATATACACATTTGCATCTGAAAATCTATATTATATATACATACACCAATGTATGTACATGTGTGTATATACGTATATCAGGTATTTCAACATTAGTGAAATATATATACATATATATACACATTTGCATCTGAAATTAAAGTATATAGTTATATTCTATCAATGATAAAGATTAATCTACCTGTAAAATATTACACAAATGTAAAATTCTATCTCTACATGTATCAATCATATTTCTATCTCTACCTGTATTAATCATATGTCTTTGTCAGTGAGCCATAAAAAATAATACATAACATAAATAAGAACACAATATCAACATAAAATCTTAGTTTTAACCTATTCAAAGGTTTTAGAATGTGTCTATACTTAAATATATTAGAGAAAAATAGTCATCTTATTTTTTATTATTTATAAAAACATGTAACCAATGTTATACATCAAAAGTAAAACATTTTTAATGTGTACGTGGAATTGAGTGGATTACTGTGAACATCAGAAAAAAAATTACCCCATATTTGGTTCCCTAAGTCTATGCTGTTACTGTAGAAACAGCAATTCTGTATATCTATTTAATATTATAACAATCTGAAAAGGAAATCCTGGCATGCTATAATTGGCATATATTACTTTTCAAAATTATTATTAAGGATGTGTTTGCCTATTATCTTTACATATCATAACCCTTAAACATGTATGAATTTATAAATAATAATTTTTAAATTATAGGTATTACCAGTGTGTGTATACATATGTTTATGTATATATGCATATATTACATACTCACTCATAGGTAACCAGCCAACCTACACTGAACATCTATGTCATATCAAATAACATTTTTCAAAATGGATATAATTGGTATAGTATTAGGTAATTCACAGTATGTACTAAAATTTTCTGCATGCAAATTGTACATGTTAGTAGGAGTCATTTACACAGTAATTAGTAATTTTATTTTCAGAAAAAATCAATCTTGTTTTAAAAATACTGAAAGTATTCCAGTATATATATCACATACTTCTATTACAGTAATTATAAAATTTATGTAATAACTAAGTTTGATTGACCAATAGGATAATACAGATATCTGTAAATAGAGTACAGTTTTTGTAAGTAGAATTGATAATTGTTAGATTCCAGAAAAGATTAAATTATTTACAATATTTAGTACTATATTAAAAATTCATGGAAAGCATCACATTTAACTAATTTAGACAAATATTTCATCTGGAAGAAAAATTTTAGCCTTTCTTTTATTTATAATATCCCTTTGTTAAATATATTTTAAATAGAATTTTTAGAAAAAGCATCTTACTGAACCCTAAATGACCACTTTTAAATCTATTTTCTTTTCAATATGTTGAGTTTTTAAAACTTTAGATATGTTTACTTACGTTATTAGCTGTTATTTTATTATGCAGCAAAAGAATTTTCTACTCTGTGCAAATATATAAGTGTATATAAGTGTGTGTGAGTGTGGGGGTGTGGGTGTAGGTTCACTTATTTAAAAAATGTAGTTCAAGAATCAACTGAAAGTTGTGCTAAGAAAAATGCCTTGAGAATTGTAAATAGTATTTAAATATAGTATTGTCTACAGATTAGACAAAGGTGTTCCATCTAGCTGTTATATTTAAAGAATCAGATTTCTGTACTAGAAAACAGAATTTTAAAATAACAAGACTTCAAAAATGACAACAAATTTGAGAGATCATGTAAGTATTCAATCTTAATTTCAGAAATGAGACACAAAATACACAAATTCAACATAATTATCGATTTACCAATACTAGTTTTCACAAAATCCGAAAAAACATCCTAAAATTCATATGGAACCAAAAAAGATCCTGAAAGCAAAAGCAATCCTACACACACACACACACACACAAACACAAAGCTGGTGGCATCAAATTACCTGACTTCAAACTATACTATTGTAACCAAAACAACATGGTACTAATAGAAAAAGACACATAGATCAATGAAACAGAACAGAGAACGCAGAAATAAATTCATAGGACTATAACCAACTGATCTTTGATAATGCTGACAAAAATTTACAATGGGGAAAGAACAACCTATTCAATATACAGTGCTGGGAAAATTGGATGTCTGTACGTAGAAGAACAAAACTGGACCCCCATCTCTCACAATATATAAAAATTAACTGAAGATGGACTAAATACTTAAATGTAACATCTGAAACTATAAAATTCCTAGAACAACATCTCAGAAAAACTATTCTGGACGTTGGCCTAGGCAAATAATTGACTAGACCTCAATGAAGCCTTATGACTAATGACTAAGAATTAAGAAGCAAATGCAAGAAAAACAAAAAGACAAATGCGACTTAATTAAACTAAAAAGCTTATGCACAGAAAAAGAAATAATTAACCGAGTAAACAGACAACATACAGAATGGAGAAAATATTTGCAACCTATGCAATCTGACGAAAAGACTAAGATCCAGAATCTACAAGGAACTCAAACTAGAAAAAAATAGCTAAATAAAACCATTAAAAATTGAGCAAGGGACATGAACAAACATCTCTCAAAAGAAGACATACAAGAAGCCAAGAAACATATGAGAAAATTCTCAGCATCTCTCATCATCAAATAAATGCAAATAAAAACCCCAAGAAAATACCATCTCACACTAGTCAGAATGGTTATTAAAATATCAGAAAACAAAAGATATTTGCCAAGGTTCAGAGAAAGGAAGAAACTCACAGTCTTGGTGAGAATGTAAATTAGTATAAGCTCTATGGAAAAAAATATGGAAATTCCTCAAATAACTAAAAATAGAACTATTATTCTAACCAGCAATCCCACTGCTGGGTGCCTATTTAATGGAAAAGAAATCACTGTCTCAAAAGATACCTGCACTCGTATGTTTGTTTGTTTGTTTGTTTGAGATGAAGTCTCGCTCTGTCGCCCAGGCTGGAGTGCAGTGGCGCTATCTCAGCTCACTGCAACCTCCGCCTCCCAGGTTCAGGCTATTCTCCTGCCTCAGCCTCCCAAGTAGCTGGGAATACAGGCGCCCGCCACCAGGCCCAGCTAATTTTTCGTATTTTTAGTAGAGACGGGGTTTCACTGTGCTAGCCAAGATGGTCGCTCTGCTGACCTCGTGATACACCCGCCTCGGCCTTCCAAAGTGCTGGGATTACAAGCGTGAGCCACCGCTCCCAGCCTGCACTTGTATGTTTTTTGCAGCACTGCTAAGAATAGAAAATCCATGGAATCAAACTAAGTGTCCATTAATGGGCGATTGGATAAAGAAAATTATAAATATATATATTATATATATAATTTCTTTATATATATTATATATATAATTTCTTTATATATTATATATATAATTTCTTTATATATATTATATATATAATTTCTTTATATATATTATATATAATTTCTTTATATATAATATATATAATTTCTTTATATATATTATATATAATTTCTTTATATTATATATATTATATATAATTTCTTTATATATATAATTTATATATCTATAAATATATTTATATAATATGTATTTATATATCTGTTTTCTGACATTTATATAAAAAATGTATATTTAATGGAACACTATGTGGCCATAAAAAAGAATAAAATCATGTGTTTTACAGCAGTATGTATGTAGCTGGAGCCATTATCCTAAGTAAAAAATCTCAGAAACAGAAAATCAAATACCACATTTTCTCACTTAGACCTGCAAGCTAAATGATGGGTACACATGTACATACAGAAGGAAATAATGGACTCTGAGGACTCCAGAAGTGTGGATGTTGGGAGGGGCATGTTTGAAAAATTACCTAATGGGTATAATGTTCATTATTCAGGAAGGAATTTGCTGATTTATATAATATTTCAAATACTTTAGATTGGAATGCTTGGAAGAGCCAATGAAAATTCATCAAATATTGATATATGTTTTTTAAATAGTTCAAATATTTAGATATTTAATGCTATTCTTGAACATCTTTAACATGTTTTGGACAGTAAAGAATATTTTTAAAACATTAGACCAGTTGTTCTTAACAGGGGCCAATTTTTCCCCCAGGGGACATTTGGCAATATGCGGAGACAACTTTGATTGCTGCAGCTGGGGATGGGTGGGGTGGATTCTGGGGACTCCAGAAGGGAATTTTGGGAGGGACATGGTCAAAAAATTACCTGTTGGGTATAATGTTCACTACTCTGGTGATGGATACACTAGAAACCTAACCCTCACCATTATGCAATATATCAATGTAAAAAAACAAACCTGCACATGTACCCCTTGAATCTATAATGGGAAAGAAAAGAAATGAGGCCCCCAAAATCAAAGTAACTTGGTAAACTTCACACACACAGTTAGTGAAAGAGTCAGTACTAAAATTAAATTGTTCCAATATCATTGTTTTAATAACTCTTAAGGCAACTCTACCCTACAACACATTGCTTATACCCACTCCAAGTGTCCTTGGTAACTTCTCTCCACAATGATATGTTTATAGAAAGTATTAAGCAATGTCAAGGTGCCTTATGACTTGTTTCTCTTCTCATCAGGTGATGTTTGACAATATTCAGAATACTCTGCAATATTAGAGTTTTTGCCCCTCTTCCTTGGGGATTTTCCAGTATCAGCCTTTTCTAGTGATTGATGTTTACATCTATATTGCTCTATGCAAGTTATAGAAGTGCATCCAAATACACAGCTTAAACTTATTTGTAACATTAAATAATTAAATGCAGTGTTAGATGGTGACCTCATGAAATCTGAATTATTACACTAAACAGTATAAATGTCAAATATGAATCAAAGTCAAATATGAATGCCTACATGTCTCATGGTCATTATTTTCTCTTAAATATCATTGTATTTTCCAGGGTTCTTGTATTTATGGTTAAAATTATTCCTCATCTATTTCAAGAGTTCACCCATGCCTAGCATGTAGAAAAAGGTGCTCATTGTTTTTGATGAATATTTTGCTTTTCCAATGTATTAGTACTTCCCAATTAAATGTTGTAATTATGCATTTTAATCAGTTTCAATTTGTGAGAAGTGGTACATTAACCTCATCTACAGCCCTTTCTTTTAAGGTGCTGCTGATAATAAAGCCTAGCCCATTCTTGACAAGTTATCTTGACTCTAACTTTGTTTTTCCTTTGTTAATGCAAAATTAGGGAAAATCTTGCCTACTCTGAAAGAATTTCAGAGACTCTGCACAAACCAGACAGCCTGTCTTGGGCCATGCTACCAAAAGTGTTCACAGTGGCTGATGTCATTTTTTGGTGGTTTTATCTCACAATTGTACTGGTTCCCATGAGGAAATGAATAAATGCCTTATATGGAATATATAGATAAAAAATAGGACCTTGAATTACATTATATTTAATTTTACCAATATTTTTAAAATATTCATTTCAATTTCAGTCATTTTTCTTTTTATGTACTACAGATATGTTTAAAACAATAATTTTAAAAATATCATTAGAGTTCACAATTTTATATTTTCTTTAAAATACCCCAGGCATCATTGTCCTTAGAGACTTCTGTAATTTAAAATAGTCAAATATATTAAATAACCATCTATACATCCTTTTAAACTTGGAATTTATTTTTGATATTTATTATTCAACATTCTTCCTTTAATTGTTTTAATTCTGTCAAAAACTACATTGAAGTTAAGTCAACAGAAAAAAAAATCTAACAGACACCGTATTTTAAGCCACAGAAATGCAAATAATTAGTTTAGCCCATTTATTTTTTACATTTTTTCAAAGCATTACAAATAACTATTTCACTGAATTCTATCTTCTGTCATGGGACAACAATAAATTTTAAAATGTGATAGGTTGGTAAGTAAAAAGTAAACCTTTCAATAAGATGATAAAATATGATGAAAACATAGGAAACTTGTGTGGACTTAGGTTTTAAAAGCATATGTAGAATGGTATCACTTTATGATCTTGTTTAAAGATAATTTGTTTAATAGTTTACATTTTAATTGGGCTACAGATTTTTTTTTTCCATACTGCAAAGCAATTCACATGGTGAATGCCTCATACTCTGTAGGCAAATAGTGATGCAGAGAATACACAGATGGAGAGGCTTCCTGGGGTAGTGTGTATGAACATTTGGGCTCTGCACAATTGGTGCTCATTGAAATACAGAGTATGTTACTATTTTTAGATCTAGTGTACATTCCACAGGTACTGGATCTGTAAAATAGGAATGCGATATCTACATTGCAGAATTGTTTTGAAAACAAATCATGTGCTTTAAACATCTCAGGTGTTCTGCAAATGTTAGCTTCTCTGTTTAATATAATGACTATGCACTATTTTAGGGAACAATACTCTTTTCCCTACTGCTAGAACCACAAGAGTGGCTATTGTTTTGCAATACGAATTTAGCCACTCAGTTTTATAAACATTGTAATTGTAACCATGTAGCCTCTTTTTTAGCTGAAGTATGTTGCAAAGATGTTTTGCTTTTCCAATCTTACCTTTCTTTAGCCACCTGTCTTATCTTTTTTCTTCCATATTAGTATTGCTGATTAGTTATCAGCTAAACATTGGCAGGTCTTTCATTTTAAAAGTAGTCAAAATGTTAATAATAAAATGAATATATATTTATTTCAAAATAAACATGATTTTGACTAAATTGTCTTTTATTTAAAATTATTCTGAAACGAGATTGCTAAATTAATTATGCTGTAAAAAATACTATCATTTATTCTGATGTACATCTAATTGATTTTATGTATGTATTGTTTTTTCCACATGTAATCAATAATAAAAGTGCATATTAAATAAAAAGATATCATTTCAATGAAATAAGTGGAAAAATGGCAGGGTTAAGTAGGAAGTTGGAAGACACAGGAACACTGGCAATACCTGTAGTTAGAACATTTCTGTGCAGTGAATTAACCAAACCAATAATGATAGAATAAAAAAAAAAACTTTAAACAGAGTGTCAAAACAGAAGTTGTCATTTGAATGTGAAACTAATACTAATCAATACTATAAAAATAGCTTCCTGCAGAAGTAAATGTAATATTTTGACAATCGGAAAATTGTTGTATCTAATCAAAGTCACTTTGTATATGCTTATTATAGAAAAATTAACCTACGTTAGTTCTATACCTTGAATGACTGAGTACAAATTGTACAGAGAGAAGGATGTGGTCCTCACAGAGACGTCAAACATATAAAATAATTTTGCCTATTTTTTGTTTTTGGTATTATAGTTCAGGCTGACTCCAGAACTATCTGAGAAGATAGTGTGCTGGTTAATTAACACAGGTGTTTGCATTCACCTGCCACATATATCACTGCAGTGGAGGTTTAGAGCATTAGCCTTGAAAATTCAGTCAGGAAAGACCTATTTGTTCATTTGTCCAGGTGTGGTGTTCACCAAGGTATCTCCTGTGTGTTTTTTATTACTCTGATATATCAGGTTACCTTTTGTAATTTTGAACAGTGTCAGACTAATCAACTTTGGATCTTCTAGATCCACAAACTGGTGAAAAACTTGGGGTAAATCTACTGAGTTAATACTACAAAAATAATAGTCAGCTATTGTTTATCTTGTATCTTGCTTTAAATAAAAAAGTAAATGTATTCACAATATGTTCAAGCACACTGATATTTATAAACATTAGACAAATACTTAAGAGAAATGCTTAAAGAATCATATTTACTGTATCTGCTTGCCATATCTCTCAACAAAATAGATAAATCAGATCACATTTACTGTATCTACCTTCCATACATTTCAACAAAATTGATAAATTGCAATAATATTCATTTTCTAAAAATTTGTGTCTTTTATATCCATTCTGTATACACAGGCAATTGAACAAAAGATACCATATTTTTAACTGAAACTCACATGATATCCAATGAATTTGCATAATTTTTTCTTTTGAAATAACAAATTATACTGCTAACAAAACAGGATGAGTTGGAGATGATCTGTGAGCACACTTAGGGAATAGGATTATAGCATCTGTTCTTCCCCAGTGTGTCAGAGATTAAGATACTATACCACGCTATTTCATGAATTCCCAAGAAAAAAAATCACACTTTGAAAAGTCTACTGAGTTGATGTTTTTCTTTATTTTTGCCAAATCAAATTTAAGGTTACTTTTTTGTGGTAATGTAAGTAATAAATCATAATTTCTCAACATACTATTTTACAACATACTTGAGTGTCCTTTTGTACTGTTGAAGTATACTTTTAATGGAAATACCCAAATATTTCAGCAATATTTTCTGCTAATAATTTTATTGAATTTCAAAAATGATATTTGCTTTAACAAGATGTGATACAGTTATAGAGGCTGGTATTTAGATGTATCTGCACAAATAACCACTAGAATAGAGCAGTAATTAAAAAGAGTTAAGCCTATCGAACTCACTTCCACATTTATTATAGTTTGCACTTGAAAAAGTATTATAAGAATATCTGATTGGAAGTAATGTATATAATTCAGTAAATTTACTTCAAGGGAACCATTATTTTATTATTTTAACTGGGAAATCAAGTTCAGTTAAATAAATTAGCCAAGTTATAGTAATAATGTTAAGATAATTTTTAAAAACTGGTGTTAAGATTTTAGTTGATTCATACCAGCATATACAATTCTTCTAATATTACTTGTCAAAAGGCTAGTATTTCACTATTTAATTACTGTATTAGTTGTCTATTGCTAAATAACAAATCATCTAAAACTTAGTGGTTTAAAACAATAATAGCAATTTGCTGTCTTTTACAGTTTCTCTGGGTCAGGAGTTCAGGAGCCGTTTGGCTGACAGTCCTGGCTGGGATATCTCATGTTGCATTGGTAGAGTATATGCAGTCAGAGGATCATTTCAAATGCTTCTTCACTCTCGTGTTTGGTACCTGGACTGGGAAAACTTGAATAGCTGGCAGTTGAAATAGGTAACACTCCCTCGGCATCTCTTTCTTTATTTTTTTCTCTCCACATGATCTCACCAACATGATGGCTTCAGAACAGTCAAATATCTTCCATGGAGACTCCAGGCTCCAAAGATGTGAATTCTATTTGAAAGAGACCTAAGAGAAAACCTGTTTGTTTTTTCTAACATAACCTCAGTTGCCAAATTTCCACTGCATTCTTTTTGTTAAAAGTGAGTCACTAAGCTGACTCATATTTAAGAAGTGGGGAATTACACTCTAATTTTTGTGAAGGAATGCCCAAAAACATTGCCACGAAGATGAAAAGTAACATTATCTGCTGTCTGCCTGCAAACTATTTACAGTCCTGCCACATTCAAGATATACAAGCTTCCCCTCCATTGATTACCAAAATTGTATTTATTACAGCATTAAGCACAGGCTCAAGTTCTAGAATTCCATCTTTTAAATCTTGTCCAGGTATACATGTGCCAGCTTCGGCGTCATCATTGAGTACAGCAACTAAAGTGTAGTCCTTCTCCATCAAAGGACATTAGTCTAAAGAGACGCTTATGCTTCCTACCCCCACCACTAACACATCAAAAGACAATCGCTGGAAAGAAGTAGGGTAAGTGATGTAGTTCCTTATTTTTACAAAAAGTATTTGGGCAAAGCAGCAGGCAAACAGGTGTCACTTTGGCAGTAGAATGAAAGATTTTAAAATCATCTTGCAACACAATTTATCATTTGCTTTCAAAACTGTGAAGCAGAAATCTGAGAATCATACTTTTAAAATCAGAAATGAAATAAAAGGTTATTGGGTCTACTCTTTCTCAAAATTTAATCCTTGGATCATCTACTTAATCATAGCTTAGAGGGTTTGAAATTCCTGAGGCACAAATGAACTTTTTTCAAGAAGTCCTACATTTGGAGACGGGAGGAGTGGCATAGGAGAGGAAAACAGAATTCCCGGAAGGAGAGAAGCAGCAGCAGCTTCACAGTGTGGCCTCTTCCACCTCCTCCTCTCCTTCTGGCACTGACAGCACCTGTCTTATGCAGTGTGAACATGTGAAAACAACTTCAACTTTTTAAATTGGAAATGGAGATAAGATGGCTGACTATGTGCAGCCAGTGAGTGCTGCTCCCACTGACAGAAATCAAATTATTGAGTAAACCACCATAATTTGGGAAGATATTCAGAGAGAAAATGATGAGAGTGTATGAAGAAGTGATGCTAAAGTGATGCTTAAGAAGAAGGATGCTGGAAACCCTGCACAGGGTACTCAAGAGGAGGGCTAGTTCCCAGTCGTGAATGGCTCCTGGGGAAAGGGTAAGAGAGGGAACTGAGAGAAAGCTCATTCTCACTACAGATCTCTGGGATCTTAGGACTCTGTACCCTGTGGAATTGTCAGATGGCAGAGGCATCTATCCAGAGAGCAGGCAGAGACAGACTTTCAAATGGCATGTAGTCAAAGAACTTTTGTTCACTGGGCAGCTCTAGTGGAGGGTGACCATAGAAGCCCACCTCCTAGGGTGTCCCATTTCCCTCTGGGAGGTGCTGGCTCCAGCTAACTGTGAACTAGAAGACAACAGGGTTGGCTTCCTTGCTGGACTGTGGTACCTCTGCTCTATAAGGCTTTCTACCTGCCAGCCCATTTCAGGGCCTGTGCCTAGCCACCTAGCAGAAGAAGTTGGACAGTGCAACCTTCACAGCCCAGCCTGAGTATGTTGTTCCACCTGAGTACTATTTTGGTGAAGGGGGAGCACCTAGGATCCTCAAACACATCTGGAACCTCACTATGAGCCATAGGACATCATAGTGCTCCAGGGCCATGGTGCAGAGCTCAGGAGTACTAATCCAAGATCTGTGGCCAGCACTCAAGGTAGGGAAGAGCCCCTAGCATAAGAGCACTGAGAGAGGCAATATTTTTAGGTTTCTGGTCCAGGGGAGTGGGGCATGCCTCCTTTCACAGGGCCAGGCCAGAAAGGATGTGGCATATTCTCCTGCCTTAGCTTCTTCCTAACAGAGCCATGCAGCCAGGAACACCTAACAAAATAAATGTGGGCACAGCAGCAGTGAGCAGAGGGTGCTCCCCCAAGACCTGGGAGCAGATCTGTTCAAGTCCCATCTCTCACCTTACTCCATATCAGAGCATGCCTGCAAACAAGAGGAACTAGAAAAGAACCACATGGTTGTGCATTAGCCTAGCTACTGTGTGTTGCTTTTAAGTGCCGTCTGCTAGATTGCAGCCAGAACTACAACACCAAAAATTTTTAGGCTAATACATAAAACTCTGTAACCAAATACAAGAATTCAACCACACGTAAATATCCTGTACAGACTCCTGGCCTTCTGCAAGCATCCATAAATGAAGCCAACTGACTATACTCAACTTATACCATAGTTAAAGGCATACAAACCCTCACAGATGAGAAAGAATCAATGAAAGGACTCTGGCAATTCAAAAATCCAGAGTGTCCCTTTACCTCAAATTAGTCTGCTAGCCCATCAGCAATGGTTCTTAACTAGTGTGAAATGACAGACAGAATTCAGAATCTGGATGACAAGCAAGCTCCTTCAGATTCAGGGGAAAGTTGAAATTCAATCCAAGGAATCCGGTAAAATGATCGAAGATCTCAAAGGTGAAAAAGCCATTTACAAAAGAACCAAACTGAAATTCTAGAGCTGAAATTTTCATTACAAGAAATTCATAAAACAATCAGAGGTATTAACAGCAGAATAAACCAAACTGAGAAAAGAATTTCGTACTCAAGAACTAGTTCTTCAAATCAACTCTGTCAGACAAAAATTTTAAAAGAACTTTAAAAATCAAAAATGCTTCCTAGAAATGTTGGATTGTGTAAACAGACCAAATCTATGATGCATTGACATGTCTGAGAGAGGAGACAGAATAAACAACTAGAAAAATATATTTGAGGATACAACTCATGCATATTTCCCTAATCTCACTAGAGAGGTTGACATGCAAATCCAAGAAACAAAGAAAACCTCAGCTAGGTACTATGCAAGAAAACCAACCCCAGTCCACATAGTCATCAGAATCACCAAGGCCAATGCAAAAGGAAAAATCTTAAAGCAATATAGAGAAATGGGCTAAGTCGCTTTGGAACCTGGTCAGACTAGCAGCAGACCTCTCAGCAGAAACCTTTCAAGACATAAATGATTAGGGGCATATATTAAGTGTCCTTAAGGAAAAAAAATCCAATCAAGAATTTTATATCTTGCCAAACTAAGCTTCATAAGTGAAGAAGAAATAAAATTCTTCTCAGACAAAGAAACATTTAAGGAATTTTTTTCAACTAGACTAGCCTTACAAGAAGTCCTTAAGGGAGAGCCAAACATGGATTCCAAGAAACATTACCTACTACCACAAAAAGACAGTTAAGTACATAGCCCACAGGCACTATGAAACAACTACACAGTCAAGTCAACATGATAACCAGCTAACAGCATGATAATAGAATCAAAATCACATATATCAATACTAACTTTGAATGGAAATGAGCTAAACTCCTCATGTAAAAGACAGAGTGGCAAGCTAAATAAAATGCCCAGACCCAACCATCTGTTGTCTTCAAAAGATCCATCTCATGTGTAATGATAGCCACAGACTCACAGCAAAAAGACAAAGAAGGGTCTATCATGCAAATAGAAAACAAAAATGAGCAGGAGTTACTAACTTTATATCAGATAAAACACTTTAATAAAATTAAGAAGAAAAATACAGCACATTACCTAATAATAAAGGTTACAATCCAACAAGAAAACTTAACTATCCTAAACATGTACACACCAAACATTGGAACTCCCAGATTCATAAAGCAAGTTCTTCCTGGCCTACAAAAAGACTTGACAATTACACAGTAAACTGTGAGATTTCAACATCCAAATGACAACATTAAACAGATTATTGAGGCAGAAATCTAACAAAGAATCTCTGAACTTAAACTGAACCCTTGACTGATTGGACCTACTTGACATCTAAAGAACACTCCACTCTACAATGACAAAATTTACATTCTTCTCATTTGTACATATAATATATTGTAATATCAACCACATTCTTGGTTATAAAGTAAGTTTTAATATATTCAAAAAAACTGAAATCATACCAAGCATATTCTCAGACTACAGTGCAATAAAAATAGAAGCAAATATCAAGAGGAATACTCAAAACTACAGAAATATGTGGGAATTAAACAACTTGCCCGTAAATAACTCATGGGTAAACATTGAAATTAAGGCAATAATTTTAAAAATTTCTGAAATTAATGAAAAGAGAGATAAAACTTACCAAAATTTCTGGGATGCTACTAAAGCAGTGTTGAGAAGAAAGTTTGTCATCCTAAATGCCTTCATCAAGGAGACAGGAAGATCTCAACAGTCTAACTTTGTATTTAAAAAAATAGAAAAAAAAATCAAGCTACCAGAGACAATAAATAACTAAAATTAGAGAACTGAATGACACTAAATGCAAAAACCCATTTAAAAATAAATTAAACCAAGAAGTGTTTTTAATAAACAAGATTGATGGCAACAGAATAAACAAAGAACAAAAAAGAAGCTTCAAATAAATACAATCAGATCACACAAAAATGCAAAAGATCTTTAGAGAATACTATGAAAACCTCCATGCACACCAATGAACAAATCTAGAATAAACGGACCAGTTCCTAGAAACACACAATCTCTGAAGATTGAATAAAGAAAAGATTTCAGTGTTGAATAGACAAACATCAAACTCAGAAATTGAATTAGTGATAAAAATCCTACCATTCAAAAAAAAGCCCAGGACCAGATGTATTCATAAGGAAATTACACCATATGTATCAAAAAAACTGGTACCAATACTAGTGAAACTCTTCTAAAAAATCAACGAGGAGGCTCTTTGCCCCAACTTATTCAATGAAAGCAGAATCAGCCTGATAAAAAAATCTGGCAAAAACACAACAAAAATAAGACAACTTCTAACCAACATCCCCGATGAAAATATAAGCAAAACTCCTCAACAAAATATTGCTTGCAAAATGAATTCAGCAGCACATCAAAAAGTTAATTCACCATGATCAAATAGGCTTTATTCCTGGGATGCAAAGTTGTTTCAAAATATGCAAATCAATAAATGTGATTTATTACGTAAACAGAATTATTAACAAAAGCTATATGATCATCTCAATAGATGCAGAAAAACCTTTTGCTAAAATCCAACATTCTTTCTTGATAAAAGCCCTCAACAGACTAGGCATCAAAGGAACATACTTCAAAATGATGAGCCATCTATGACAAACCCACAGCTAACATCATACTGAACCAGAAAAAGCTGGAACCATTTTCCCTTAGGAAAAAAAAAAAAAAAAGACCAGGATACAAACTCTGAACACTCCTATTAAAAATAGTACTGGAAGTTCCAGCCAAGCAATCAGGCAGGAGAAATAAATACAAAGCATCCAAATAGGAAAATAAGAAGTTTAACTGTCTCCCTTTGCTGACGATATTATCACCATGTTAGTCAGCCTGGTCTTGAACCCCTGACCTCAGGTGATCTGCCCTCAGCCTCCCAAAGTGCTGGGATTACAGGCGTGAGGTACTTAGTTTTCTATTCCTGCATTAGTTCACTTAGTATTAAAACCTCCAGCTGCATCCATCTTGCTGCAAAGGAAAGATATGTGTTCTTTATTACTGCAGTCTAGTATTCCATGGTATATATGTACCACATTTTATTTATCCAATCCACAGTTGGTGGGCACCTTGGTTGATTCCATGTCTCTGATATTGTGAAGAGTGTGGCAAAGAAGATAGGAATGAAGGTGTCTTTTTGGTATGATGATCTTTTTTCTTTTGGGTAAATATGCAGTAATGGGATTGCTGGGTAGAAGGCTGGTGCTGTTTTAAGTTCTTTGAGAAATCTCCAGCTGGGCATGGTGGCCCATGCCTGTAATCCCAGCACTTTTGGGGCTGAGGTAGGTGGATCACTTGAGATCAGGAGTTTGAGACCAGCCTGGCAAACATTGTGAAACCCCATCTCTACCAAAAAACACAAAAATTAGCTGGGCACAGTGGTGCATGCCTGTAATCCAACTACTCTGGAGGCTGAGGCAGGACAATCACTTGATCCTGGGAGGTGGAGGATGCAGTGAGCCGAGATCATGCCACTGCACTCCAGCCTGGGAAACAGAGCGAGACACCTACTCAAAACAAACAGAAAGAACTAAAGGAAGGAAGGAAGGGAGGGAAGGGAAGGAAGGAAGGAAAAAAAGAAATCTCCGAATTGCTTTCCACAGTGCTGAATGAACTAACTTACCTACACACCAACAATATATGAGCGTTCACGTTTCTTCACAGCCTCAAGAATGTCTGTTGCTTTTTGGCTTTTTGATTATAGCCATTGTGACTGCTATGAGATAAAGATGATATTTCATTTAACTTTCCCTGATGATTCGTGATATGCAGCATTTTTTCAAATTTTCTTTGGCCACTTGTATGTTTTCTTTTTAGATGTGTCGGTTTGTGTCCTTTGCCTACTTCTTAAGGTTTCGTTGTTGTTGTTGTTTTTTGTTTGTTGATTTAAGTTCTTTACATATTCTGGATATTAGACCTTAGTGGGATGTATAGTTTGAAACTATTTTCTCCCCTTTTGTAGGATGGTTGTTTACTCTGTTGATTGCTTAAGTCCTGCTTGTCAATTTTTGTTTTTGTTGCAATTGCTTTTGACGACTCAGTCATAAATTCTTTCCCAAGGCCAATGTCCAGAATGGTATTTTCGATATTTTCTTCTAGGATTCTTTTTGTTGTTGTTGTTCAGGGGGGCGTGTAGTAGTAGAGTTTCACTCTGTCACCCAGGCTGGAGTGCAGTGGCATAATCTTAGGTCACTGCAACCTCTGCCTCCCAGGTTCAAGACATTTTCCAGCCTCAGCCTCTTGAGTAGCTGACATTACAGGCATGAGCCACCATACCTCTCCAATTTTTGTATTTCTAGTAGAGATTGTGTTTCACTATGTTAGCCACGTTGGTCCCTATCTCCTGACCTCAGGTGATCTGCCTGCCTCTGCCTCCCATGATACAGTGCTGGGATTAAAGGCATGAGCCACCATACCTGGCCTCTTATTCTTAGAGTTTGAGGTCTTAAATTTAAATCTTTAATCTATCTTGTGTTAATTTTTGCATACGATGAAAGGTGAGAGCCCAGTCTCATTCTTCTGCATGTGGCTAGCCAGTTATACCAGCACCACTTCTTGAATAGGGGATTCTTTTCCTATTGCTTATTTTTGTTGACCTCATCAATAAGCAGATGGTTGTAGCTGTGAAGCTTTATTTCTGGGTTCTCTATTCTGTTCCATTGGTCTATGTATCTGTTTTTGTACCAGTACCATGATGTTTTGTTTATTGTAGCCTTACAGTATAGTTTGTAATCAGGTAGTGTGACGCCTCCAGCCTTGTTCTTTTTGGTGTAGGGTTGCTTTGGCTATTCAAGCTCCTTTGGTTCCATGTGAAATTTAAAATAGCTTTTTCTAGCTCTGTGAAAATGACACTGCCAGCTTGATAGGAATAGCATTAAATCTGTAGATTGCTTTGGGAAGTATGAACGTTTTAATTATATTGATTCTTCTAATCCATTTACAAAATAAAGATCATTTGTAGCAGAAACTGTAAAAACATTTTGTAAAATTGTTTGAAATCTTCAGTAAGGTTGAAGTTAATAAGACTTTTACAAGAAAAGTACAGTGAACTTCAGTGGAGATGAGCTAGATACAAAAGAAGAATGAAATGAAAAGTGTAAAATTTTAACATCAGTGTTTACAGTCTTTGATGGAGCATAGCACAGAAGTGAATCTATTGAACAATAGAACTTGGATATGTTGGAAGATAACAGAGATCTTAAAAGAATAATAAGGAAGCTGACCCATTTGACAAAGAGAATATATAGACACATGTTCAAATGATTATTGATTCTTTGAGGAAAGGAAGCTTGAACCACTGGAAACTGATTTATAATTCAGAAGGTGATTGGAGTAAAACTCTGAATTGAGCAAAAATGTTATAAACAGATTAGAATAACATCATAAAAACACATTTACATTTACATGCAAGTGGGCCATTTTCTTTTAATTACAAGGATTCAAAAAATCCACATGCATCTCCAGAAATATAAGTTTTTAAAAATGGCAATTTTAGAAAGCACCTGAAAACATTTTCTCCCTAAAGTATCTGAAACTTGTTAGATCAGGAAAACATATATATAGCAAAACCTATTTTTTAATTTAATAATTTTAAATAGCTAATTTGCTGATACTTTGACAGTGATAAATATATTAGACAGTATCAGCTATGAAAGGGTTTAACAGATAGATTGTTTGTGAATTAAAGGGATAATTCATGTACCTATAATGAATTTACTTTAAAATGACTGGTGAAGCTATACTGTGACAAATAAATTTTTTAAAAAAAGTTTTAATGTTAATGAGCAAATCATGATATAAAAGTTTTTACAGTTAAAAACATAAGAACAAGGCTAAATAATTGTTCAAGAAACAAAATATAATCCAAGAAACTGTGCATAATGTGAGAAAAGTGAATAAGGCATTGTTATTCAGGGTGTGATGAGAGATAATGCTGGTGTTTCAGTCTCCTTACTCCTTAGTTTAGGGATGTCTGAGTTCTTATCCCACGACCAAGAAGAATAATATGTTCTTGTCCCTTACCAGAGAGTGAGTAAGGTGGAGTAGAATTTATTAAGCAACAGAAAAGCTCTCAGCAGCAAGACAGGGCCCAAAGAGGGTTGCCAAAAATGGGGCTGAGTTCTGGGTCTTTTATGTGGCAGAATCAAGAAAGTCTTCTGTAGGTTCTGCCGTAACAGGAGGGATAAAAATCCCCCTTGGGGGTTTTGCATCTACACATGCATGGGGTTTGCCATAGTGACTCCATCTTGGTTATTACCCACGAGTGCCTAAGTGAAACACATGAGGAGTTGGATAAAACCACAATGCTAATGGAATTATAATGAGTTCCAGGTCATTTTAGGATACCCTTGGTCCTTGTGTGTACCTGCACAGGCAGCTACAAAGTCCCTCTGAACAAGCATCTTGGTATAAGAGGAAGTTCTTAACCACATTTCCTCCTTCTAGCTATATAACATGAGTGGTGCAGGCATTGTCCCTCTTCTGAGACCCTCTATCTTTATCTGCCTAACCAGTCTCTACCTGCCTCCTCTCTCACTGGAGAACTAAGAAGGAAGCAGCTAATGAGTTGGACTCAAATCCAAGAGGATGGACTTCATTCTGAGAGTAAGAAGGAACCCTGGAATAATTTTAGTAAGAAAGAAATGTCTTCAGATTTATATTTTAGGAAGATAACCCAAACTGAAATAAAAATCAATGATAGTGACTAAGGATGAACCCTGAGAGTCCATTTGAGTCTACTTCGAGAAGCCAGAAGAGAGATGATGGACAACGGCAATGAAAATAAGAATAAGTGACAAGATAGTTTTCAAGATACAGTTTGTCATTATATATAAAATATATATGTATAATTTTATGTATATTTTATATGTTAATATATATTTTATACTGTGTGTGTGTGTGTGTGTGTGTGTATGTATGTATGGAGGTGTTCCAGATGCTTCACATTCAATGAAGATTCATGATTATTAATAAAGTCGCCATGATTCCATGCAGCCTCCAATGGTTCTGTATTTTATTGCTGATAGAAAATACACAGAATAATACCCCCTTGAATTACTTTTATATGTAAGTTTATGATCCTTGCAAAGGTACATCTGGTGATAAGCAAAATATTCAAGAATTTTTTTTTTATTATACTTTAAGTTTTAGGGTACATGTGCACATTGTGCAGGTTAGTTACATATGTATACATGTGCCATGCTGGTGCGCTGCACCCACTAACTCGTCATCTAGCATTAGGTATATCTCCCAGTGCTATCCCTCCCCCCTCCCCCCACTCCACCACAGTCCCCAGAGTGTGATATTCCGCTTCCTGTGTCCATGTGATCTCATTGTTCAGTTCCCACCTACGAGTGAGAATATGCGGTGTTTGGTTTTTTGTTCTTGCGATAGTTTACTGAGAATGATGATTTCCAATTTCATCCATGTCCCTACAAAGGACATGAACTCATCATTTTTTATGGCTGCATAGTATTCCATGATATATATGTGCCACATTTTCTTCATCCAGTCTATCATTGTTGGACATTTGGGTTGGTTCCAAGTCGTTGCTATTGTGAATAATGCCGCAATAAACATACGTGTGCATGTGTCTTTATAGCAGCATGATTTATAGTCCTTTGGGTATATACCCAGTAATAGGATGGCTGGGTCAAATGGTATTTCCAGTTCTAGATCCCTGAGGAATCGCCACACTGACTTCCACAATGGTAGAACTAGTCTACAGTCCCACCAACAGTGTAAAAGTGTTCCTATTTCTCCACATCCTCTCCAGCACCTGTTGTTTCCTGACTTTTTAATGATTGCCATTCTAACTGGTGTGAGATGGTATCTCATTGTGGTTTTGATTTGCATTTCTCTGATGGCCAGTGATGATGAGCATTTTTTCATGTGTTTTTTGGCTGCAGAAATGTCTTCTTTTGAGAAGTGTCTGTTCATGTACTTTGCCCACTTTTTGATGGGGTTGTTTGTTTTTTTCTTGTAAATTTGTTTGAGTTCATTGTAGATTCTGGATATTAGCCCTTTGTCAGATGAGTAGGTTGCGAAAATTTTCTCCCATTTTGTAGGTTGCCTGTTCACTCTGATGGTAATTTCTTTTGCTGTGCAGAAGCTCTTTAGTTTAATTAGATCCCATTTGTCAATTTTGGCTTTTGTTGCCATTGCTTTTGGTGTTTTAGACATGAAGTCCTTGCCCATGCCTATGTCCTGAATGGTAATGCCTAGGTTTTCTTCTAGGGTTTTTATGGTTTTAGGTCTAACGTTTAAGTCTTTAATCCATCTTGAATTGATTTTTGTATAAGGTGTAAGGAAGGGATCCAGTTTCAGCTTTCTACATATGGCTAGCCAGTTTTCCCAGCACCATTTATTAAATAGGGAATCCTTTCCCCATTGCTTGTTTTTCTCAGGTTTGTCAAAGATCAGATAGTTGTAGATATGCGGTGTTATTTCTCAGGGCTCTGTTCTCTTCCATTGATCTATATCTCTGTTTTGGTACCAGTACCATGCTGTTTTGGTTACTGTAGCCTTGTAGTATAGTTTGAAGTCAGGTAGTGTGATGCCTCCAGCTTTGTTCTTTTGGCTTAGGATTGACTTGGCGATGCGGGCTCTTTTTTGGTTCCATATGAACTTTAAAGTAGTTTTTTCCAATTCTGTGAAGGAAGGCATTGGTAGCTTCATGGGGATGGCATTGAATCTGTAAATTACCTTGGGCATTATGGCCATTTTCATGATATTGATTCTTCCTACCCATGAGCATGGAATGATCTTCCATTTGTTTGTATCCTCTTTTATTTCCTTGAGCAGTGGTTTGTAGTTCTGCTTGAAGAGGTCCTTCACATCCCTTGTAAGTTGGATTCCTAGGTATTGTATTCTCTTTGAAGCAATTGTGAATGGGAGTTCACTCATGATTTGGCTCTCTGTTTGTCTGTTGTTGGTGTATAAGAATGCTTGTGATTTTTGTACATTGATTTTGTATCCTGAGACTTTGCTGAAGTTGCTTATCAGCTTCAGGAGATTTTGGGCTGAGACAATGGGGTTTTCTAGATATACAGTCATGTCATCTTCAAACAGGGACAATTTGAATAGTTTGTATTTCTGTGGGATCGGTGGTGATATCCCCTTTATCATTTTTTATTGCGTCTATTTGATTCTTCTCTCTTTTTTTCTTTATTAGTCTTGCTAGTGGTCTATCAATTTTGTTGATCCTTTCAAAAAACCAGCTCCTGGATTCATTAATTTTTTGAAGGGTTTTTTGTGTCTCTATTTCCTTCAGTTCTGCTCTGATTTTAGTTATTTCTTGCCTTCTGCTAGCTTTTGAATGTGTTTGCTCTTGCTTTTCTAGTTCTTTTAATTGTGATGTTAGGGTGTCAATTTTGGATCTTTCCTGCTTTCTCTTGTGGGCATTTAGTGCTATAAATTTCCCTCTACATACTGCTTTGAATGTGTCCCAGAGATTCTGGTATGTTGTGTCTTTGTTCTCATTGGTTTCAAAGAACATCTTTATTTCTGCCTTCATTTCGTTATGTACCCAGTAGTCATTCAGGAGCAGGTTGTTCAGTTTCCATGTAGTTGAGCGGTTTTGAGTGAGATTCTTAACCCTGAGTTCTAGTTTGATTGCACTGTGGTCTGAGAGATAGTTTGTTATAATTTCTGTTCTTTTACATTTGCTGAGGAGAGCTTTACTTCCAAGTATGTGTTCAATTTTGGAATAGGTGTGGTGTGGTGCTGAAAAAAAGTGTATATTCTGTTGATTTGGGGTGGAGAGTTCTGTAGATGTCTATTAGGTCCGCTTGGTGCAGAGCTGAGTTCAATTCCTGGGTATCCTTGTTGACTTTCTGTCTCGTTGATCTGTCTAATGTTGACAGTGGGGTGCTAAAGTCTCCCATTATTAATGTCTGGGAGTCTAAGTCTCTTTGTAGGTCACTCAGGACTTGCTTTATGAATCTGGGTGCTCCTGTATTGGGTGCATATATATTTAGGATAGTTAGCTCTTCTTGTTTAACTGATCCCTTTACCATTATGTAATGGCCTTCTTTGTCTCTTTTGATCTTTGTTGGTTTAAAGTCTGTTTTATCAGAGACTAGGATTGCAACCCCTGCCTTTTTTTGTTTTCCATTGGCTTGGTAGATCTTCCTCCATCCTTTTATTTTGAGCCTATGTGTGTCTCTGCACTTGAGATGGGTTTCCTGAATACAGCACGCTCATGGGTCTTGACTCTTTATCCAATTTGCCAGTCTGTGTCTTTTAATTGGGGCATTTAGTCCATTTACATTTAAAGTTAATACTGTTATGTGTGAATTTGATCCTGTCATGATGATGTTAACTGGTTATTTTGCTCGTTAGTTGATGCAGTTTCTTCCTAGTCTCGATGGTCTTTACATTTTGGCATGATTTTGCAGCGGCTGGTACCATTTGTTCCTTTCCATGTTTAGTGCTTCCTTCAGGAGCTCTTTTAGGGCAGGCCTGGTAGTGACAAAATCTCTCAGCATTTGCTTGTCTGTAAAGGATTTTATTTCTCCTTCACTTATGAAGCTTAGTTTGGCTGGATATGAAATTCTGGGTTGAAAATTCTTTTCTTTAAGAGTGTTGAATATTGGCCCCCACTCTCTTCTGGCTGGTAGGGTTTCTGCTGAGAGTTCTGCTGTTCGTCTGATGGGCTTCCCTTTGAGGGTAACCCGACCTTTCTCTCTGGCTGCCCTTAACATCTTTTCCTTCATTTCAACTTTGGTGAATCTGACAATTATGTGTCTTGGAGTTGCTCTTCTTGAGGAGTATCTTTGTGGTGTTCTCTGTATTTCCTGAATCTGAACGTTGGCCTGCCTTGCTAGATTGGGGAAGTTCTCCTGGATAATATCCTGCAGAGTGTTTTCCAACTTGGTTCCATTCTCCCCATCACTTTCAGGTACACCAATCAGACATAGATTTGGTCTTTTCACATAGTCCCATATTTCTTGGAGGCTTTGCTCATTTCTTTTTATCTTTTTTCTCTAAACTTCCCTTCTCACTTCATTTCATTCATTTCATCTTCCATTGCTGATACCCTTTCTTCCAGTTGATCGCATCGGCTCCTGAGGCTTCTGCATTCTTCACGTAGTTCTCAGGCCTTGGTTTTCAGCTCCATCAGCTCCTTTAAGCACTTCTCTGTATTGGTTATTCTAGTTATACATTCTTCTAAATTTTTTTCAAAGTTTTCAACTTCTTTGCCTTTGGTTTGAATGTCCTCCCGTAGCTCAGAGTAATTTGATTGTCTGAAGCCTTCTTCTCTGAGCTCATCAAAGTCATTCTCCATCCAGCTTTGTTCCATTGCTGGTGAGGAACTGCATTCCTTTGGAGGAGGAGAGGCGCTCTGCTTTGTAGAGTTTTCAGTTTTTCTGTTCTGTTTTTTCCGCATCTTTGTGGTTTTATCTACTTTTGGTCTTTGATGATGGTGATGTATAGATGGGTTTTTGGTGTGGATGTCCTTTCTGTTTGTTAGTTTTCCTTCTAACAGAGAGGACCCTCAGCTGCAGGTCTGTTGGAGTACCCTGCCGTGTGAGGTGTCAGTGTGCCCCTGCTGGGGGGTGCCTCCCAGTTAGGCTGCTCGGGGGTCAGGGGTTAGGGACCCACTTGGGTAGGCAGTCTGCCGATTCTCAGATCTCCAGCTGCGTGCTGGGAGAACCACTGCTCTCTTCAAAGCTGTCAGACAGGGACATTTAAGTCTGCAGAGGTTACTGCTGTCTTTTTGTTTGTCTGTGCCCTGCCCCCAGAGGTGTAGCCTACAGAGACAGGCAGGCCTCCTTGAGCTGTGGTGGGCTCCACCCAGTTGGAGCTTCCTGGCTGCTTTGTTTTCCTAATCAAGCCTGGGCAATGGCGGGCACCCCTCCCCTAGCCTCGCTGTGCCTTGCAGTTTGATCTCAGACTGCTGTGCTAGCAATCAGCGAGACTCCGTGGGCGTAGGACCCTCCGAGCCAGGTGTGGGATATAATCTCGTGGTGTGCCGTTTTTTAAGCCCGTTGGAAAAGCGCAGTATTCGGGTGGGAGTGACCAGATTATCCAGGTGCTGTCCCTCACCCCTTTCTTTGACTCAGAAAGGGAACTCCCTGACCCCTTGCGCTTCCCAAGTGAGGCAATGCCTCGCCCTGCTTCGGCTCGTGCACGGTGGGTGCACCCAATTATCTGCGCCCACTGTCTGGCACTCCCGAGTGAGATGAACCCGGTACCTCAGACGGAAATGCAGAAATCACCCGTCTTCTGCGTCGCTCATGCTGGGAGCTGTAGACTGGTGCTGTTCCTATTCAGCCATCTTGGCTCCCAGAACCAAATTTCAAGCATATTTTCTTGGCACTTAAGTTAGCCAAATTAGTCTTCTTCTAACTCAAATCTGTTGTTTGTTGTTCTTGCAATTTATGAGTTTGTTTTGGTTGACCATAAGAAAACTAATCTGACAACCTCAGGTACTTGAATTGAATTTTTGAAATGTGAAAATTAAAGATAAGCTATGGCACATGCTATGTCTTGTGAAAGAGCACTAGAATACCTCTCTGTGTAAGAGGATTGCAACTCTATGATAAGAGAGAAAATCCTGGTGTAATCCTGGTGTCAGTAACAGGAAACATCAGTGGGTTTTGTCTTAGATTTTCCCAGCAAAACATAGTCCAGATTAATGAAGTTAAAACCTTATTCACCTGAGTGATTTTACAATAATATACTAGAATAACATTTTCAAGATTATCAAATTATTAGAATATATTAAGAGGCTAAGTTTGTGTTGTTGTTATTCTTTGTCTTATTGCAATTACCAGTAAAACTGAGGACATTTAGCCAGAGCAACGTGGCCTATAAAAAGGGCAAACAACATACAACATGGTCATTAAAACCTTAAAAGTGAGCTTTTACTATTTGTCTATTCACTGATTAGGTATTATCAGTTTTTCACACAAACATTTTATCTCCTTTGAAAATTTAAATATATAAATTATCTTATAGTTGCAGTTATAAGTAACAATCACGGCCACACCAAGTGGCTCATGCCTGTAATCTAATCACTTTGGGAAGCCAAGGCAGGAAAATCACTTAAGCCCCGGAGTTCAAGACCAGCCTGGGCAAAATATCAAGACTCATCTCTACAAAAAATTTAGAAACTGGCTCAGTGTTGTGGTGAATGCCTGTAATCCCAGCTACTTGGGAGGCTGAAGTGGGAGGGTCACCTGAGTCCAGGAGTTCAAGACTGCAGTGAATTATGATCCTATCACTGCACTCCAGCCAGGGTGACAGAGCAAGACTGTCTCAAAAATAAATAATTAATAAATAAGGCAAACTAAAACAAATAATAGTCATGTATTTTTTTATTCTATTCCTAGGAAAAAAATGAGTTAATGTGTTGATATGGTCTTAAGAAATTATAACCTTTTCCTAATCACTTGAACAATTGGACATTTTACAGCAAAATTTAACCATGGCATAGTTTATTTGCATGTGTATATAAAAAAGGATTTAATATCACTAAGATCAAGTACACAAAGGAATATGCATTATCATCAGGTGACATATTACTGCTTCATATATTACCTTTGAAGTGTAAATCTTGGCTATGCTAGTTCTGTGAGGCCTGTGGCTGTCAGAATAACTGTAATCCAGAAAAGAGTTTCTTTCTTGCTTGAAGAACATGCTTCATTTCCTTAGCAGAACTCTTTATGCATTAGGGACATCTCATTCTCGGGCTGATAATTTCTATTCTATGTAAATAGAAGGATAGACTTTACTCAAGACTTTTTCATATTAAATGGGTCTCTTCATAATGGACACTCTTGCTTATCATCAGTCAGATTCTTTATGTAACAAACAGTTCCCAAATTACTAGTGGGTTTAAACACAAACGTGTATTATTTCTCACAATCCTCTGGTTTAGTTGGGTGGTTCTATTACTCTGGATTAACTCAATTGTTCTTTCCAATTGACTGTACTGCAACTGGACAATATGGATGACCTAATGCACATATCTAGTGATTGTCCCAATGTTAGCTGAAGTAATGAGGATAACTTGGTCACGTCCATTATCCTGAAGGCAGGGTAGCCTAGGCTTCCTTACCTGGCAAGTGGATTCCAAAAACATCAAGAGCACACCCCCCAAGCAGAAGTATTTTACAAGGGTCATTTTATGTCATACTGGTAATGTCTCATTAGCCAAAACAAGTCACAGAGCCATCTGAGATCCATTTGAGATGACTGTATCAAAGAGAATGAGTGAAGGGAAAGAAAAAAATTGTACTGGCATTTTATAATTTACTCCCCAACCCCACATCTAACATTTTAACATGGTGGCTAGAAAACGTTTTAATACATTTGATTTTGGACCTTGATGATGGGATTTAGGGACTATCTTAAAAACATGTAGAGAACTTTACCAGTCAAGGCTACCAGGAACACACCTAAGATATTATGGGGCATGTTAAAGAGAAGATGTTGAGGAGATTTAGGCCTGTGCTAAATGATATTGGTAAAAGGCTTAAGGGAGCATGATCTTGGTTTAGGTTAAGTACTGCCTGAAAGCAGGGTCAATATGCCTTCCTTTATGTAGAAATGGGAGAATTAAAGCAGGGCTAAGTTGCATTTGGAAAAAACAATAAACTAAGCAATAAAGATATGTGGTCAATTTTGTGGTTTTCAAGGGGTTGTTTTTGCATATTTTGGCATGATTATTCGTTTGCCTTGTTTTTGTGTCTCTTGTCATAGTAACAGAATGATCTTTTTTGATATTAATTTTCCATAGAAGTATCTGTCGTCATCAGGAGAACACCATGTTCTATATCTTAGTCATAGGCCAGTTGCCAGCTGACAGTAGTTAGGGGTTTTGTTCCTTCTTTGTCAACTGAGACTTTAGAATTTGTGTTTGTAGGTGTGTGTAAACTGAAATCTGGCACACCATGGATAAGTATTTAATGTTTTAGCAATATGTCGCTATTAGACAAGTCCATGAGTTCAATTCTCCTCAGTCAATCTACATCTGAAGCAGTTTGGGTCAATACATCTTTTTTCCCTTTCTTTGTTATGGACTGCCTATGTTACAAATAAAACTTATTGTACAATCATAAAAATGTTAAAACAGTGACAGAAAAATCCAACTTACAAAAATGTAGTTGAATATCTGTAGCATCTTGGCTTAAATTGCTTTAGCATTTCACCAGAGAAACAAATATTCACATTCTGACATTCTAATTTGACTATACCAGTATCACAAGACCTCTGTGCTGCAAAATCATTTCAAAATAATTCCATAAGTACATGTCTTGGCATTTGGTTTGATTTGCTGGTACTGATGGTACTCTTTCTTATTATATGCATATACATTTATGTGAAAATTTCATGGAGAATATATCTTGTTTTTTACTAGCTGAGGCTTGCTGCAGAAACCTGGTTTTTATGATCATATTATTAATAGTTATTAACTCAAACTAATGATTTTACAGAAAGTTCTTGAGAAAAGAATTCCCAGAAGTTATTAGCATGCAGGAAGTGTTTTATAATTTGATACAACTTAATATCAACTAGTGCATACATAGGCTAGTAAAATGATTACCAAAATGCATTAATTCCATGGAAGCAAAAACTTAGACCAAGAGGTGAATATAAAACCAAAAACCAAACCAAACCAAACAAACAAAAAAATGATAAAGAAGGCTGGATATTTCACCATGTACATAATAGGTTTTAACTTACTTAGATTTCCAAGGACAAGGGACCAGAGCTGATAATTGGTTTATGCATCTGAAATATCTTGAGGGGAGTATTGTAAATATATGCATCTTTAATATAATTATTATCCTAGAATTGAAACTAAGTAATAGTTTTAACTTTATATACCTGGTTGTGGAGAGTGTTAATTAGAAGTAGTACAAAGTTTTTTGTGATTAACATTAAAGGTTATTCATGATATACAATGAGAAATTTGCCATTTCAGATAAAAAGGCATGTATTTGCAGTGCTTCATAATCACTGTCATGTGATTAGGAGCAAGTGACCTTCTCACAATTTGATGTGTGTGAAAGCATGCAGAAAATAATATAGAAAATCAAGCAAAGAATTTTCCAAAAAATAATTTGGAGGAGTTCTTCCAAAAAGCAAAACGGGTCAATGACACATAGGTTAGGACTGAATAGTCCCACCAGCTGTCAAAGCATATAAACCCAAAATGATTAAAATGATTAAATTTGGAGCACCTGGTAATGACCATTTGCTATAAAAAATGTGTATATGGTTATAGGATAATTCCTTAAATTTTAAAAAAATGATTGAGAACTTTATCACATGATAGATCCTAAAGAAGTAGAAGACAAATTACTAGACTTTTTCTAGTCCCCATGTTTAGAAGTCATCCATAGTTTTAAATCCTTCTTTCCCTGTGATGTAAGTAATAATAAACTACTCAAATAGTATTTGATAAAGTGGGCAATATCTGTGCCTGCTCTGTACAAAAACAAAAAAGGCTCAATTGCAGCATGCAGATAGTTGGACTCTGACATTCTCCAGGGTAGTAACATGGAATACTTGCAAGACCAGAATTATTCTTTTTAGTTAAGTGACTTGAGAAGTGAATAGGAACTACATGTAAGAATGCCCGTCCGCGTTCCTGTAAATTTATAGTAAGGATAGCAGTCTCCGTGTTGGATCCACTCAGTCTTTAGTTGGCTTAGGAACTGGGTGGGCTAGAGAGTTAAAGTTTGATTCTGGGTATTTTATTAATTCCAAGCCAGAACTCATCCTACATCAGGCTCACAGAGTAGGCAGGTGATTTTACCCACTAATTTGCCACCAGTAAGAAACACTTAATTATAAACTGGGACACTGTAGTGAGCAGAAAACCCATCTATGGTATTTTATTACTTAAAAATGAGCATTATTTATTTTCCAAACTGCTTATATAATGAGATTCTGATAGAGGTAATAAATTTTTTGTGAAGTTAAATGGAATAATCTTTATTTTTCAGGATAAATTTATTGTGTGAATTTAAGGTATAAAATTTAAGGTATAAAAATAATGTTATTACATCATAATCTTTATAAAGTATGTTTTACTTGCTCTCTTTTTCCTGTATGTGCCATGTTTCATTAAGTGTATGAAGCTATTTTGTAAAAGTTTTGAAACCTGTCACTGATGTTTCCAAATCTAGTACTGACAGTGTGTTGTTTTCTGAATTTGCCAACTCTAGACCTTCATAGTCTCCAGAAAGACTTTTTGTCCATATGGGAATTGTCCTGAGCTCATCCCTGCAGAGTTATGCACCTCCTAGGCTTTAGTTCACTGTGGCAGTATTTGTGTTTCCTTATCCTTATATATGCAATTCCATCTGTTGGCTCTCCTAAATGAACTTTCTGAGTTCTTGTCAATACACTTGACCCTTACCTGAGCAGTGATAGATGTCAATATAAATGTCAGTATAGTTGGATATTAAGTAAGCCCCCAAAAAATTGTGTAACCCCGATCAACAAAAGTAACAAAGATATCGATTTCTTATTTACAAGAAAAAAATGAAAACAAGAAATAGAAAAATAGAAATGTTTTATTTTTGTTTGCTTTTATTTTTCCATTTTTAGTTTTCAAGGGAAGGGATAGAGAGTGGAAGGAAATAGAAGATGAAAAAAAAGAGAATGCTCTGGGGTCAGAATAAGTAGAATACGAAATATCCAGGATTTGGAGAAGAAAAAAAAAAGAGAGAAATAGACATGGCAGGTGATTACTGACTCAAAAATGAACTTTTGTGTAATATGCCCAAAAGATTGAAGGATTATCACTGCATGTTATTTTCTGTAACTCAATTGTAGATCGGTCCATTATTTTTCTCTTTGGCTCTTTCAAGGGCATAATTAAGGTTTAATCTTGCTTCCTCTCATGCATATTTTTCTATATACTGTCTACTATACTAATAGCTATCATACTGAGATGGGGTATCTCTACTGTTACCCAAAGTCATTGGAGATTCTAGGTTATAGCTCACACAAGGGAATAATGATTCCTATCTCTCAAAGAAATGAACCCAAAAGATTATCATCTAGCCACCACTTCTCTTTAGAAAAATGTAAATACAGAGAAGTGATATGCACATATAAAATTATATGAAAGTCTGAAAGTGTAGAGCAATACCTGTAGAAAATTCAAGGTTAGGAAGAATAAAGTTCTCACAAAATCAAATTTTTATTGCTGTATGTAAGGAAAGACAGCTCAAAACTGAAGGCCATTTAGACATGTGTATCCATGTATTTATGTGTATACACATTAGACATATGTGTATTTCCACTCTTCACTTTATTATCCTTTCTTCATGTTCACACTTGTATTTACACATACACACACACTCCTCCTCTTCAGAAGGTTCCATCTGAAAACGTATATCCCTTCTTCTTGACAAATCACTCCCTATTCACAGGAGAAACTGTTGCTTCATGATTGCTTTAAAATTGTCATTCTCACCTAACATCATATGCCTCTGTCAGGAGGACAAGGGTGTGTTTGCTTTTGCAGAGAAGTGAAGGCTTAAGGTGGGTCATGAAATTTAGCCAATGGAGATGAACCAAATTCTAATCCAACGCTTTCTTATTCAAGAGCAGATCAGCAGGCTTTCTTACTTAGTAGTCTATTAACTTAGCACCTCTGTCTAATACCTTACTTTCTCTCTGCAGCAAAATGGCATATTGGAGAAAGAATATTCTCTCTGTTAGGGAGGATTTGGTCTTGTCCTCTAAGCACAATGATGTACTATTGTTGTGCTGAGGAATATTGGTCATTGTTCCGCTCTGCCTGAGGCCTGTGTCACAAAGAAACTGTAACAATGGCTGTTCTTTTAGTTTACTAAGGAAAGAGTAGAGACTCACTCAGATTTCAGGTTTTGTTTTTTTTTTCTTTTTGAGTGGGAGCTTCGTAGGAGCTTGCAACTGTCGTAATGGAAGAAACACACAGGAAAAGAAGAATCAGAATTATTTAAATCCTTTCTGAAATTACTCACTCTGAAATCTATAATCAGTGTATGCAAAGCCTTAGACTAAGTTATTTCCCTGTCAAATCAATCATAAAGGAAAGAAATAGTTCCCAATTCTATATTTTATCCAGAAGTACTGAAACAAAAACACAATATTAATAATATTTTGCCACATTTATATTTTCTGTGTCTATGAGGATTTACAATTACCTAAAACATTTATCAAAAATGAAACAAATGCATACCCTTTTAAAACTACTTTTTTTCTTTCAACGTAGCATAGATCATTTTTATTCATCTCTTTCTTACTCTCTACTTATTGTTTCTTCCTCATACTTTGTGTGATTTTTCAGGCTAGCATGTTTGAAATATAACGGAACCAGCTAATAACATGTTTCAATTTTCAAAAATAAAACTATATCAATATAAATTTATATGATTATACACAGCCATATTAAAAATATATGTTACTGTTATTTCATACTGCTTTATATAGAAGGATACTCATATTCAATTACTTATAGAAAATAATACAATATTCTTTTTCAAGAGTAAACTCAGAATCTAGGGCATGTTTCTCAATGGAGCTGTGCTTTCCACAAAGGCACATTGTATAAAGGCATGGAGGTATTTTCACTTGTCATAATTATTGTGGAGATGTTCTAGGCATGAGCTTTTAATGCTAAATGTTTAAAGGTCATAAGTTGGTAGAACATTATTAAGACTTTTATGTTCTCAAATTTTTAATGACCCACAGCGAGTCATGAGGTCGGATTTTTTTTAAATATCTAATTTTAGAATCAGATTGCATTTTTACAATAAAACATAACTCATTTTTGCATTGTTTTAATATATGCTGATTTTTTCCAAGAATACAGTATTGGGTAAATGCAGACAAGGCCTGCTTTCTTTCTAACTTTAGCATTCAAAAATTATACACATGCACATGCACACGTGCACACACATAAACTTGGCCCTTATATCAAAATGTCAAATATAGAAAAATAGTCTAACTTGTTGAAAGTTTTCTTACTTTTAATAAGCATAATTTAAACACATTCTGTCTACTTAATTTTGTATACTAAGTTATATAAATAACTATTACTATATACATGGGGAGATTTTCTTTTTCTTTTATTCTTACTCCCTCTTTTCCTGACTCTCTGCCCTCCTGTTGTGGCAAATCCTGTGAAAACTTACTCATTCTAGAAAGCTGAGACCTATACTTGGTCATAGTAATAGTGAAATGCCAAATCAATATTATAATTTTGCTAACTTCAATTGCTTTTTCAGTTCCGTGGTAACTGCCCTCTTTCCATTATACATAAAAAGAAAAATACCATCTTTTTCCACTCATGTAAACCCTTATTTTCAAGATTTATTAAATACCTACAAATTTAATGTTTTATTAAGCAGATGCATATGTATAGAAATGGAAAATATTTATTCTCCTAGACTTATGTTACTCATGAAATTTATAACACCATTATAAAATTAATTTTTTTTCCAAATATATTTTTAAACTTTTTAATAAAGAAATTAACAAAATTGACCAAATGTCAGGTGAAAGAAAGCATATTAATCTTAAATACATATAATAATTATTATTATTTTTTTAAGTTTTAGGGTACATGTGCACATTGTGCAGGTTACTTACATATGTATACATGTGACATGCTGGTGCGCTGCACCCACTAACTCGTCATCTAGCATTAGGTATATCTCCCGATGCTATCCCTCCCCCCTCCCCCCACCCCACAACAGTCCCCAGAGTGTGATATTCCCCTTCCTGTGTCCATGTGATCTCATTGTTCAATTCCCACCTATGAGTGAGAATATGCGGTGTTTGGTTTTTTGTTCTTGTGATAGTTTACTGAGAATGATGATTTCCAATTTCATCCATGTCCCTACAAAGGACATGAACTCATCATTTTTTACGGCTGCATAGTATTCCATGATATATATGTGCCACATTTTCTTAATCCAGTCTATCATTGTTGGACATTTGGGTTGGTTCCAAGTCTTTGCTATTGTGAATAATGCTGCAATAAACATACGGGTGCATATGTCTTTATAGCAGCATGATTTATAGTCCTTTGGGTATATACCCAGTAATGGGATGGCTGGGTCAAATGGTATTTCCAGTTCTAGATCCCTGAGGAATCGCCACACTGACTTCCACAATGGTAGAACTAGTCTACAGTCCCAACAACAGTGTAAAAATGTTCCTATTTCTCCACATCCTCTCCAGCACCTGTTGTTCCCTGACTTTTTAATGATTGCCATTCAAACTGGTGTGAGATGGTATCTCATTGTGGTTTTGATTTGCATTTCTCTGATGGCCAGTGATGATGAGCATGTTTTCATGTGTTTTTTGGCTGCAGAAATGTCTTCTTTTGAGAAGTGTCTGTTCATGTCCTTTGCCCACTTTTTGATGGGGTTGTTTGTTTTTTTCTTGTAAATTTGTTTGAGTTCATTGTAGATTCTGGATATTAGCCGTTTGTCAGATGAGTAGGTTGCGAAAATTTTCTCCCATTTTGTAGGTTGCCTGTTCACTCTGATTGTAGTTTCTTTTGCTGTGCAGAAGCTCTTTAGTTTAATTAGATTTCATTTGTCAATTTTGTCTTTTGTTGCCATTGCTTTTGGTGTTTTAGACATGAAGTCCTTGCCCATGCCTATGTCCTGAATGGTAATGCCTAGGTTTTCTTCTAGGGTTTTTATGGTTTTAGGTCTAACGTTTAAGTCTTTAATCCATCTTGAATTGATTTTTGTATAAGGTGTAAGGAAGGGATCCAGTTCCAGCTTTCTACATATGGCTAGCCAGTTTTCCCAGCACCATTTATTAAATAGGGAATCCTTTCCCCATTGCTTGTTTTTCTCAGGTTTGTCAAAGATAAGATAGTTGTAGATATGCGGCATTATTTCTGAGGGCTCTGTTCTGTTCCATTGATCTATATCTCTGTTTTGGTACCAGTACCATGCTGTTTTGGTTACTGTAGCCTTGTAGTATAGTTTGAAGTCAGGTAGTGTGATGCCTCCAGCTTTGTTCTTTTGGCTTAGGATTGACTTGGCAATGCGGGCTCCTTTTTGGTTCCATATGAACTTTAAAGTAGTTTTTTCCAATTCTGTGAAGAAAGTCATTGGTAGCTTGATGGGGATGGCATTGAATCTGTAAATTACCTTGGGCAGTATGGCCATTTTCACAATATTGATTCTTCCTACCCATGAGCATGGAATGTTCTTCCATTTGTTTGTATCCTCTTTTATTTCCTTGAGCAGTGGTTTGTAGTTCTGCTTGAAGAGGTCCTTCACATCCCTTGTAAGTTGGATTCCTAGGTATTGTATTCTCTTTGAAGCAATTGTGAATGGGAGTTCACTCATGATTTGGCTCTCTGTTTGTCTGTTGTTGGTGTATAAGAATGCTTGTGATTTTTGTACATTGATTTTGTATCCTGAGACTTTGCTGAAGTTGCTTATCAGCTTCAGGAGATTTTGGGCTGAGACAATGGGGTTTTCTAGATATACAATCATGTCGTCTGCAAACAGGGACAATTTGACTTCCTCTTTTCCTAATTGAATACCCTTTATTTCCTTCTCCTGCCTAATTGCCCTGGCCAGAACTTCCAACACTATGTTGACTAGGAGTGGTGAGAGAGGGCATCCCTGTCTTGTGCCAGTTTTCAAAGGGAATGCTTCCAGTTTTTGCCCATTCTGTATGATATTGGCTGTGGGTTTGTCATAGATAGCTCTTATTATTTTGAAATACGTTCCGTCAATACCTAATTTATTGAGAGTTTTTAGCATGAAGGGTTGTTGAATTTTGTCAAAGGCTTTTTTTTTCTGCATCTATTGAGATAATCATGTGGTTTTTGTCTTTGGCTCTGTTTATATGCTGGATTACATTGATTGATTTGCATATATTGAACCAGCCTTGCATCCCAGGGATGAAGCCCACTTGATCATGGTGGATAAGCTTTTTGATGTGCTGCTGGATTCGTTTTGCCAGTATTTTATTGAGGATTTTTGCATCAATGTTCATCAAGGATATTGGTCTAAAATTCTCTTTTTTTGTTGTGTCTCTGCCTGGCTTTGGTATCAGAATGATGCTGGCCTCATAAAATGAGTGAGGGAGGATTCCCTCTTTTTCTATTGATTGGAATAGTTTCAGAAGGAATGGTACCAGTTCCTCCTTTTACCTCTGGTAGAATTCGGCTGTGAATCCATCTGGTCCTGGACTCTTTTTGGTTGGTAAACTATTGATTATTGCCACAATTTCAGCTCCTGTTATTGGTCTATTCAGAGATTCAACTTCTTCCTGGTGTAGTCTTGGGAGAGTGTATGTGTCGAGGAATTTATCCATTTCTTCTAGATTTTCTAGTTTATTTGCATAGAGGTGTTTGTAGTATTCTCTGATGGTAGTTTGTATTTCTGTGGGATCGGTGGTGATATCCCCTTTATCATTTTTTACTGCGTCTATTCGATTCTTCTCTCTTTTTTTCTTTATTAGTCTTGCTAGCGGTCTATCAATTTTGTTGATCCTTTCAAAAAACCAGCTCCTGGATTCATTAATTTTTTGAAGGGTTTTTTGTGTCTCTATTTCCTTCAGTTCTGCTCTGATTTTAGTTATTTCTTGCCTTGTGCTAGCTTTTGAATGTGTTTGCTCTTGCTTTTCTAGTTCTTTCAATTGTGATTTTGGGTGTCAGTTTTGGATCTTTCCTGCTTTCTCTTGTGGGCATTTAGTGCTATAAATTTCCCTCTACACACTGCTTTGAATGCATCCCAGAGATTCTGGTATGTTGTGTCTTTGTTCTCGTTGGTTTCAAAGAACATCTTTATTTCTGCCTTCATTTCATTATGTACCCAGTAGTCATTCAGGAGCAGGTTGTTCAGTTTCCATGTAGTTGAGTGGTTTTGAGTGAGATTCTTAACCCTGAGTTCTAGTTTGATTGCACTGTGGTCTGAGAGATAGTTTAGTTTGTTATAATTTCTGTTCTTTTACATTTGCTGAGGACAGCTTTACTTCCCAGTATGTGGTCAATTTTGGAATAGGTGTGGTGTGGTGCTGAAAAAAATGTATATTCTGTTGATTTGGGGTGGAGAGTTCTGTAGATGTCTATTAGGTCTGCTTGGTGCAGAGCTGAGTTCAATTCCTGGGTATCCTTGTTGACTTTCTGTCTCGTTGATCTGTCTAATGTTGACAGTGGGGTGTTAAAGTCTCCCATTATTAATGTGTGGGAGTCTAAGTCTCTTTGTAGGTTACTCAGGACTTGCTTTATGAATCTTGGTGCTCCTGTATTGGGTGCATATATATTTAGGATAGTTAGCTCTTCTTGTTGAATTGATCCCTTTACCATTATGTAATGGCCTTCTTTGTCTCTTTTGATCTTTGTTGGTTTAAAGTCTGTTTTATCAGAGACTAGGATTGCAACCCCTGCCTTTTTTTGTTTTCCATTGGCTTGGTAGATCTTCCTCCATCCTTTTATTTTGAGCCTATGTGTGTCTCTGCATATGAGATGGGTTTCCTGAATACAGCACACTGATGGGTCTTGACTCATCCAATTTGCCTGTCTGTGTCTTTTAATTGGAGCATTTAGTCCATTTACATTTAAAGTTAATATTGTTATGTGTGAATTTGATCCTGTCATGATGATGTTAGCTGGTTATTTTGCTCGTTAGTTGATGCAGTTTCTTCCTAGTCTCGATGGTCTTTACATTTTGGCATGATTTTGCAGTGGCTGGTACCAGTTGTTCCTTTCCATGTTTAGTGCTTCCTTCAGGAGCTCTTGTAAGGCAGGCCTGGTGGTGACACAATCTCTCAGCATTTGCTTGTCTGTAAAATATTTTATTTCTCCTTCACTTATGAAGCTTAGTTTGGCTGGATATGAAATTCTGGGTTGAAAATTCTTTTTTCTTTAAGAGTGTTGAATATTGGGCCCCCACTCTCTTCTGGCTTGTAGGGTTTCTGCCGAGAGATCCGCTGTTAGTCTGATGGGCTTCCCTTTGAGGGTAACCCGACCTTTCTCTCTGGCTGCCCTTAACATCTTTTCCTTCATTTCAACTTTGGTGAATCTGACAATTATGTGTCTTGGAGTTGCTCTTCTCGAGGAGTATCTTTGTGGCATTCTCTGTATTTCCTGAATCTGAACGTTGGCCTGCCTTGCTAGATTGGGGAAGTTCTCCTGGATAATATCCTGCAGAGTGTTTTCCAACTTGGTTCCATTCTCCCCATCACTTTCAGGTACACCAATCAGACGTAGATTTGGTCTTTTCACATAGTCCCATATTTCTTGGAGGCTTTGCTCATTTCTTTTTATTCATTTTTCTCTAGACTTCCCTTCTCACTTCATTTCATTCATTTCATCTTCCATTGCTGATACCCTTTCTTCCAGTTGATTGCATCGGCTCCTGAGGCTTCTGCATTCTTCACATAGTTCTCAGGCCTTGGTTTTCAGCTCCATCAGCTCCTTTAAGCACTTCTCTGTATTGGTTATTCTAGTTATACATTCTTCCAAATTTTTTTCAAAGTTTTCAACTTCTTTGCCTTTGGTTTGGATGTCCTCCCGTAGCTCAGAGTAATTTGATTGTCTGAAGCCTTCTTCTCTCAGCTTGTCAAAGTCATTCTCCATCCAGCTTTGTTCCATTGCTGGTGAGGAACTGCGTTCATTTGGAGGAGGAGAGGTGCTCTGCTTTTTAGAGTTTCCAGTTTTTCTTTTCTGTTTTTTCCCCATCTTTGTGGTTTTTATCTACTTTTGGTCTTTGATGATGGTGATGTATGATGTACAGGTGGGTTTTTGGTGTGGATGTCCTTTCTGTTGTTTGTTAGTTTTCCTTCTAACAGAGAAGACCCTCAGCTGCAGGTCTGTTGGAGTACCCTGCCGTGTGAGGTGTCAGTGTGCCCTTGCTGGGGGGTGTCTCCCAGTTAGGCTGCTCGGGGGTCAGGGATCAGGGACCCACTTGAGGAGGCAGTCTGCCCATTCTCAGATCTCCAGCTGCGTGCTGGGAGAACCACTGCTCTCTTCAAAGCTGTCAGACAGGGACATTTAAGTCTGCAGAGGTTACTGCTGTCTTTTTGTTTGTCTTTGTCCTGCCCCCAGAGGTGGAGCCTACAGAGGCAGGCAGGCCTCCTTGAGCTGTGGTGGGCTCCACCCAGTTGGAGCTTCCTGGCTGCTTTGTTTACCTAATCAAGCCTGGGCAATGGCGGGCACCCCTCCCCCAGCCTGGCTGCTGCCTTGCAGTTTGATCTCAGACTGCTGTGCTAGCAATCAGCCAGACTCCGTGGGCGTAGGACCCTCCGAGCCAGGTGCGGGATATAATCTCGTGGTGCGCCATTTTTTAAGCCCGTCAGAAAAACACAGTATTCGGGTGGGAGTGACCCGATTTTCCAGGTGCCGTCCATCACCCCTTCCTTTGACTCAGAAAGGGAACTCTCTGACCCCTTGCGCTTCCCAGTTGAGGCAATGCCTCGCCCTGCTTCGGCTCAGGCACGGTGCGCACACCCACTGACCTGCGCCCACTGTCTGGCACTCCCTAGTGAGATGAACCCGGTACCTCACATGGAAATGCGGAAATCACCCGTCTTCTTCGTTGCTCAGGCTGGGAGCTGTAGACTGGAGCTGTTCCTATTCGGCCATCTTGGCTCCTCCCCATAAAATTAATTAATTTTTTAAGATAATTTATATTAGACTAAGAGTTAAAATCTGGCTATTACTATCTATAAGTAAGTCATGTGCTTTCTACTAACATTAACTCATTCATATAATTTTGGTACTCTGTTGTGAGTTGCTAATGAGGATAAGTTTCCTCTAACATGCTTTAAGATTATCTAATAATTATGAATTATGCCTTGTTAAAATAAGCATTTATTATTTTATGTAATGTCACTCAATATATTTTCTATTTTTATAGCTCTCATTATGTTTAATTATTAAATTTGTATTTTAAAATAAAATGGGATTCTAACAAATGTAATTGCAACTGTAATATGGTTAATATGTTGCAGTATTATGCTTTCTAATTTACTTATATTTTTATGTTCTAGCATTTTTCTCATGCACTCTTGGCCATTTATTGATTACTCAACTAATGTTAACTATATTTTACCAAGAAAAATTAGAAATTACCATTTTTAACAATATTTCCATGATGTCTGTCATGCAGATTTATTTGTATTTAAAATGTTTCAGAGTAAATTTCAAAAAACATCATATAGTGACACCAATGAGACTGCATTAAAATCAAACTACCTCCTGGCTTTTGGCTATTTCTTAATAACATCTTTTAAAAAACATGTTTTCTTGGTAAACAATTATTTAGTGATTCAATAATTATTGGATAATAATTGCACTTCATAAATTTAATTATGAGTTTTCTTTAAATAAAAGATCTAGGTAATTAAGAAATAAATACATTTAGGGCTTTGATATATTGCAAGGAATTTCTTTATAATGAATAAGACATTAGCACTCAGTTTTAAATAATAAGCAATCTAACATATGAATGTATCATCAAATTCTTTGAGAACTTCCAATACTTTGCTTCAAACGTTGTTATTTTAATAATTAAAATTAAAAAAGAATAATATTTTGTGACAAGCACAATCATACAAAATTTAAATTTCAGCGTCTATATAGTTTTATTGAGACACAGCCACATTCATTATTTCACACTTTGGCTATGGCTGCTTTCACACTACATGGGCAGATTTGAGTAGATGTAACTGATATGTTATGGCCATCATAGCCTAACATATTTACTCTCTGGACTACCACAGACAACAATTTTCTGACACTGCCCTAAATAAAAATGAATTGATGACATTCAAGTATGAAAATGAAAAATTTATGAGTTTACAATAAAAAAACAAACAGATTATTGAGGAATTATTATTTAAACTAGCTGCTTAAATGACTGAGAATATCTTCATTTTTAACAAACTTACAATACTGTCAGTAACATATTCAACCTTTATATAATATTTCCAGTGAAATATTTTTTAAAATAATCATTATTGTTTGTTTTGCTATTTTTGAAAAATCTATTAATATCATTGGACAAGTTTTGTAGAAACTTCGCAACATTTGAAACTCTTGCATTAATAGCAATGCCATTGAAATGCCTATAGAAATCAATCATTATCTTTGGTAAACACACTTTAAACTCATCTTGTTAAACTATTAAATTTTAGTGTTTTTGCAAATTGCATGCAAATAAATATGAAATATAGTTTAATTTTTCTATGTTCTCTACATTTCAATACATTTAAAGTAATACCATGTTTTATGAAACAAATACAAAAATCACAAGTATTATTTTCTATCAAAATTAATTTGCAGTACATATAGATTTGTCTTAGTCAACTGAACATGAATTAAATAAGTAGTTCTACATTTTCTTAGTACACATTTTAATGCATTACCTTCTTATTCTGATTAGATACTGAATATTCCACCAAAAAAAAATTATGGAATAAAAATAAGTTATATTCATTGCTAAGCTCTTGAGAAAAAAAAAACCAGGAGTTATTTCTTTAAAAAAAGTCACATGCTTTTATTTTATTTTATTTTATTCTATTTATTTTTATAGATTCGGGGGTACACACGTAGTTTTGTTACATGGGTATGCTGCATAATGCTAAGGTTTGGACTTCTGTTGTACCTGTTACCTGAATAGTGAATATTGCACCCAATAGGTGAGTTTTCAACTCCCTCTACCCTCTCACTTCTCCTTTTTGGAGTTTCCAGGGTCTGCTATTTTCCACTGCTTAGCTTATGAGTGAGAATATATGGTATTTGATTTCCTGTTTCTGAATTATTTCACCTAGGATAATGGCTCCAGCTCCATCCATGCTGCTGTAAAATACATGATTTCTTTCTCTTCTATGGATGTTTAGTATTCTATGGTGTATGTATGTATGTATACCACATTTTTTTTATTCAATCGCCCAATGATTGACACTTACATTGATTCCATGACTCTGCTATTATGAATAGTGCTGCAATAAATATACTAGTGCAAGTGTCTTTCTGAAATAAAAATTTATTTTCCTTTTGGTATATACCCAGAAGTGGAGATGATAGATTAATTGGAATTTCTAGTTTTATTTCTTTGGGAAATCTCTGTACTGTTTTCCATACAAGTTGTACAGATTTACCTTCTCACCAGCAGCATATCGGCATTTCCTTTTCTCTGCTTTTGTGCAATATCTGTTGTTTTATGACTTATTAGTAACTATTCTGACTGTTGTAAGATGGTATGGTATTTCATTGTGATTTCAATTTGCATTTCTCTGATGATCAGTGATGTTGAGCTTTTTCTCATATATTTGTTGGCTGTTTCTATGTCTTCTTTTGAGAAATGTTTTTTCGTGTTCATTGTCCATTTTTAATGAAGTTATTTGGCTCTTTTTCTTGTTAAATTGTTTGAGTTCCTTATAGATTATGAATATTAGTCCTTTGTCAAATGCCTAGGTTGCAAATATTTCTCCCATTCTATAGGTTGTCTGTTTACCCTGTTAATGATATCTTTTGCTGTGCAGAAGCTTTTCAGTTTAAGTTCCATTTTTTAATGTTTGTTTCCTTGGATTTGATTTTGAGGTCTTAGTTATAAACTATTTGCCTAGGCCAATGTCAGAATGACTTTTTTCTCGGTTTTCTTCTGGTACTGTCATAGTTTGAACTTTTACATTCAAGTTTGTCATCATCTTGAGTTAATTTTTGTATATGATGAGGAATAGGAGTCCTGTTTCATTCCATTTATGGTTATTAGATATTCCCAGCAATATATATTGAATAGAGAGTCCTTTCCCCATTGAATATTTTTTAGACTTTGTTGAAGATCAGCTGGTTGTAGGTATGGGGCTTTATTTCTGGGTTCTCAATTCTGTTCAATTGATCTGTGTGTCTATTTTTATACCAGTACCATGCTGTTTTGATTAGAATAGTATTATAGTATAATTTGAAGTGCAGTGATGTGATGCTTCCAGCTTTGTTATTTTTGCTTCATACAGCTTTGGCTATTTGGGGTCTTCTGGGGTTCCATATGAATTTTAGAATTGTTTCTTCTAATTCTGTAAAGTCACATGCTTTGAAATCAATGTAACTGAGCCAGAAATCAGTGCAAAGAAAGATGACTAGAAAAGAAGCTCTATTAGTCTGTCCTCATGCTGCTAATAAATACATATCCGAGACTAGGCAATTTTTAAAGGTAAGGGGTTTAATTGACTCACAGTTTCACATGGCCAGGGAGGCCTCCCAATCATGGTGGAAGGCAAATGTGGAGCAAAGTCATGTTTTACATGGTGGCAGGCAAGAGAGCTTTTCCAGCGGGAGCTCCCCCTTATAAAATCATCAGATCTCATGAGACTTATTCACTATCACAGGAACAGCACAGGAAAGATCTGCCCCCATGATTAAATTACCTCCCATCTGGTCTCTCTAACCACATGTGGGAATTATGGGAGCTACAATTCAAGATGAGGTTTAAGTGGTGCCACTGTCAAACCATATCAGAAGCACTTGAAAATTAAAAAAAAAAAAAAAACTCCGAAAAACCTGTATTTGATATCGGAACATATTTAGATCTGTAAAACAATAGCAAAAATAACAATATATGAAAACTTGCATAAAGCTATAATATTAAATATAAAAGAATTTGTGCAGCATTGTAATTTTATATAATTTAATGAGCTAATATTCATCTGAAGAAGTTAGATGAACAAAACAGAGTAAACCCTCAAAAATTTAGGTTGAAAGAACAATAAAATTATAAAAAGAAATTAATGAAATAGAGGTTATTAAATGATTCAAAAAATCAAAGATGATACTTTGGAAATACTTGTGGAATAGATCAGTATCATACAAAATAAGTCAGTGGAAAGGAAAAAAACAAAGTCAAGAATCAAAATTCAGTCATAACTACTGACAATACAGGTAATAACAGGACCACATAAAAAACTTCATGAAATAAATATAAAACTGATCTTTAAAGTATTTATTAATTTGTTATTTTTATTGACAAATCATTAAATTAAATTTATAGAGTATGAAATCATGTTTTTATATATGTATACAATATAGACTCATCATGCTATTATGATTAAATCATGCTAATCAAAATAGTCATCACTTCGTTTTACATTTTTTGTGGTGCTATATTTGAAATTTACTCTGCTATTATTTCAAAATAAACAATGCATCATTATTATTGACTGTAGTCATCCTGCTTTGCAATAGATCTCAAAACATAGTTTTTCTGTAAAGCTGAAACTTTGTACCCTTTGACAAGTAATTCCCAATTCACTTGCCTCTCCCCTCCCCTGCTCCCAGCCCTTGGTAACCATCCTTCTACTCTCTACTTCTATGAATTCAACTTTTTTTAGATTTCACCTGTAAATGAAATCATACAGTATTAGTCTTTCTATGCCTACCTTATTTCTCCTTGCATAATGCCTTCCACATTCACTCATGTTGTCTCAGGTGACAGAATTTTGTTCTTTTTAAAGGCTGTGTTATATTTCTCTACATATATGTACCACATTTTCTTTCTTATTCATCCACTGATGAACATTTAGGTTGAGTTCATATATTGGGTATTGTAACTAACTAATGTTACTATAAACGTGGGCGTGAAGATATCAATTTGACATATTGATTTCAGTTCCTTTGCTTATATTCCCAGAAGTGAGATGACTGGATCATGGAATTTCTATTTTTATTTTTGTGAGGAACCTCCATACCATTTTCCATACTGGCTACAATAATTTACATTATCACCTTCATTGTACAAGGATTACATTTTTTTTTCACATCCTCACCAACACTTACTATCTATCTATCTATATTCCATGTTTTTGATAAAAGCTAGTCTAACAGGTATGAGATAATATCTCACTGTGGTTTGGATCTTCATTTTCCTAATAATTATGATGCTGAGAACTTTTTTTAATGGATCTGTTGGCTGTCGGCATGTTTTCTTTTGAGAAATGTCTGTTCAGGTTCTTTGCCATTTTTTTAAGTCAGGTTATTTGTTTTCTCATCATTGAGTTGTTTGAGTTCTTTATATATTTTGGATATTAACTACTTATCATCAGATATGTGATTTGTAAATATTTTTCCCACACTGTGATGTATCTCTTTACTTTGTTAATTGTTTTTATTTTTTTTCTCTGTGCAGAAGCTTTTTAGTTAAATGCAATTATATTTCATCTATTTTTTCTTTTGTTGTCTCAGACTTCAGGTTCTTTTAAAAAAATCTTTGCCCAGGTGCGATGGCTCACGCCTGTAATCCCAGCACTTTGGGAGGCCAAGGCAGGTGGATCACCTGAGGTCAGGAGTTCAAGACCAGCCTGGCCAACATGGTAAAACCCCGTCTCTACTAAAAATACAAAAATTAGCCAGGCATCATGCTGGATGCCTGTAATCCCAGCTACTCGGGAAGCTGAGGCGGGAGAATCACTTGAACCCAGGAGGCGGAGGTTGCAATGAGCCGAAATCATGCCATTGCACTCCAGCCTGGGTGACGAGAGCAAGACTCTGTCTAACAACAAAAAAAAAACTTTCTCATGTTGAAATCCATAAGCCCACAAGACTTTATAGGCTAGTTTTACAAAATATGCAAAAGCAGTAACACAAATATTACACTAAATAATTTAAGAATGATTTTTAAAATGGCATGTTTCTTTACTCCTATTTGAGTCTCTCACAACCTTAATATCAAAACTGGAATAGAGCCCTGGATCTAATTCCTTCGTGAATATAGATGCAAAAATTTCTTAACAAAACATTAGTATAGTATCTAAGTATACATAAAAAGTAATGAGATATTATTAACATACGGGGTTTATCTCAAAAATATGTGATTGAGTTTATATCAGAAAATTGTTCAATATAATTAAACCATATTTTTAATTTTAAATCAGAAAAATTATTCAATAAAAGAGAATCTTAATCTTCCTTTACAATGCCACCATAATTGAATTAGTCAACTAAGTCAACCATCTAGGGTTCATTCTTGATTATCTTTTTACCACAACACAGCAAACTATTCACCAAATCCTAAAATTTCAATTTTTACATATTGCTGCAATTGATCATTACCTCCCCATTTTCTCTGCTAATTCATTAATTCTTTTCCCCTTCATGGGTAACTGCTCTACTTATTTTCCCATGAGTTCTGTTGTTCACATTCTCATTGTTCGTGTCTATGTCCTTAAATTATTTATGTATTACTTGAAATTGTTTAGTAGTTTTCCAAAACCACAAAGACAGTATGTAAACTGCTAAATTAGCAGTTTCCAACGTTTTTGGAACCAGGGACTGGTTCATGGAAAACAACTTTTCCACAGACCAGAGTCAGTGGGAATGGTTTTGAGTTTATTCAAGTGCATTACATTTATTGTGTGCTTTATTTCTATTATTATTACATTGTAATATATAATGAAGTAATTATACAACTCACCATAATGTGGAATCAGTGGGAGCCCTGAGCTTGTTTTCCTCCAACGAGACAGTCCCATCTGGGGTAATGGGAGACAATGACAGATCATCAGGCATTATATTTTCATAAGGAGCACACAACCTAGATCTCTTGCATGCACAGCTCACAATAGTTTGTGCTCCTATGAGAATCTAATGTGCTGCTAATCTGACAGGAAGTGGAGCTCAGGTGGTAATATAAACATTAGGGAGAGGCTGTAAATACATAGAAAGCTTTCCTGTTTCAGCCTCTGCTCACCCCCTGCTGTGCGGCAGCCTGGTTACTAACAGGCCATGGACTGGTATGGGTTTGGGGACCCCCTGGTCTAAACTATGCCTGGTATTTCTGTTTTTTAGGCCATAATGTGTTACTATTAACCTCTTCCTCAAGTTATAACACTGGAGGTTGTTAGAACTAAATTACCTACTATATTAAAAATGCTATACAATGTGTAATTTGTGCCTGGCATTGTCATAAATTTTAGCAATATGAAAATTAATATACTATTATCTAATATACTCAGGATCTCATGCAGAAACATCTCAAGTGACTCTTTCTATATTGCAGATATGTGATATCTTCACACATTCTGACTTTGGTGCAGGAAAGCTATACTTAATTTTTGTCATGAAATGCCACTGAAATGTTTGCCTATGGTTATAAATTTTAGTTGATTAAACAACTTGTGTTTTCCAAAATTCCTATATTTTTTCTTCTTTATGAATATTTGAACGTGTCTGTTTTCTTCATTATATTATTAATTCTGAAATCACAAGGGAAAAAAACTTACTTACTTTTTAAGCCAGCATAGCATTGTGTAATAATTTTTTTCTACACAATTTTGTAGTGAGTGTTTATTTACTTCAAGCGTATGTTATTTATTTAAGGCTAGATTCTATAAGGATTTCTTGACTGGAGATGTTTAATAAATTTCACTTAGCTCAAGGCATGAGGATACCATTTTTACAATGAGTGAGTTAGCATTGTGCTTGACACATTCATTGTAAGTGTTCTTGGCTAATTGATTGATTAATAACATAAAAAGTAATTCAGTAGTCAATTGGTCTATACAAGGTAACAAAAGCTCAAGACATTTTCAGCATTATTAAAAAATAATATAACTGAGAATATCCTTTCCCAGGGTTTATAATCATGAAATGTCATATGATGTAGGTATTACAGTTAAGATATTTTTGTACAGAAACAATAAATTGGGTTATGTGTCCACGAAAAACCTTTCCTATCTTTTTCTAGGTAAAAAGAGAAGCTTGAAAATTGATCTCTGGGGATGCAGAGGTGAGCTAGATAGAAAATAAAAGGATGTTGATATCACTATTGCCTGTAGCAGAAATGTCACAGAGTAGCTACGACTTTGCCATATAACCTAACCTTTCTCTGTACCAGCCATTTATTTCTTTAATTTCTTGACAATAGAATGGTGCACTTTTCTTAGTTTAAATTAGAAATGTCTTCTAAACATGTATCTTCATTGTGACCTCTTGTATACAGTTCAGGGATTTTGCTGCTCAGGTACTTAATGGAATCTCTGAAAGTCTGTAAAATATGGTACCTATAGATAGAGTAGTGTTAGGCATAATATAATCATTTCCATTTAAAAACGTATTTCTTTTGTAAAGTTATGCATATCCTTATATTTACACTGTAAAAATATACTGTACTGAAATAATGATAACTTCTGGAATGAATTATATGCAATGTTAGCCATGCTATTTGTATATGTACAGTAGAAAGCAAACATTACAAAGCCATCTCTCATGAAATCACACACATCTTCGAATGACAAAAACATTTATTATTTGTCCATTTGGACACAATTTTTAAAAATCTATCATAGGCAAAGACATTTGAATCTGTCCTCTCTACCTATAATCTTGGATCATACATTCTTTTTCTAGCATCACTGAAGATAACTAATGTCTGTGGTCTCTTATTCTCCTGTTTCTAGTGATTTTGCTTGAAAACACATTACTCTGAAAGTTGTATCAAGCAGATGTTTTGATCTGAATCATTTATCCTTAATTTTTAAATAAAAGGACATGCTTCTTGCTAAAAGGATTTGGGGCATCAAGTAGGCACAGGAAACTCTTTGGAAGCCAGCTTGTAATACACTGGACATTTTAGTGTCTTTAAAAGCAGACTTAGTTGTTTTGTTTTTTCTTTGTCCTTTTTAAAGAGTGATGTAAAAAAAAGTGTGGTAATAAGTATCTCTATTTTAAATCCACCTACAAAGCAAAAACCATATGTACAAAGAACTAGAGGGTGAAAACAATATATTTTTTACTTTTAATCACTGACTTTTTTTCTAATGTTAAACATTATTTCTTATACTTACTGTTGCTTTGAGAAATATTGAAACACATAACTATGCCTGTTATTGTCAACACTGGGCTATATAGTTACTTAGAATGAGACGTAACATTGAATTATACTTTATATTCACTTATCATGGCTATATTTCTCCTTCCATTTAGTGAAAGTACTGCCTATTTTCTTCAAATTTATGAATTGATTACATTGTGATAAATTACAAGAAAGATGACAGGTTATTTGATTTAGAATATGGATTTTTAATATTTAACATTATTTCTGTCAGATATTTTTCTGTGTTGGTAAAGTAATACCTGTCTCTAAATTAAAACATTTGTTATTCTTATTTCCTTTTTTCCTTATACTTCAGAAAGGAAAGCTGTAGTATTTTTCTGCAGAATACATCAGACACCTACCTGTTCAGTGTAAAATTATAGTTGCTTTTGTTGTTAAGACTAACAATAGCTAGTGGGAATGTAATTCAGGGAAATATAACACACATATTATTTTGCCTTTCAATTTCTAAATACAAAAAGTGTTCCATCAACCTACAAAATAAATAAACAAACAGCTTCATAAATAAATTTTAAAAATTACGGGGACATATTTTAGCAATATTATTTTAGATATTTGTCTAAGTTATGGCAAAACTATGAAAAACCAAGAGAAAAGTAAATGTTTTGTTGACAGGAAGAGATTTTAAAAAGCTGAGAGTGGTGCAAATTAAGAGGAATGAAATAGTTTTGGTAATTTTGAGTAAGTGATATAAACTAAGTGTATAATATTATTCCTAAATTACATTCCTACATATATAAATCAACATATACACAGAAAAAAATGAAAATTTAAATATATAAATATTTATGTTTCAAGTGAATGAGTTATTAAGTCATGTAAAATAAACATTTTTTGAATGAATAAACTATGGCATGCTTATATTTTATAAATTTTCAATGAAAGAAAACTAGTCTAAATTTAGGTTTGATTGAAAATGTCCTTAAATCTTAAATGAAAATTTATTATCAGCTTTATGTTACTTTATTATCAGCTTTATGTTACCTGAGAGCAAATTACTTTCTCTAAATTACTGTTGTACTTGGTTTGGTTGTTGAAATATTTTTTCCCATGTAACTCTTTTTGATACTTGTTTTCATCCGCCTATTTCTCCCTAACATCAACAAGAAATCTATATCTATCTGAATTTTCTTTTACTGATCTTTTGTGTAGGTAAAAAAAAATTAAGTTGATAAAGTGTGATTGCATGGATACTGATTATATTTTTTGAATGAAGGACTTATATGTATGTATTCATAGGCACATGTTTATTTATATGCACATGATATATGTATTTACATGTCTATTTGAAATTTTAAATAACTCCTCTAATTTTTCAAAATAACAAGTTTTTTTTCACCATTTAAGTTCTTTGCAATTTACACACTATTACACAACTTTTCAAGATAGGAACTTTGGAGGAAATCTGACTGCAACATGTGTCCCTAAAGCAGGAATAAACAGTTTGTTCTCTGTGAAACCCATAGCATCAGCGTTATAGTTCAAACTTGAAAATGTTAGTATTTTAATGATATTTTGAATTTCATCAAGGCTACATACTTATTAATATTTTGAATTTCATCAAGGCTACATACTCATTAAAGGTCTTTTTAAAGATAGACTATTTGAGAAATCATATTATAGAGAACTGTTAGAAGTCCCAGTGCTTTAATGTTAAATTGAAAGATTAGCATATGTAAAGTATATAAAGTTTAAACTTTTATTGATATTTTGCTCTATTCTCTATAGCAAAAATTTTGTCAGTTTTTTATGCATAATCGAACTATAAACATTAAAACTTAAAATTCTAACATTGTTTACATGAAAGCCAAGGCAGCAGCCTTTAGAGTGGACTTGACCACCATGTCAAGTATAGATTTGCTCAATGGTTTAAAGATATTCACTGATGATCCTGTATTAGTCCATTCTCATGCTGCTAATAAAGATATACCCAATACAGTTTAATTTATAAAGAAAAGAGACTTAATTGACTTACAGTTTTGCATGGCTGAGGGGGCCTCAAGAAACTTACAATCATGGTGGAAGGGGAAGCAAACACGTCTTTCATCACATGGCAGCAGGAGAGAGAAGGATTAGCAAAGACGGGCGAAAGTCCCTTATAAAACCATCAGATCTTGTGAGAACTCACTCTTTATCATGAGAACAGCATGACAATAACTGCCCCCATGATTCAATTGCCTCCCACCAGGTCCCTCAAATGACACATGGGGATAATGAAAATTACAATTTAAAATGAGATTTGCGTAGACACACAGCCAAACCATATTATTCCCCCACTGGCCCCTCCCAAATCTCATGTCCTCACATTTCAAAACATAATCATGCCTTCCCAACAGTTCCCCAAAGTCTTAATTCATTCCAGTATTAAGCTAAAAGTGAAAGTCCAAAGTCTCATCTCAGACAAGGCAAGTCCCTTCTGCCTAATAGCCTGTAAAATCAAAAGCAAGTTAGTTACTTCTTAGATACAAAGAGGATACTGGCATTGAATAAATATACTCTTTTCAAATGGGAGAAATTGAACAAAACAAATGGGCTACAGGTCTCATGCAAGTCCAAAATCCAAGAAGGTAGTCATTAAACCTCAAAGTTCCAATGTGATCTCCGTTTACTCCATGTCTCACATCCAGGTCATGCTGAAGCAAGAGGTGGAATCTCATGGCCTTGGGCAGCTGTGCCCCTCTGGCTTTGAAGAGTTAAGCCCCACCCCCACCCCCCTGCCCACCAGCTGTTTTCACAACTTGCATTGAGTTCAAACTCAACATAGCTTTTCCAGATACATGGTGCAAGCTGTTGGTGCATCTACCATTCTGGGTTCTGGAGAAGGGTGGCTTTTTTCTCATAGCACAACTAGGTAGTGCCCTATTGGGACTCTCTATGGGGGCTCTGACTCCACATTTTCTTTCTACACTGCCTGAGCAAAGGTTCTCCATGAGGGCTCTGCCCCTGCAGGAGACTTCTGCCTGGACATGCAGGCATTTGCATACATGCTCTGAAATCTAAGCAGAGGTTCCCAAACCTCAATTCTTGACTTCTTTGCAGCCACAGGCTTAACTTCATGTGGAAACTGCCAAGGCTTGGGGCTTGCACCCTCTGAAGCCATGGCCTAAGTTGTACCTTGACCCTTTTCAGGTATCACTGGAGCAGCTAGGATGCAAGGCACAAAATCACAAGACTGCACAAAACAGTGGGACCCGGGGCCCAGCTCACAAAATCATGATTTCCTCCTAGGCCTCAGGGCCTGTAATGAGAGGGATTGCCATGTCAGAGGAAAGGTCTCTGACATGCCCTGGACACCATTGTCTTGATGATTAGCATTTGGTTTCTAGTTACTTATGCAAATGTGTGCAGCTGGCTTGACTATCTCCACCAACAAAAATGGGCTTTTCTTTTCTACTGTATCATCAGGCTGAAAGTTTTCCAAAATTTTATTCTCTGTCGTCTCTTGAATGCTTCACTGCTTATAAATTTTATCCACCATATACTCTAAATCATCTCTCTCAGGTTCAAAGTTCCACAGATCTCTAGAGCAGGGGCAAAATGCTGCCAGTCTCCTTGCATAGCAAGAGTGACCTTTACTTCAGTTCCAGACAAGTTCTTCATCTTCATCTGAGAACACTTCAGCCTGTACTTCATTGTTTATATCACTATCAGCAATTTGGTCAAAGCCATTCAACAAGTCTCTGGGAAGTTCCAAACCTTCCCACATCTTTCTGTCTTCTGAGCCCTGCAAGTCTCCGGGAAGCTACAAAATTTCCCACATTTTTCTCTCTTCTTCTGAGCCCTCCAAACTGTTCAAACTTCTGCCTTTTACCCAGTTTCAAAGTCGCTTCTACATTTTCTGGTATCCTTACAGCAGCACCTCACTTTACCATTACCAATTTACTGTATTGGTCCATTCTCATGCTGCTAGTAAAGAAAAACCCAAGATGGAGTAATTTATAAAGAAGAGGTTTAATTGCCTCACAGTTCCATATGGCTGGTGATATGGTTTGGCTCTGTGCCCCATCCAAATCTCATCTTTAATTGTACTCTTATTATTACCACATGTTGTGAGAAGGACCCACTGGGGGATAATTTGAATCATGGGAGAAGTTTCCCCCATACTGTTCTCCTCATAGTGAATACGTCTCAAGAGATCTGATGGTTTTATCAGGGGTTTCCACTTTTGCATCTTCCTCATTTTTTCTTGCTGCCACCATGTAAGAAGTGCCTTTCACCTCCCGTAAAGATTCTGAAGCCTCCCTAGCCATGTGGAACTGTAAGTCCAATTAAACTTGTTTTCTTCCCAGTCTCTGGTATGTTTTTATCAGCAGCATGAAAACAGTCTAATACAGTAAATTGATACTAGGAGTAGGGTGTTGCCCAAAAGATATCTGAAAATGTGGAAGCCACTTTGCAACGGGGTAATAGGTAGAGGCTGGAACAGTTTGGAGGGCTCAAGAGAAGACAGAAAAATATAGGAAAGTTTGGAACTTCCTAGAGGCTTATTAAATGGTTTTGACAAAAATGCTGATAATGATATGATATGGACAATGAAATGCAGGCTGAGGTGGTCTCAGATGGAGATGAGAAACTTCTTGGGAACTAGAGCGAAGGTGACTCTTGTTACATTTAGCACAGAGACTGATGGCATTTTGCCCCTGCCCTAGAGATTTGTGAATCTATGATCTTGAGAGAGATGATTTAAGGTAACTGGCAGAATAAATTTCTAACCAGCAAAGTATTCAAGATGTGACTTGGGTTCTGTTAAAGGCATTCAGTTTTAAAAGGAAAGCAGAGCATAAAAGTTCAGAAAATTTGCAGCCTGATAATGCAATAGAAAAGAAAATCTCATTTTCTGAGGAGAAATTTAAGCCAACTGCAGATATTTGCATAAGTAATGAGGAGCTGAATGTTAATCCCAAAGAAAATGGAAAATATCTTCAGGACATGTCAGAGAACTTTGTGCCAGCTGCTCCCATCACAGACCCGTAGATCTAGGAGGAAAAAAATGGTTTTGTGACAGGGCCCAGGGTCCCCATACTGTGTGCAGTCTAGGGACTTGGTGCCCTGTGTCTCAGCCACTCCAGCCATGGCTGAAAGGGGCCAATGTAGAGCTCAGGCTGTGGGTTCAGAGGGTGCAAGAACCAAGCCTTGGCAGCTTCCATGTGGGGTTGAGCCTGCAGGTGCACAGAAGTCAAGAATTGGAGTTTGGGAACCTCCGCCTAGATTTTAGACGATGTATGGAAACACTTGGCTACCCAGGCAGAAGTTTGTTGCAGGGGCAGAGCTCTCATGGAAAACCTCTGCTAGGGCAGTGCAGAAGGGAAATGTGGGCTTGGAGCACCCATACAGAGCCCCTACTGGGACACTGCCTAGTGGAGCTGTGAGAAGAGGGCCACAGTCCTCCAGACTCCAGAATGGTGGATCCAACTACAGGTTGTACTGTGTGCCTGAAAAAGCAAGACACTCAATGCCAGCCCAAGAAAGCAGCCTGGAGGCAGGTTATACCTTGAAAAGCCACAGGGGCAGAGCTGCCCAAGACCATGGGAACACACCCCTCGCAACAGTGTGACCTGAATGTGAGACCTGGAGTCAAAGGAGATCATTTCAGAACTTTAAAATTTGACTACCTCACTGGATTTCTGACTCGCATGGACCCTGTAACTCCTTTGTTTTGGCCAACGTCTCGCATTTGGAATGGCTGTGTTTACCCAATACCTGTACCTCCATTGCATCTAGGAAGTAACCAGCCTGCTGTTGATTTTACAGGCTCATAGTCAGAAGGGACTTGCCTTGTCTCAGATGAGACTTTTAACTGTAAACTTTTGGGTTAATGCTGAAATAAGTTAAGACTTTGGGGGACTGTTGGGAAGGCATTATTGGTTTTGAAATGTGAGGACATGAGATTTGGAGGGGTCTGGGCGGGATGATATGGTTTGGCTCTGTGTGCCAACCCAAATCTCATCTTGAATGGTACTCCCATAATTCTCATGTGTTGTGGGAGGGAGCCAGTGGGAGATTATTCAAATCATGGGGTCAGTTTCTCTCATAATGTTCTCATGGTAGGTAATAAGTCTCACCAGATCTGATGGTTTTATCAGAAGTTTCTGTTTTTGCATCTTCCTCATTTTCCCTTTCTGCCACCATGTAAAAAGTGTCTTTCACTTCCCACCATGATTCAGAGGCCTCCCCAGCCACGTGAAATTGTAAGTCCAATTAAAACTTTTTTCTCCCCAGTCTTGGGTATGTCTTTATCAACACTGTGAAAATGAACTAATACAGCTGGAGAGGCCTCAGAAAACTTACAATCACGTTGGAGGGGCAGCAAACATGTCCTTCTTCCCATGGAGGCAGGAAAGAGAAAGATGAGTGAAGGCCAGGGTAAATCCCCTTATGAGATTTGGGTGGGGACACAGACAAACACATATCAGTTCCTATTTCTAAAGAGAATGCTATAATTTTTTTTTTCATAATTCATCATGACTAGCCAGTGAAGCCCCTAGATCAAGCAATCTTTTTGATCAAGTTTGTAACATGCCACAAAGGAGCCAAACACATTTGGGCTATAGCTCATGACCCCTTCTGATTTCAGTATCACTCTTTGGATGTGATTTCATTCTGCTGGCCCATGTGGCAGCTGTGATATTCATCATCACAAAATGTTGTCTGTTTCATTTCTGAAAGTTTTATAAAATAGGAAAGAAGACAAAAAGAGATTAGTCGTACTGAGGGCCTGATGCTGAGGGGCCTTCCAAATGGGAATCTTCCAGTTTATTCCAGTATGAAGAGGTTGAGATGAAGCATTCCCTTCCTCCTGGGACAAAACATCTTTTCAAAACTTACCTTATTAAGTCAAAGTTTGTTTTCCTGAAATTTAGTGCTCATTTAAAAGTTAGAAATATTCTATGTCAAACAAAGATTTTAAAGCTAGGGCCAGGCGCAGTGGCTCACACCTGTATCCCAGCACTTTGGGAGGCCAATGTAGGTGAATCACCTGAGGTCAGGAGTTTGAGAACAGCCTGGCCAATCTGGCAAAACCCTGTCTCTACTGAAAATACAAAAAAATTAGCCAGGTGTGGTGACTCATGCCTGTAGTTCCCGCTGCTTGGGATGTCGCACCAGAATCGCTTGAACCAGGGAGCCAGAGGTTGTGCCACTGCACTCCAGCCTGGGCAATAAAGCGAGTCTCCATCTCAAAAAAAAAAAAAAAAAAAAAAAAAAAAGAAAAGAAAAAAAAAGAAAAAATTTATTTTCAAGCTAGGAAAAATAAAAATAATATGTACCCTCCCGCCAAATTAAAATTCTGTTAAATGTGCTAAAACTACATATATAATTTTAACTGATAAATTATATCACATTTATTCCTGTCACTTATACAATTTTCAGGAAAAAAAATGATTTTTTACATAAGACATTATGTAACTGTATATACTGAATAGTTATGTTGAAATTACCTTTTGACATATGATGTCTACATATTCATTATATTTTTTAATCAATATAACATTCAAAGTTAACCTCAGGGAAAAAAATGATAAACATAATAATAACACATAATAAATCAATAACACAATAAATCAGTGACAGATTTGAAACAATAAAAACAAATCAGTATACTTCATATATACTTAGATTCTTTTCCAATAAGCAATATCTTCATAATGACACTAAATCAATAGTTAGCAAATAGATAACTTTGTGCCACCTGAATATCAAATTAGGTAGAGTATGATGAAAGTAAGTTTCCAATTATATATTAGATAGACATGGTGGAGTTAAGGTTATTTTGTGGGACCAGAGACCCTCCATATGAATATGTTCACTGCAGAGGCCAGCGATCACTTCTGCTGTGAGAAAAGCGTATCATGTGTTTGTACATTGTGTGTGCAGAGGTCTTGGGTATTTTTGCTCAAGACTACGTTTTCAAGTAAGGTAGGAGGCAAGACTCAACACCATAGGTGGGGTTTGTACTTGACCAACTTGAAGTCTAGCTGAAACAGAGAAGTGGCAAACACACCTTCTCGATAAGACATGTCAACCAGTGCCATGTCAGTTCATCATTTTCATGGTAACACCTGGAGGTTAGTGCCCCTTTCTGTGAAAATGACCCAATGATCTAGAAGTTACCATTTTTTTCTATCCTATCTAATCTTCCTCTTAATTTTCATGTAATTAAAAGTGGATATGAATATGACTGCAAAATTGCCCCTGAGCTGCTACTCTGGGCACACTGCCTATAGAGTAGCCCTGATCTGCAAAACAAAGTACCTCTGCTACTTCTGTACACTACTGTTTCAATAAAAATTTCTGTCTCACACTACCAGCCCACCCTTGATTATTTTCTGGGCAGAGCCAAAAAACCTCCTGTGCTAAGCCCCAGTTTTTGGGCTTGTCTTCCCAGCATCACAAGGATCCTTATATTCAAAAATGCCTAGGCATATAGAAAGATGTTGTCCCTCTAGAATAAAGGAAGAAATTATTTGCTTGTGTCCAATATAAAAGGGTGAGTTTCTTAAAGTTAGGGTTCCTCAGTGTGACGCAAGTCCACTGTGCATACAGCACCTACTTTAGCCTCTTGCTTCACCACTGTGGTAGCCAAGGAGGAGATATATTAGTTTTCTAATGCTACACAAAAAATTACCACAAACTTAGTACTTAAGACAACATGAATGTGTTACATTACTGTATTATTTTAAGTTGATTGTTTGTTACTGCTTAAGCTAGTGGTGATGGTAAGAATTGCTTCTTTGGGCCTAGTCAAAAATCACATAAATAGGAATGACAGGATTCCAGAAAAGCAGAGGTTAGACGGTAATAGTTAACCTTCAGGGGCAAGACAAATGTAATAATCATCAGTAGATAGCTCAGCTTTCAGAACCCTCGTGTTGTTTTTCTAACATGAAATGAGAATTATTTTTACAGAAAAGCACAAATATAAGCCCCTGAATGTGCCTTCCTGCCTCAGCCAAGATAGCACATTAGATGTATTACTGAATCCAATTAGAAAATATAGACACTGGCAAATCCACCTAAACCTCCAATGTAGATTTTCTAACATATAACCATTTAAATCACTTGCCTGGATTCTGAAAAACTGGATGAAATATGGAGAATGATGACCAACTACCAAAACTTATATAACAGCATCAGTTGCTGTTGTGTTGGGCAAATGTCACTGCCACTTTATATGTGGCAAATGTCACTGCCACTATATATGTGGCTAATAAACAGGAAAATGGGTTTTTTTTTATTATGCCCATAAATAAAGATAATAAAACCAGTATTTTTTTTTTTTTTTTTTTTTTTTTTTTTTTTGAGAGAGAGAGCGTCTTACCATATCCAAGGTTGGAGTGCAACAGTGAGATTACTGCCCCCTGCTGCCTTGACATCCTGGGCTCAGGTGATTCTCCTGCCCCATCTCTCAACTATAGGTGTGGACCACCACACCCAGCTAACTATTTTTGTGTGTTTTTTAGTAGAGACAGGGTTTCACCATGTTGCTCAGACTGGTCTCAAATTGCTGGGATTGATTACAGGAGTGAGCCACCATCACCGCCCGTAAACCAGTTATTTTTATAATGAGATATACAGCAACACACATTCATTGCCTTATTAAGAATTATTAACATTTCTCAGCCAGGCGCGGTGGCTCATGCCTGTAATCACAGCACTTTGGGAGGCCGAGGAGGGCGGATCATGAGGTCAGGAGATCGAGACCATCCTGGCTAACACTGTGAAACCCCGCCTCTACTAAAAATACAAAAAATTAGCCAGGCGTGGTGGCGGGCGTCTGTATTCCTAGCTACTCGGGTGGCTGAGGCAGGAGAATGGCGTGAACCTGGGTGGCAGAGCTTGCAGTGAGTAGAGATCATGCCACTGCACTCCAGCCTGGGCAACAGAGCAAGACTCCATCTCAAAAAAGAAAGAAAGAAAAAAAAAGAATTGTTAACATTTCTCTTTTGTAAAAATACAGTATTCTGGAAATTTTCTAGTCTTGAATAGTTCAGAAAATATAAGCTGATACACTGTATTAATAACATTATGCCATTACATAATAGAATTCAATAAGGAGGAAGCAGTAACTACTGTGTATGTTCTAGAAAAACACATATAGACCAAATGGTTGAGAATAAACTCCATGCAGATTTGTAGACTGACAGACCTGCCACCTCAATGAAATGATGATGGACTCAATAGCCTGAGTCCTGCCAGGATTTCTGCTTTTAGTGAAAGGCACATTGCTGCACCCCCTTTCACAATCTAAGTGGTATAACCCTTGTTGAGACTTTTTGGATTTGGGCAAACAACATATATCACAGATAGAAATATTCTTCTGATTAATTTGTCACGTGACTTAGAGGAATGCAAAATTTCTAGTGAATCTAGAGCAAGGATAATGGGGCATATGTCTTGCCACATCAGTCATATCACAAAACAGGTCCAATGGTGCTAAAGAAATCTGTAGTGAAAAAGAATGCTGTGTAGTGTTCAAAGTCAACTCCAACAGAAGAATGCTTAAAATCCAAAAGCAGAAATATACCTACTGTACAATAGTACTGTTCATTTGGAAAAAAAAAAAAAAACGGTTTCTGATATGTTATTGAGCCCTAACAAAGTCTGGATGCTGAAAATGGGACATCAAATTAATTTGTGAATGGAATGCTTCCTAACTAGATTGATATTATCAGAGTCACTGAGGCATACATTCACAGAAGTGCAACGGCAATATATCATACCCCAAAAACTGTACATTTGAGGTGAGGCCCATATGTACAATTTTCACACCTGTTTCCTGTATTACACCCATGTCTTTTTCTTAAATTTCACATGGGGCCTAAAGTAGAAGAAAAGTAGTCTTCTCTTTAACTGCCAGAGGAAGAAAAAGAGTTCAGTTAACAGAAGGGTTGTGCCACTATGATATATTAAGTGAAAATTGAAGATGACCTGCTGCACTAAAAACCAACTCAGAGGTGGCTCAGAAATATGTTGGTGAAATATAAATTCACCTAGTGGCAGAAATATGAGCAGAAAACTTGTTCAATCACTTTTTGTGGAGGGTGAAATGGTCTGAGGCAAGGATGTTCATAGGGTGTTATTGTAGGAAATGGATGGTTGGTTAGTTAAGGGTCTGAAAGCAGCAAATTTAGAAGACTAAATGCAAGAATGTTTTGGGGAAAAGGCTGTGAATAAAACTCTATATGTAGATATAAAGTGAGAAATATTTGTGTTTTTTATTTATGTCCATTACAGTGCATCACCACAAACGATGTTCTTATGTATATGGACAAGATCACTTTTCCTAGGAATGTAAGTCAGTTCCTCTTGGCTACTTTAGTGCTGGTGCAATAATTCATGTCACGAAAAAATGCCTGCCTTCCCACCATGAGAGCTCTAAACACATTGCTGCTGACCAAGAGATGTATTTGGCAAAAGGAGGTATAACAATGACTCATGACAAGGGATCAAGTTTTTCTAGTCTAGTCATCACCATCCAGAAGCAATAGTCTTATTAAAACAATAGAGTGTACTATTACATACTTCAATATGGCACTAGCTTAGATAAATCTCCCTGATGTGTGGGAGTGATATCCTTGAAGAACCACTATTTACACTTCTCCAGTATCCAATATATGATGTTCTATTAACATGGAATCCAAGGATAGTATGTGTGGTGTTTCTAACAGTAACATATAAACCAATCATTTAGTGAAGCCATTGGGGAATTTTTGTTTTAAAACCATAAATCCTTAGGCTTTGCTGAGTCAGATGTCTGGGATTCTGTTCCTAGTGGTGGGAGCTGGTGAAAATGCTTCCACCAGGGGAGCACAGGGAGACATTGTAGTTATTACTACCGTATTATCAGTTTGGACTCCTTTTGTGGAACAGCAGGCAGTTAATTTACTTGCTAGGATTTTTAGCTCTAATTACCACAAGAAGCTAGGTGTGCTGCTACATTATGAGTGCAGGAAAATATAAGTATGGAACTCATAGGACTCATTGGGTATCACTTTTTTCTTCCAAGCCCAGCAATAGTGGCAAAGGTGCAATTGTAACCACCATGGCCTATTGAGAGCAAAACAACTAGGGGTTTTGACTTTTTCACGATGAAGTATGTGATCAACCAAACTAGCGCTTCTGAAATAATAGCCAAAGTCGAGGATAATCTATAATTGGTAGTAGAGAAGAGAAAAAAAAATATCAGCTTTGGAAAAATTTGCAGCAATAAAGAATGTAGTCTTTCCAACAACATTTTCAAATTATGTCTTAGGTAGGTAGTGCAACCAGCCACTACCTTACAGGCTTTTCTTCCTAAACTACTCTAATATTTACTATAATGTTAGTGTCTTTCTGGTCTAAATAATTTTTTTTTGTATTTATTTGGTGGTTGTTGTTATTTTGGTGGCTGGAACTCAAATTTAACGCTAGAAAACTAACTTTATATGTAAAATAAATCGATTCAGTAAAATTGTATTAAGTGACGGAGAAGACTGATGGGGCTAGAACTCTAGGGAATATCATGTTTAAGGTTTCTGTAGAATATGAAGTCTCTAAAAAGAGTAAATTTGCTGGACCAGAAGGCAGCAAAAAACTAATGAAGTTGAAGGAGTTAAAACAAAATAAAATTTCAAATAGGAAGAAGTGGTCAATAATGTCAGCTGTTATGAAGAACCAAGCCAGAAAATCCAATAGTCTTTAAACAAATTCTAGCAATTACTAGATATTAGAGTAGCTTTCTGTATTATTAAAATTGAATAATATCTTCTTCCCCTAAATCTGTTTTCTCTATTTTCTCCTTTAGCTATATTTTCATTTTTGCAATTTTCATTTTTATACCAATATTTTCAAGTGGTTTGTATTTCCAATGTATTTTTCTATCCATTCTGAGAAATGTTTATGCTTATTTAAAATTTTTGGTTTTGATATTCCATTAATCCATTTCAAACAATTAGAACAATGAAAATATATGAAAAATACATATTAGCATACAAGGAGATGTATTAATATCAATATAATAAGGCTTCGAAGTAAAAGGGAAAGAAACACTAAAATGAAAAGAAGTATTTTTGAAGAAATAATTAATGAATTCTCTCATCTTCAGGTAAGATGAGAGACTTCTGACTTACTGTCTTCATATAGTAAAAAAAACACAATATTAAAAATATTATAAATAATCACATAGTAGTGGATTTTAAGAACACATTACAACTCGACTAAAGTACTCATATTCTTTACATACAAAAAGATACACAAAAAGTTGTATTTATATACTAGCAACTAACAACAAAAATTGCATCTATACACATGAAGTATTCAGGGATAAGTTTAACAATATATTGGAGAAATCAGGATCTGAAACAAAAATAAAAATTATGTTTGAATTTTCAAGTCCAGTGATAAGCAATTACAAAGACCACCTGGCAGGCCTCACAGAAGGACCTGCCCTTTCCACACCAGACCTGGTGAATAGTCAAGGCACTGCATTCTCTGAATGGACTACAGTAAAGGGCCTGGGTCTCCCGGCTTGCTATGTTCTTACATATAGCTGCATTTCTTGGCCAGGTGCCTCCATTTGGAGGTATTTTTATTAGGAAAACTTGAAGATGTTTTTCTGCACTCAGACTCAGTACTTATAACTTGTCAACTCTTCGTCCTTTCCCTTTCCCTTTCCTCAGCATTTGGGTTACAAAACTGGAGGGGTCTTTTTAAAAAATAAAATAAAAATAAATTTAGTGGGTACAAGTACAATTTTGTTCCATGAATATATTACATAATGGTGAAGTCTGGGCTTTCACTATAATCATCACACAAATAATGTATATTCTACCCATTAAGCAATTTATCATCCCTTACCCACCTCCAGCCTTTCCAAGTCTCCAATGTTTATTATGACACACACTACATTCATATGCACATGTTATTTAGCCTTCACTTATGAGTGACAACACTCACTTCATTTGACTTTCTATTTCTGAGTTATTTTACTTGAGACAACAGCCTTCAGTTCCATCCATGTTGCTGCAAAACATATAAATTCAGTCTTTTTTGTGGCTAAGTAGTATTTGTGTGTGTGTGTGTGTGTGTGTGTATGTTTGCATATACACACACCACATTTTCCTTATTCTACCCATTAATGAATATATGTTGAAGGACTGAAAGAATCAAACTTTTAAAATATCAATTATTCTAAATTAATTTCTAAACTTGGGGTAATCTCAATATCCCAGCAAGATTTGTATTTCATTTTTTGGTAAATATGAATAAGCAAATTTGATATAAAAATACGAAGTAGCCAAAATGATTTTACAATGGATGATTATAGATAAAAGATTTATACAACCTGATTTAGCTACAGTGTTCAAGAGAGATATTTATAAGAATTGAAATTGATAAGAATATATATATATTAATAAAACAGAATGAATTGTCCAAATAGACATACACACACAAAGTTATGCAATTTTTTTGTTTCACAGCGTCTTTATATACAACTTTTCATGGTGAAATAAATTTAGCTTTCAAAAAAGTAAAAAAACAGAGCACGAAGTTTACCCAAATATTCTTCATCTAAGTTTTCTAAATATTAATGTCTTACATAGCCATGGGAAATTTGTCAAAATAAGAATTTCATATCAGTGAAATACTATCAAGCTATTGACTCTACTTGGATTGTATCAGTTTTTCTACAACTATATTCATTTTTTTCTGTTCGAGGATACCGACGAGGCTACTACCTTATATTGAGTTATCAAGTTTACTTAGCCTCCTTCAATCAGTCAATGTCTGTTTCATTGTTTAAACACCCATGATGCTTTTGAAGAGTAACTTTGTCTCTCTGCTCACCTCGAATTTATAGAAAAACACTGTCTTTTTTTTTCTTTTTTTTCTATTATACGTTGTTTTAGGGTACATGTGCACATTGTGCATGTTAGTTACATATGTATACATGTGCCATGCTGGTGCGCTGCACCCACTAACTCGTCATCTAGCATTAGGTATATCTCCCAATGCTATCCCTCCCCCCTCCCCCCACCCCACCACAGTCCCCAGAGTGTAATATTCCCCTTCCTGTGTCCATGTGATCTCATTGTTCAGTTCCCACCTATGAGTGAGAATATGCAGTGTTTGGTTTTTTGTTCTTGCGATAGTTTACTGAGAATGATGATTTCCAATTTCATCCATGTCCCTACAAAGGACATGAACTCATCATTGTTTATGGCTGCATAGTATTCCATGGTGTATATGTGCCACATTTTTTTAATCCAGTCTATCATTGTTGGACATTTGGGTTGGTTCCAAGTCTTTGCTATTGTGAATAATGCCACAATAAACATACGTGTGCATGTGTCTTTATAGCAGCATGCTTTATAGTCCTTTGGGTATATACCCAGTAATGGGATGGCTCCCTAACTCATTTTATGAGGCCAGCATCATTCTGATACCAAAGCCAGGCAGAGACACAACAAAAAAAGAGAATTTTAGACCAATATCCTTGATGAACATTGATGCAAAAATCCTCAATAAAATACTGGCAAAACGAATCCAGCAGCACATCAAAAAGCTTATCCACCATGATCAAGTGGGCTTCATCCCTGGGATGCAAGGCTGGTTCAATATATGCAAATCAATCAATGTAATCCAGCATATAAACAGAACCAAAGACAAAAACCACATGATTATCTCAATAGATGCAGAAAAAGCCTTTGACAAAATTCAACAACCCTTCATGCTAAAAACTCTCAATAAATTAGGTACTGATGGGACGTATTTCAAAATAATAAGAGCTATCTATGACAAACCCACAGCCAATATCATACTGAATGGGCAAAAACTGGAAGCATTCCCTTTGAAAACTGGCACAAGACAGGGATGCCCTCTCTCACCACTCCTAGTCAACATAGTGTTGGAAGTTCTGGCCAGGGCAATTAGGCAGAAGAAGGAAATAAAGGGTATTCAACTAGGAAAAGAGGAAGTCAAATTGTCCCTGTTTGCAGACGACATGATTGTATATCTAGAAAACCCCATTGTCTCAGCCCAAAATCTCCTGAAGCTGATAAGCAACTTCAGCAAAGTCTCAGGATACAAAATCAATGTACAAAAATCACAAGCATTCTTATACACCAACAACAGACAAACAGAGAGCCAAATCATGAGTGAACTCCCATTCACAATTGCTTCAAAGAGAATACAATACCTAGGAATCCAACTTACAAGGGACGTGAAGGACCTCTTCAAGGAGAACTACAAACCACTGCTCAAGGAAATAAAAGAGGATACAAACAAATGGAAGAACATTCCATGCTCATGGGCAGGAAGAATCAATATCTTGAAAATGGCCATACTGCCCAAGGTAATTTACAGATTCAATGCCATCCCCATCAAGCTACCAATGCCTTTCTTCACAGAATTGGAAAAAACTACTTTAAAGTTCATAAGGAACCAAAAAAGAGCCCGCATCGCCAAGTCAATCCTAAGCCAAAAGAACAAAGCTGGAGGCATCACACTACCTGACTTCAAACTATACTACAAGGCTACAGTAACCAAAACAGCATGGTACTGGTACCAAAACAGAGATATAGATCAATGGAACAGAACAGAGCCCTCAGGAATAACGCCGCATATCTACAACTATCTGATCTTTGACAAACCTGACAAAAACAAGCAATGGGGAAAGGATTCCCTATTTAATAAATGGTGCTGGGAAAACTGGCTAGCCATATGTAGAAAGCTGAAACTGGATCCCTTCCTTACACCTTATACAAAAATCAATTCAAGATGGATTAAAGAATTAAACGTTAGACCTAAAACCATAAAAACCCTAGAAGAAAACATAGGCATTACCATTCAGGACATAGGCATGGGCAAGGACTTCATGTCTAAAACACCAAAAGCAATGGCAACAAAAGACAAAATTGACAAATGGGATCTAATTAAACTAAAGAGCTTCTGCACAGCAAAAGAAACTACCATCAGAGTGAACAGGCAACCTACAAAATGGGAGAAAATTTTCACAACCTACTCATCTGACAAAGGGCTAATATCCACAATCTACAATGAACTCCAACAAATTTACAAGAAAAAAACAAACAACCCCATCAAAAAGTGGGCGAAGGACATGAACAGACACTTCTCAAAAGAAGACATTTATGCAGCCAAAAAACACATGAAAAAATGCTCATCATCACTGGCCATCAGAGAAATGCAAATCAAAACCACAATGAGATACCATCTCACACCAGTTAGAATGGCAATCATTAAAAAGTCAGGAAACAACAGGTGCTGGAGAGGATGTGGAGAAATAGGAACACTTTTACACTGTTGGTGGGACTGTAAACTAGTTCAACCATTGTGGAAGTCAGTGTGGCGATTCCTCAGGGATCTAGAACTGGAAATACCATTTGGCCCAAAACATTGTCTTTTAAATCTACTTAAATTATATTTTTGTTTGCTCCTGACTGTCATCTATTTTGAGATTTTTAAAATAATAAATAAGAAATGATTCAAAGTCATTTTATTTGTTTGAAAGTATTATATTTTGCAAAACAAATTATTTCAGATCTTTCTGAACGTTCTTTATCCTATGCCAGGAAATTATCATTTTGGTATATTGAGTCAAAATGCAGTCTACTAAATCTTTTTCATCTTCACCCTCTAATTAACCAACTGTTCAATTGCACATTGCAATTTTTTCTAAAATCTCAAATTTCAGTATGAGTAAGAAATAAAACCATGATCAGTGTCCCCAAATCTTATAATTTTTATAATATCTTTTGCTTAAGTTCTTTATTTTCAAAATGTTTTATGTAGATACCAAAATTACATTTTTATATCACTAGCCCATTGTTAATTTGTCTAAAGTCATTATTGAATTACATTCTCTCCCATGGTACTAGTTAAGTGTTCTATTGCTGTACATTTTGGGGTAGTTAAGCATTATTTTTCTTGTCATTGGTTATTAGAGTTTGTTAGGGATAAAAGCAATGTATTTTTCAGGGGCATAACAAAGAAAGGATGCACTTTTGGCAAAACTCAACTGACCTGACTGGGAATATCATAAGAATTTTTACGTATCTGGGGAGGGAGGAGAAGATTTATATTTTTGTCCCATTTTATTCTACTTGTTTTATTTCTATATTTCACACTTTGAGAATGTATGTTTACAAAGTTATCACAATGAGATTAAAAACACAAGGTTAAGAATTACACTCAATTAAACAAATACTTATTTTACAAAGGTTATACTTCTGAGTCTTAAATCCATAAACAAAATTTTGAAATGCTTCATTCATGTTTTTGGCATTAAAACAATTATAGAATTTAAATTAAATGCTCTAATGAACAGGGTTCTAATGTATGATGGTACATGACTGTATATTAAAGAAATCCTTTTTATATTATTAAAGCTTCATTACCTCATTTACTTTAATGATTCAGTTGGAAACCCCTGTAGATACTGATATGAAAGCAAATCAATAGACTAGGAAAAATATTCTCTATTTATTCTCACTCTTTTGATTTAGTGTAAAGGTGAACCTCAAGTGACCAAAATGCATACACAACCACTTTCCAGAAGAGTAGTCTTAATAGTTTAAATTAATTGATTAGTAAAATTATTCACTTCTCATAATTAGTACCACTTATAATAAATGTGAAACAAAGAATATCCAATTGAGACAGAAGGAAGAAGGAACTGGTCAGGCAGGCAGTTAGGGTGTGTCCTCTGTAAAACTCCCTCAAACAAAGAACAGCCTGAAAACCGGAGTGCAGGCCCCAGATAGGAAAGAGCCCATGTCCTTGAATGGAAATGCTTACTTTGTGAATACAGATGAACAAATTCCACTTCTTTTTTAGACATATTTCTCTATCCTTGGCACTCTTAGTCTTTTAATTTTCACCTATATCACATATGCCTACCTTTCTGTGATTGGCTCTTAGTGGAATCTTCATTTACATAGGATGAGTCATCACTTCAGCTCCTGATTTGTCCCAGATCAAGGACCCAGGCCAAGGTTCCACTTCAGTCCCTGATTGGTCCCAGGCCAAGCCTTCACCTCTCCCTCAAATTGGTGTGTCACACTATCATACCTCTTTCTGTGTGGTGCTTTTTCCAAGATGGCCTGTAGACTAGTAAGCAAACTTCCACTTCCAGTCCATAAAAACTGCAGACTCAGCATCATATCTGGCAACCCTCTTTTGAGCCCTCTCTCGTTGCTGAGAGCTTTTCTGTCACTTAATAAATCCGACTCTGCCTTACTCACTTTCTAGTGTCTATGTGCATTATTCTTCTTGGTCTCGGGACAAGAACTCAGAACTCACCAGCAAGGGGAGTAAAAGAGCTGTAGCACTTTCTCCAATTCACTAAACAACAGGAGTGAAAAAGCTGCAACATTCTTGGCATGTTCACTGAAATTCATCAGAAGGGTGTGTAAGAGCAGACCTCCCACTCTTTACTTTCATTTCTGAGGGAACTAGTCCACAGTTTTGTTTTAATAAGATTAAACAAAATATTGAGCCCCTGTAAGCCAGTTAAAAGCAAATAGCATGGCTACCAGCCTTACATGACTCAAGCAACAGTCTTGATGGAGAGATCTTTGTCAATCCCCCATTGCCCTCAGGTGTTGGGAATGTTTGCTCTGTTCCAATCCAATTTTCTTTCATGGATGATCTAGCTGTCATGTGGGGTTGGAAGGAGGTACTGGCACAACTGAAGGGTTCTGGCAAGGCTACATTCAGTGTACCTAAAGGCCCCTGGACTAACTCCAGTCTGCAACAGCCCATTAGGGTTCTTTATTTTCAAAATGTTTTCTAAGTTTTTCATCTGAGTTTTCTAAATATTTATTAATGTCTTAAATAGCCATGGGAAATTTGTCAAAATAAGAATTTCATATCAGTGAAATACTATCAAACTATTGACTCTACTTGGATAATATCAGCTTTTCCACAACTATATTTATTTTTTTCTGTTCCAGGATATCGACCAGGCTACTACCATATATTGAGTTGTCATGTTTACTTAGCCTCCTTCAATCAATGTCTGTTTTATTGTTTAAACACTCCTGATGTTTTTGAAGAGTAACTTTGTCTCTTTGCTCACCTCAAATTTACAGAAAAACACTATCTTTTAAATCTACTTAAATTATATTTTTGTTTGCTCCTGAATGTCATATATTTTGAGAACCATGATTTCCAGTCTTTCCTGTTGCATTTTCTTTCATTCTCTCCTTCACATCCATCACGTCTCCTATTCCTTCTTTACATACAATGATGTGGGTGTTTTTTGCGACCCAGGAACATAGTCTTCCAGGGTAGAGTCAGCAAATGCCTTAGTGATCAGAAGTATAATACAAATAATTGCTGTTTTTGTAATTTTCTTGAGAGAGCAGAATTTCAATATTTCAGTCTAAGTTTTCACTTAGAAAGGACCTTTTTGACCCCAGTGATATATTTATAGCATTGTATAAGGGAATATTTCACCCTAAGTGAATACTCTCCTCTCCATTTAGGTTAATTTTTTTGCTCCATATAAGAGCTCAGCATTGCCCAATGAATTTAAACAGTTTATCTATGAAACAAATTAATTTTCCCTTATTGAGAAGCATACTCTTGGGGCAGACTATCAAGCCCCATATCTCTCTTTTCAACCTCTGCATGGAAAATATTTGGAGATAAAGTTACAACTTAACATTTCAAACTTTACCAAGGTACTTGGAGAGATGGGGTTTCTTTCCTTGGAGGGCCTTATCAGCCCTTTGTCCAAGCCCTCTCGTTCTGCAATTTCTCTCTCTCCTACATTCCTCTGTTAGGTTGCAGGCTCCATGCCCCATCTGTAAACAGCAAAATTCCACTTTCAACCCTCAGGAGGAAGCCACCGTTGAGAGACAATTTTAGTCTCAGTGCAGTCCCCATCACGGGAAGAATGGCCATTCAGTCCTTATGTTCTTTTGAGGCATCTGTTGTACATCCAGCTCCATCAGCACTTGAATAAAAAGGGAATTCTATATCTAGAAGTTAATTGGCCTCATTCTCTAGAATTCATAACTTTACCAGAGCTTTCATTAGAGGAAGTAAGAATAAGTTTAAGACACTCCCTCCATTAAAGAGTCTTGCCCAAATACAACTGTGGCACAGCCTCTTGCAAGCCTCATGTAGGGAAACTTGGGAGTCTTATGGTTCAAAGGGATCTAGGAAACCAATGAGAAACCACCAGCGGAAAGCTAATCAGGTGAGCATGATTACTTCTACTGATTGATTAACTCCTCTGGATCCATGGGTAAAGGTCATGCTTGCATCCATGAACAGCACTCATAATGGTCGCTGGGACCCAGAGGACACAGGGAGGAAAAGAGGAGAAAGGACACTTCTGTCTTTCTCTCTCCATCCTGGGTTACTCCAAAAAAGGGGAAGGAGACTAAAGAATGCCTTTCCTTCTCTCTCTTTCTAAACAAACGTTCTTTAGCATGTACTCCTCTCAAGTGCATTCTGAAAATTTGAAACTCCTTTGACACTCAGAAAGCACGTTATATTCTTTGCACTTGTGAATGGCCATCTTACCAACTGTAGGATGAAGAGGCCTGGCCTCCTGAGGGAAGTGTTAATTATAATACCCTCTGATAACTAGATGTTTTCTACAGTTGGGAGGGCAAATGGTCTGAGGCCCCCTGTGTATAAGCTGTCTTTGCCTTGTGAGACAACCTGGATCTTTGTCAACGTTGTAGGATTGATTCTGACCTCTTAGCAGTTATATTAGGCAAGCCCACAGACGATAATTCCCCAAAGTCAGATAAACAAACCCCTGGCGAACTCTCAACTGCAACTCCTGGATCTTTCAGCCCTTCTTGACAGCCCCCATCCTGGAAACCCTCTACCATGTCATCAGTTTCCCCAGCTCTACCACCCAAGAAACACCTGACTTCATTGTTATGCCCACAGGAAATGCCTGATGGACATGGTACCACCAGGGTCCAAGTTCCCTTTTCATTGCAGGACCTTAGAAAAATAAAACGAGACTTACGCAAGTTGTCTTATAACACCAATCAATATATAGAGGTTTTCCAAAACCTGAGTTACGTAGAGAGATGTTATGTTGCTCCTAAATCTAACACTAACTGCTGCTGAGAGATAGGCAGCCCTGCAGGCAGCAGAAGGATTTGGAGACCAACAATATGTCTGCTATCACTAGTTGAGAAAAGAGGAAGGTGAGAAAGAACCAGAAACCACATACCCAATAGAAAGAGAGGTAGTGTCCCTGGAAAACCTTAATTGAAACCCCTGTGATCCCACAGGGATGAGAAACCATTTCTCATGAGTGGAAAGAAACCATTTTTAGATGTGCATACTAGACAGCTTATAGAAAAGGACCAGAGACAAACCTGTTAATTACTTCAAGCTTTCCATGATAGATCAGAAACTAGAAGAAAATGCCTCAGCCTTTTTAGAGGGGATGAGAGAAGCTTCAGTTAAACACACCTCTCTTTATTCTGATTTGGTTGAGGAACAGCTAATTTTCAAAGACAAGTTTATTAGTCAGAAAGCCCCTGATATCAGAAGAAAGTTACAGAAACAGGACATGGGACCAGAAAGCATCTAAGAGAACCTCCTGAATGTGGCCACTTCAGTCTTGTACAATAGGAACCAGGAGGAGGCCCAAGAGAAGAGGAAGCACAAGAAATGGACAGAGGCTCTGGTGACTACATTGCAGGCCTATAAAATTTAGGATCCCCAAGGATCAACTGCTAATTGCTACCAGCGTGGCAAGTCAGGGCACTTTAGGGAGGATTGCCAAGGTAGTAAAAGGAATCCATCTCAACCCTGTACATCCTCTGGTGGGGACAACCAGAAGGCAGGCTGTCCCTGGGACATAGGCCACCAGGTCGAGGACCAGACTCACAAATCATCTAGCAGGAATGATGGGTCCCAGGGCTTGATTCTCCAGCTCCAATGGCTCAGACTGCCATCACTATTCAGGAGCCCTGGGTGATTCTGGAGTTGGAAGAGAGGAAGGTAAACTTTTTTTTTGGACACTGCAGCAAATCTTTCAGTTCTCTTTTCTCCCATAACATGATGATGATGGGCATCTCAGGAAAGCCCTTAATCCAACGTTTATTTCAGTCCCTCTGTTGTAGTTTGGGGGACCTGCTCTTTACTCAGGCCTTTTTAATCATGCCTGAAGTCCCACTTCCTTGCCATTTAGAGATATTCTAGCTGTATGAGAGCCACCATCCTTATGACTCCAGGAAAAATGCTTTGTCTCCCTCTGGTGGAAACCAACATTAACCTGGAGGTTTGGGAAATCCAATGAAGAATTAGCTGAGCTATAACAGCTATGCCAGCCTAGATCCACCTTAAGGTCCCTACATTTGTCCCTAACAAGAAGCAACATCTCCTAAAACCAGAAGCTAGAAAAGGGCTAGAAGCTATTATTAATAACTTAAGAACACAAGGCCTCCTCAGACCATGCAACAGCCCCTGCAACACCCCAATATTACGAGTGCAAAAACCTAATGGGAGAATGGAGACTAGTTCAAGACCTCTGCCTCATTAATGAAGATGTTGTCCAATTCCTCTAGTAGTTCCCAATCTCTATACCCTGCCATCTCAAATACCCAAAGGAACTAAGTGGTTCAGTTGTTTTGGACCTGAAGGATGCCTTTTTCTGTATACCATTGTACCCTAAATCCTCATATTTGTTTGCATTTGAAGATTCCCCCAATCAGACCACCCATTAATCTGAACAGTAATGCCTCAGGGCTTCTGAGACAGCCCTCACCTGTTCAGACAATCCCTAAAAAAGATGCCTCTGGTTTCTCTCATCCTCAGGTTGAAGTTTTAAAATATGTAGATGATATGCTCCTCTCTGCCCCAACCAAGGAAACTTCTCAAGAAGGCGCTAAGGCTCTTCTCAATTTCTTAGCTGACAAAGAATCTAAGGTTTCAAAATCTAAGGCTCAGCTCTTTCAGACTTCAACAAAATACCTAGGGCTAACCCTATCAGAAGGGACCAGAGAATTAGACAAGCAGAGGATTAAGCTCATCTCCTTGTTTCCACTTCCCAAAACCCTCAAACAGCTAGGAGGATTCTTGTTCATTAAAGGATTTTATATATTGTGGATATCCAAGTACAGTAAGATAGCTTGCCCTTTTTATGACTTTATAAAAGAAACTCAAGACTCACACCCTTACACTGGGTAAAGTTAACAGAATAACCCCCTGTGTTTTAAAATCAGAGGGAAGGGACCATATCTGGGAGACCTCAAATATTACAACATCACATTCATAATTGCTAAGAGCACAGGGGTCTGGAGAGTAAGAAAGAACACATGTAACCCAAAACATTAGAAGAACTATGAAAAAATGTTAATGATCTAACCAAACATCTCAGCCGGGATTCCTTGTTGGAATGACTATCCCTGGGTAGGGATGCCACCTCTTGCCAGCATTATCATCAGGTAATAAATAACTCATGGTTCTTTCTATATGTGCCCACGCATGGAATCCTTAAGCCTTGTATAATATTTGATAATGATAGTGACCTACAAATCTGCAGGCAAACAGGACATGTGTGGACCAATAGTCCCTGTAAGGAGGGTTATCTAAGATACCAGCCAGGACATATTGTGTCTCTGATCTTTTGAAACATCATCGGCCAAAAGATTCTTCCCACCTAGAATGTAAAATGCCAAAGAGCATTATGAATAACTATACTGAGTATGGATATCTCTATCCCCAGAATACTCCCATTAGATGTAAGGGGCTGACCTTAAAATGCCTGGACAAAAACTAGCTAGAACTCTCACAAATCACAACTTAGAACCATCCCTTCAAGGAATGGAACTTTATTTTCTCTGTGGCTCCTGGATACACTTAATCTACCCCAGGCACTGAAGGGGAACATGCACTATTGTGGCAGTGTTCCCTGACTCAATATTTTTAAACCCTACAAACATGGCAGCACTATCTGGTGACATACTCAATCTGGACTTTTTTCTGGAGAGTTCAATCTCTCACACACAATGAACCAGGAGATCACTTATTTCTATGTCATCATATGGAGATTTAACTGAGAGAGAGAACTAGAAAGACATACCCTTGACAATCGTGTATTAGAAAAGCCATGGATGAAAAATTCTATAGATAGAGGGCTATACTTGTTTGCCAGTATTTTTCTCCTTGAAAGATTAGTACTTAATATCTCTATTATGATGCAATGAGGGTGAAAGGCAACAGTAGGAGCCATGGAAGCCCAACAAAAATCCATAAGTTCTCAAACCACTGTAGTAATGCAGTATAAGTGAACTCTTGATGTCCTTATGGTCAGTGTAGGGGGTGCCTGTGAATTTTTAAATGAGACATGCTGCTTCTGGATCAACATTTCTAATCAGGTAGAAGAAAACTTACAGGTGCTTAAGGACCAAATTAGGATCATTAACAGATTGAGAGAAAATATGGGCTCTGATTCTAGTTGGCTACAAACCCTTCTTAAAGGATTTGTTCTTTTTGGATCCAGTTAGCTCCTTTAGTAGGACTTCTTTTACTTGTATGTATCATGTTAATGTTTGGCCCTTGTTATAATCAATGCTATAACCCAAATTATTTCTTCTCGTAGAGAGGCTATCAAGCTCCAAATGATGATGCAAATGAAATTACATGTGGACATGCCTTTCTTCTGAGGACACTTAGGCCAGCCCCAGGAGGAGCCCTAGCTGTTGTTCTCCACAAAATATCCCTCTCCAGCAGGAAGTAGCCAGAGGAATCATCACCCCACCTCCCTAACTTCAGTTAGGGTCTCTGTTCCTGAGGGGAGAAAGAGAGAGTAGGAAGGAAGAAACCAGTGAGGCAGGCGGTTAGCATGGTCCTTTGTAAAACTTCTCCAAATAAAGAACAGCCTGAAAACCAAACTGCAGGCCCCAGATACGAAAGAGCTCATGTCTTTGAATGGAAATGATTACTCTGTAAACACAGATGAACAAATTCCCCTCCTTTTGGTAAACACAGATGAAGAAATTCCACTGCTTTTGTGATACATTTCTGTCTCCTTGTTGTGCCTTAGTTTCTCACTTTTCACCTATTTTACATATACCTATCTTTCTGTGATTGGCCATGGGCTGAGTGTTCATTTACACAGGATGAATCATCACTTCAGCCCCTGATTAATCCCAGGCCAAGGTCCTGGGCCAAGCTTTTACTTCAGCACCTGACTTGCCCTGGGTCAAGTTCCCAGGCCAAGCCTTCACTTCAGCCCCTGATTGGTCCCAAGCCAAGTTACTGGGTCAAGCCTTCACCTCTGCCTCCAGTTGGTTCTTTACACTATCATACCTCCTTCTGAGTGGTGCTTTCTCCAAGACAGTCTGCAGAAAATTCACCATTCTCCTCCCCTTCCATTCCGTAAAACCCTGGACTTAGCCTCATATCTGGCAACCCTCTTTTGAGTCCCCTCTCTTGCTGAGACCTTTTCTGTTGCTTAACAAACTCAACTCTGCCTTACTTACTCTCTGGTGTCTGTTCCTTATTCATCTTGGTCATGAGACAATAATTTGGAGCTTTCCAGCAGAAGAGTGAAAGAGCTGTAACACTTTCTCCCACTTGCCAAACAACAGGAGTGTAAAAGCTGCAACACAATAAGGTTTATTTACCTGCCCACTGTCACCTGGAGACAAATGCAATGGATTGTGTTGTTCCAGGCTACACACCTGGTAAATTATGAGTGATCAAAAGAATAAAGTAAAAGCAATTGTTTACAATTTGTTCTGTTGTCTCAGATATAAAGCCTCCATCAATTATTTTACATTGAAAATTACTAAATTGTCACATTACTTAATAATCCTTAGAAAGATGCAAATTAAAACAATCCACACTTTCAGGTGTTGCAAGGATGGGCATTGTAGTCTCTAAATGTTTAAATATATTCAACACTTAAAGAAGAAAATAATGCTTCTGCATGGATAGAATATATTTGAGGTAGAGCATACACACAAACACCAAGTGTTTAGATTTTTATAGAAAATGTAATTTAGGTTGCAATTTTATTTAATTAACTTATTACCTTATGCATTGACTGATGTTTTTTAATCATCTTACTGTGTTCATCTATTGCATTTATTAGGGTTCTCAGATAACAATTTCTAAAATTTCCTTTTGCTTATGTTTTTTGTGGAAAATTAATTTATTTTACAGACAGCAAATTAATTTATTTTACAGAAATACATGTTTCTGTATTTAAACACGTATTTCTGTAAACAAAATTAATACAGAAATGTATTTCTGTAGATAATTTATTTTCAGAAATACATGTTTATAAACTCATTTGATTAATAATTTAAAATTCTAGACTGCTTATTGTGTACATAAAAATATAATTTAAGGTAAATTTTGAAGATACAAATTTATATATTTTTATACACTGAATCCTTATATTTTATACTTAAATATTGCTGTTAACATAGTTTTAATTTCCCAGATATGTAGCTTCTCATATTTTTCTCTTTAAGCTCTATTGTTTTCTACAATGTTTTCTTTTTTAATTGATACTGACACTATACTTTTTTCCCATTAATAGAAATATATCTATATATAGATATAGACATATAAAAGAGATATTTTTGTTTCCTTTGGTAAATTTTCTTTCTGTTCTAAACAAAATTTACAAGTGAGATTTGTATTATTGTTCTGTGACTGTTTTTTCTCTTATCAACATTTGTAGGTATGAAATAGAAAAAAAGTTATATACTTTCTAAGTCAAGCTTAAAATGACACCCATTTTGACTAATTTTTAAACAATAAATTGTTTTCTCACCAAGAATTAACTGTTGATTTTCTAAAATGTCTATTTTATTGAAAGAGATGAATAATTTTTGCAAAAATAGTGGCATGTTAGTAAGCTAGTCTCAGGTTTTATCTCTCTCCTTCTTATGTGATTGTTTCAATATATTATTTACTTTGTCTTTCTAAAAAAGTCAGTATTTGCCTTAATGATGAAATAAAAACCAATACGTTATTTATTTGAAAGAGATTCCTCAGTTATTTCTTATTTCTCATTTGATATTATTATTATTAAAATATCATAAATTATTACTTTTTACTTTGTGTTTGAACTAAATATTGTGATAATAAGATAACATATAATATTTACATTAGTTTGCCAGGGCTACCACAACAATATACTGGGTGGTTTAAACAGCAGAATTTTATTTTCTCAAAGTTCTGAAAGCTTGAAGTCCAAGAGCAAGGATCCAGCAGGTTTGATTTCTTCCAAGACCTCTCTCTTGCTGAAAGAGGGCCAGACTTTTCCTGTGTCTTTACATGGTCTTTCCTCTGCATGTGTGTATCTTTAACATCAGTCTGCTCTGGCTGCCATGATACAATTCTCTAGACTTATTTGCTTAAAGAACAGAAGTTTATTTTCTCATAGTTCTGGAGACTTGAAAATCCAAAGTTAAGATGCCAATCAGTTCAGTTGCTGGTGAGGGTTCTTTGTGGCTTTCAGATGGTTGCCTTCCTTCTGTGTCCTCACATTGCACAGAGAGAAAGAGAGAATGACAGATCTCCCTGCTGTCTCTTCTTGTAAGGGCACTAATCCTGTTGGACCAGGACTCCATCCTTATAACCTCTTTTAATCCTACTTACCTTTGAATGGTCTCATCTCCAAACACACTCACATTGGATTTTAGGGCCTCAATATATAAATTTGGAGAGTGGTGGATGGGGGGCATTGAAAATTTGGTGTTTCTGAAAGGTTGAAAATACCTGGTGTTTCTCTGTGTGTCACTGTTTCTTGTTCTTATAAGGATATTAGTAAAATTGGATGAGGATCTACTCTAAAAGTCTCATTATAATCTTATCACCACTTTAAAGTTATAGCTCCATAATATGGTAACAACAATCCGCAGTCTTGGAAGGCAGGGTTTCAACATATAAATGTTAAGGGGACATAATTCATCCTGCAATACTTTTCTAGTAGTTTCCTTGGAAACCATCATTTCTCTGAAACTCATACTAGTGATTTGAAGTAAATATCATGCTGACTAGTTAGACTTCTATTACTTTTATCTTTAAATATAGAAACTCCCTAGGTAAGTATTAGTGCTTATTAACAGCTTCCTCATGGGATGCAAAAATATAAAGTCACAGATGTCTTCAAAAAGGAATTTTATTCACAATATCCTGAAAATTAGTTTTCAACTTCTATTATAAATTGTCAATATGACAGAAAATAAAAATATTTCTGTGAATATGTCAGATATGTGAAAAATATAAAGTATATTATATTTCTATTGATAAGATGCCTCTATGTAAATGTAATATATAAAACAAGTTTTCATGTTACTAATTCACACAAATGACTTTAGTTAACAATATATCTCTTCTAGAAATATTTTTACTTCAATAACACATTTTGTATATTATAAGTTGTAGTCATAACATATATATTATTTTCCCAAATTCTAGGTAAGCTTGGAAAATAAATTGTAAACATGGAACTTATATCTAAGTATGCAGGATTATAGTCATAATGTTTATTAACTGAGAAATCTTTGCATAGATTGATATATAAATGGAAAGAGTATTATTACCAAAACCCCAAATCTCTTCTCTGTATGACATCTTCAATTAACTAGCCACTCAAATACTAACCTAAGCCATTAACAGACTGCCTTCAACAATTGTAAGCCTATAATTTATGTAAAATAGATTAATGTGAATCCCCCCTCCTATTATGAGCTTCAGTTGAGCTTTACATAACAAAAATTAAATGAGAGTCATAATTTTAGTCATCATGGAGAAATTTTTTAAACAATATAAAGTTCATCTACCTCTTAGCCCTAAATGTCTAATTATATGTAAAGAACTGTAATTTATTTTCCTAACTACATATTTAAGCTTCAGTTTATTTGCTCAATTGCTTTTTATACTAATTTTAACTAAGACTATAATGTGGTATGTTTTTAATTGAAGTATAATTCAAGTACAATAAAACTCACTCTTTTAAAGTATACAATTCAGCTTGTTTTAGCATATTCACAAAGTTGTACAACTATGGCTACATCAACACTAATTGTAGAGTTTCATCATACCCAAAGAAAAGTATATGCTCATTAGTAGACACTCCCTCTTCTACTTCCTGTCTCCCATAGAAATCACTAATGTACTGTCTTTCTTTATGAAAATGCCTATTTTGGATTTTACATATAAATGGATTACATAATAGTTGGCCTATGCATTTGGCTTATTTCAGGCAACATAATATTTTTAGGGTTACGTCATTATGCAGCATATATTACCACTCCATCTTTGTCAAATCTGAACACTATTTCAGTCAGTGCTTGTATTGCATTTTGCTTACCTCTTCATCAGATGATGGACATTTGGATTGTTTACATTTTTTAACTATAATGTACAATACTTCCATGAAGTCATGCACATGTTCTTCTGTGAACATGTTTTTAATTTTCTGGGATATACAATTAGGAGTGAAATTGTTTGGTCATGTGTTAATTCTGTTTAACTTATTGAGGAACTGTCAATTTTTTTCCAAAGTGGCTGTAGCATTTCACATTTCCACCAACTGTTTATGAGTGTTCCAATTTCTATGCATCCTCACCAATACTTGTTATTCTGTCTTTTAATTACAGGCATTCCAGTGGAAGTGAAGTGCATCTTATTGTAGTTTTGATTTGCATTTCATGGATAGTAATGATGCCAAGAATCTTTCTATGTGCTTACAGGCTATTTGCATATTTTCTTTGGAGAAGTTTATATAAGTTATTTGCCCATTTTTTTAAAAATTAGATTGCCCTTCAAATATTGATTTATGAGTCCTTCATATAATGATAAAACTTTATAATATATATGATATTTTCATTAAATTTGAGAAGTTTTCAGCCATTATTTTTAAATATTTCTCTCCTCTCTTTCTGGAACACTTATTATGTGTTGTCAGTGTCCTTTATGGTGTTCCATAGATCTCTGAAGCTCTGCTCAAATTTTCTCATTCATTTTTTTTTTAATTCTCCAAAGTATATCATTTTAGTTAACCTATCTATAAATCCATTAATCCTCTTACCTGGTCAAATATTAATATGTTATTGATCACCTTTATTAAACTTTTTATTTCAATAGTTATATTCTTTAACTCTAGAATTTTGAGTTGGTTGCCTCTATTTTTTATTGATATCCTTTATTTGTTGAAACACCATTCTCATCCTTTAATCCTTTGGACATGTTTTCTTTAATCATTTTAGCATATTATAAAAAGCTAATGTAAAATCTGTGTTCAGTAATTATGACATCTGTATTTCTTCAGAGACAGTTTCAGTGAATTGCTTTCTGTGCCCACATCCATGAGCCATACTTTCTTGTTTCTTTGCATATTTTAACTTTTTAGTCAAAAACTGTATTTTAAATAACATAAAGTAATAACTTTGAGAATTGCACTCTTCTTCCTCCCCAAAATTTGTTATTGTTTTGGTTGTTTTCTTTTAAAAATATAATTCAGTAATGTCAGTATTCTTCATCATTCATGGACACAGAGGTCTCTGATTGGTTAGCTTAGTGGTCAGCTAATATTTCCACAGGCATTTTTTTAAATGCCTATAACCAATAAATTTCTCAAGCTTTGCTGAGGGCCTCTGTGTGAGGATTGGGGTAAGACTCCATTTCATCAGGTATTTGATAACTCTACCTTAGCCTTTAATTTTTGATTAATCAGAGCCTCTGTGATTTAGAGATGCGAGCTTAGATCCTTCTTAAGTCTTTCCTTAGCATGTGCTCAACCCCAGTATGCACATGGTCCTATGAATACAAATGGCCTTCTACATTCTCAGGAATATTTCAGAGTATTCCCAAGCCCATCTCATTCTCTGTCTTTTCCTTTCAAGCTCTTTAGTATTATTTGCTCTGTTATCTATTGCCCCATGCAGCCACAAAGTTAACCATTGCTTGCAATTGTTATTGGCAATGCTTCATGGAAAGAGGTTCTTATCCTGGATAAGCTCTGAGTAAGGTCAAATATATCAATCATAGTAGATTCTTCAAGGAAACGATTTGAAAGTACAAATAATGATAATTATCTAGTAATGAGGCATTGAAATACATTCAACCCCATCTGCCGCCTCAGGTGGCTAGCAGGTTGGTGGTTTTTACCTTGACTGTGGGGCTGTCAGTCTTCAAAGTTACCATGGAACTTCATAGAGATAAGAATAGGGTAGGTTCAATTGCTGGAAATCTTGATGTTTTATTTATTTATTTATTTATTTTTATGGAGTTTCATTCTTGTTGCCCAGGCTGGAGTACAATGGCATGATCTCGGCTCACTGCAATCTCCGCCTCCCAGGTTCCAGCGATTCTCCTGCCTCAGCCTACAAAGTAACTGGGATTACAGGCACCCGCCACCATCCCTGACTAATTTTTGTATTTTCAGTAGAGATGGGGTTTCACCATGTTGGTCAGGCTGATCTCGAACTCCTGACCTCAGGTGATCTGCCCGCCTCAGCCTCCCAAAGTGATGGAATTATAGGTGTGAGCCACCGTGCCCGGGAAAGCCTTACTGTTTTTTACTGAGATTCAGCCATTGTTCATGAGTAAATGCTCCCTGCATTGCTGCAAGCCTTTGGTAAATTTCAGATTTCTGAACAAAAAGCTGATTCTGACAATTCTGTCCAGTATTATCATTGATTTATGGAGGAGAGAATTTTTAGTGGTCCTTCCTCTTTCACTGTGCTGATATCACTTCACAGTGATGCTTCTAAGTGTCTATACATAACTTTCAAATGTCAGGTTTTTGTTAGATACACAGTATGTTTCATTACTACAACTATATGATAAAAATATATGAATTGTAGCAGAAGATTTTATGAAACATAGAACTGTCATTTTATCCAGATTGTTGATATTCTGGTTCTATAGAATTTTACTGAAAAATAAGGATAACTATGCAAGTGTTAAAAACATGCCTACTTAATCTACATAGAATCCAATGATAGCAGGAAAATTAAATTTTACATTTTTATAGATATAGATTAATTAATGATAAATAGTTAATAGTTAAAATATTAGATACATATAGGCAGAAAAAATAAATAATCTATTTTGAGAAATCATATTTAAAGATCAGACAGGGACAATGACCAGAGATTTTGAATTTGTTCAAGAAATAGTTTATTGTCAAGACTTATTCTAATGTCTGAAGTTCCTAAATTGCATATGTTTGTTCTTGTTTGTCGAAGAGGAGGAAGCACCAGTATTTCACACATGTCCACCTTTTTCACACCTAAACTCGTATGAATAACTTGGTAGGAAGCCATTGATTATTTCTTATATATGTCCTCTGTGTTATTGAGTTGTTAATCTGCATTTTGGGGATGTGCGCAATTTAAAATGACATTGCTTAGAACTCTCATTCTTGCTAATGTTCTAGCTATGTTTCTCGTTGATGTTATAGTGAGATTCTTTGTCTTTATGAAGCAGTAATTATCAACTTGCATATTTAAAAGCAAGAATTTGCAGATTTAGCATTGTTTTATTAATAATTTTGAGGTTATTTCTCCAGGCCACCTCAGGAAACTCATGAAGAAGCTTTTAATAGGCTAATAACACAATGTTTATGCTCTCTTTTCCCAAATTACATAACAATGGACTACCAGCCGCTTTAGACAGCCTTATAGACTATAGAGTGATGTATGTAATAGAGTACTAACAGGATAATTTATCTTTAGTTCTAGGGCATCTCCAAATAATTTTTCATGAACAAACATAATAATGATAGCTATAATAGTGTTTTTTCTTTCTTTTCTCTAACCCCAGTGCCCAAAGTTCTCTGCTGAGAATCTATTTCAGGATAACTGTTTTTTGTTTCCATTGCTCACATTCATCACAAGAGCTCTAATGTCTATGCTGAAGCAGCATTATTTGTGTCCCCAGTTATTGCCCATAGCTTTAATAAAATAGTTTCTTTACAAAAATGTGAAAATCTTACCTCTTTTGAACTCTGTGGTAAGCAGAATAATGTTCATGCAAAGATGCCATTTCTTAATTTGCAGAATTTTTGAATATGTTAAAATTACATGCCCAAAGGGAATTAAGGTTGCAGATGGAATTAAGTTTACTAATTAGCTCATCTTAAAATAAGAAAATTATTCTGCATTTGGAGGATGAGCACAATCTAATCACATGTACTTTTAAGAACAAAGGGAGGTTCCAAGTCTTTGCTATTGTGAATAGTGCCGCTATAAACATACGTGTGCATGTGTCTTTATAGCAGCGTGATTTATAATCCTTTGGGTATATACCCAGTAATGGGATGGCTGGGTCAAATGGTATTTCTAGTTCTAGATGCCTGAGGAATCGCCACACTGACTTCCACAATGCTTGGAACCAACCTAAATGTCCAACAACAATAGTCTGGATTAAGAAAATGTGGCACATATACACCATGGAATACTATGCAGCCATAAAAATGATTAGTTCATGTCCTTTGTAGGGACATGGATGAAGCTGGAAACCATCATTCTCAGCAAACTATTGCAAGGACAAAAAACCAAACACCGCATGTTCTCACTCATAGGTGGGAATTGAACAATGAGAACAGATGGACACAGGAAGGGGAACATCACACTTCAGGGACTGTTGTGGGGTGGGGGGAGGGGGGAGGGATAGCATTAGGAGATATACCTAATGCTAAATGACGAGTTAATGGGTGCAGCACACCAACATGACACATGTATACATATGTAACAAACCTGCACATTGTGCACACGTACCCTAAAACTTAAAGTATAATAAAATTTTAAAACAAAGAACAAAGGAAGGTAGAGGAGTGAGAGAGATATGATATGAAGAGGATTTGATTCATCTTTTATGGCTTCGAAGATGAAGAAAGGGGACCTTGAGGCTAGGAATGTGGGCAACATCTAAAAGCTGATAATAGCTCTCAGTTGACAATGAGAATTGAAACAGGAATCTTGGCTCTACAACCACAGGAACTAAATTCTGACAGTAACTCTAGTGAATGGGAAACAGATGTTTACTTAGAGTCTCCAGAAAGCAATGCAGCATTGTTCACACCTGACATTTGCCCAGTGAGATTTGTATCAGACTTGTGATATACAGAACTGCCAAATAATAAGTTATATTATTTTTAAGCTACTAAATTTGTGTTGATTTCTTCTCATAGCAATGCATTTTTTTAATATAAAGTCAGACAAAAAGTACTGGTCTGAGCTAGAGGTTAAAATAGATCGCATTTGTTATTGTTCACTTATTCCCTCCTCTACCAATTTAGAAACATCTTTACTTAATCTGGTTCAACCAATTTATCAAATATATTAAGCACTTCCCAATCACAGGAGAGGGGAGCGCTTTGAATTCCACTATATACTTTCTTATTGTGATCCTCGAATATCTGAGACAGGCCTCATTAATTTAGAAAGTTTATTTTGCCAAGGTTGAGGATGCAAGCCCATGACACAACCTCAGGAGGTCCTGATGACATGTGCCCAAGGTGGTAAGAGCACAGTTTGGTTTTATACATTTTAGGGAGACATGAGACATCTATCAACACATATAAGATGAACGTTGGTTCTGTCTGGAAAGGCAGGACAATTGGAAGTTGGGAGGGGGCTTCAGGGTCATAGGTGGATAAGAGACAAATGGTTGTATTCTTTTGAGTTTCTGATTAGCCTTTCCAAAGGAGGCAACCAGATATGCATTCATCTTAGTGAGCAGAGAGATGACTGAAGAGAATGGGGGGCAAGTTTGCCCTAAGCAGTTCCCAGCTTGACTTTTCCCTTTAGCTTAGTGGTTTGGGGGCCCCCAGATTTATTTTCCTATCACAGCGTGTAGCAGTATTCTACTATGAAAAGTGGAGCATCAGCTTTGTTTTCTCATTCTCTAATTATGTTTTTGGATTTCCCAAAAATGTCTAAAAGTATTATTTATTGGTAACTACAATAGAATATCTCACAGCTCATGATGCTAAATGGTTTCAAGGGTAACATTTACTTATGGCCATAATTTAGTTTTACTCAGTATACACACAGTTGAACAAATTAGCATATCTTATCACCAGGCACTTATGAAAGATACAAGAGGTTTATGTTGTGTTAATTTTTATATTACTTCAAGAAGAGAAAATAAAATATTTTTAGCATAGAAAATCATTTTGCTTTCCAATAACCAAAGGCACTTTTTATGAACATATTCATTAATAATATGTAAAAAATTTACCTTACCCAACAATTTAATAACCGCTAAGTTGTGTGATTATTCTAAATTAACCATGAATCATGGAAAGCATTATCACTAGTTTCTAAAGCTATTCCAGTTTTTAAAGATTTCATGACAATGTTCTTAAAATTGTCACATTTCTTATAATATTGACAATTCCTCAAATTTTATCATTTATAGAATCTTTATTCAAATTACTAGGGCTATGTGTTGGATAGTGTAACAATTTGAATTTATGTAGTATGAAAAACATAAGAAATTTTCCCTGGTTTCCCTTTACTGCTTACAGTAAAATGTGAGATGAGGGAGATAAATTGCAACAATTATTAAGCAAAAAGTTACCAGAATTTGAAGATATGGAAAACTCTCGGTCTATCCTTAGTGCAAAAAACAAGAAAGCATGGGCTGGAGACAATAGCAAAAATTGGCTGGAAAATAATTTGATAAAGAGATCACTGGTGCTATTTGAGGGTTTAATCCATCATCTCAACAGATGCCAGAATTCAGAAGTCCAAGAATCAAAGGATGAAAATGGAAGTGGCACCACTCATCATTACCTTTTGTGACCTCTAGCAAATATTTGCTTCCTGTTCCCATGACCTTAAATTCTGATGGCCTAGAAATCTTAGTCGCGAAGGGAGAAATGCTTCCACCAGGAGACAATAATTCAATTTAACTGAAAGTTAAGACTTCATTTTGGCCACTTTTAGCTTTGTAAATTTCTGAATAAACAAAGAAGGGAGTTACTGTGCTGTCTGAAGTGATTGATTCTGATTACCAAAGAGAAGTAGGATTGCTAAGTATGATTTAAGGAGATGTGTATGGGTGTATGCTGACAACGTGGTAAAATTTCAGTGATTAATTTTATATGTCAACTTGTCTGGAGCACAATGCCCAAATATTTGGTCAAACATTCTGCATACTTCTGTGAGGATTTATTTAATGAGATTATCATTTATATCAGTGGACTTTGAGTAAAACAGATTGCATAATATGGATAGAATTAAGTCAATCTGTGATTGGACTTAATCTTCTGTGCAGACTGATTTAATGAGATTATCATTTATATCAGTAGACTTTGAGTAAAACAGATTACATAATATGGATAGACTTAATCCAATCAGTTGAAAGCTTGAATAGAATAAAAAGCTGGCCTCTCCCAAGAGGGAGGAAATTTTTTGTCAGACTGCCTTCAGATTCCATCTGTAATATCCTTTGTTTTTTTTTTCTGGTTCTATAGGAGACTGTCTTCAGACTTTGTCTGCAACATCAACATTTCCTGGTTCTAGAGCAGGCTGCTTTTGAACCCACATGTAACTCTCTATTGAGTCTCCAGCTTGTAGGACAACATCATTAAATTTTGGACTTCCCAAGCCTCCACAATCTCATTAGAGCAGAATTTAATTTTATAAGTATAACTCAGTATATCAAATTATTGTATATTGAAATACAGGAAAATTTATAATTAAAGTTTTAAAAAGTTTTTTCACTAATCAGTATATTGTAATGTGCAAGAGAATTTACAAATGATTTGCCTCCTATATAAAATTACAGATTTTTAGCCAAGATTTTTAAAAACAATTTTGTCAGTCAAATTTTATTAAGTGAATTAATCACATAAGCAAACATTTCTAACAGTGCAAAATTACTTCAGGTGGAGCAAAAAGTTGTGTATATAGATTAATTAATGCAGTCAAGTAGTTCTTGAACTGTTGCAGTTTAAAAGGCAATAGTTAAAATTGCTGCATTTTCAAATAAATATTATCTTCTTTGATGTTGATAAAAATGATTTATGTTGATTTAATTAATAATAGAAGGCAAATTTTAGTTATTTATGATTCCACAAAATTTTATGTTAATGTACGTATTGGGGTAATTATATATACATTTCATAAACAGTTTATAAATAAGTAAATATCAATTTATAGCTTCAGATTTGTTTATTATAGTTTGATGTTCACTTGAAATAGTAATTATGTGTTTGTATTTCCTGATTTTATTTTCAAAGTTTGTAAATATCAGTAATACCTGGATTTAAGAGAAACCCACAGCTTTTTTATTCCAACTGAAATTTTAGCAATGGAATAATTTGAATTCAGACTAGGAATTGTGGCAGTCTGTTAAAGCTATAAGAATTAAAAAAATATTTTTTGCTGTTGTTCTAATTTGTATAGATTACAAATATACTAGAAATAAATGAGTACATTGACACATACACAAGCTTTCTATGTGATGTTTCAAGGTAGTGCTCCAAAAATTGCAATATATGTGTCTCTCATATAAAATTATATTAGATATGAAACAAGTCACTCTATTGTTGAACTATAAATACATACATATATGTGTATGTATATATGTGTATTGATCTCATCGTTTTCAAAAACATATTTCTGAAATCCTTCTATTCTTTGTTTAGCTTGTAGAATTTCAGAATTTTAAATTGAAATAAATTATAGTGAGAACTTGAATGAGGTCACACAACTACATCAAACAATTTTAATTTTAGAATGTCAATTCCTCTCAAAATCACAAAAAAGAGAACCATTTTTCTTGGTATAATTTATATCAATGAAAAGATAACGAAGACATTTAAAATATTTCAATATCCCTCACTTCCCCAATTTTCCATCCGCATTCTTAATAAATGCGTGCACACACATATACACACATGCACACACACTTTATTGCATATAGACTAAATGATGGCAAAAATTCTAGGTTCAGTGACTTGACACTTTGGCTTCATAACTGTTACAAATAAAAACAGTAATTTATGTCTTTTAACACATTAAAAAATGTTAAAGAGATCTTTAAAGAGGACCTGGGGTTAAAGGAATTACTGAAAGCACAGAATTAAATCATACAGTAATCTTTGAAACTCTATCGCATATCCTAGAAGCAGGGGAAGATGAATCATTCTATTTGTTACTGTATTTAATATCAATACAGTGTCAAATAAATTCGGTGGTTATTTTATAATCAATTATTTTTGCCTCAGTATAAACATTTGTTTGACTTATTCTTAGTTTATTACACATAGTTAAAGTGCTTACTTTTAACATTAAGGTTTTCAATTTTTGTAGCATAGTATTTAGAATTATTTTAAGCAGGGCTAGTTGATGTTGATGCTTTGAGGGCTAGTAGTGTCTCAGATTAATTTGTAGCTTTTACTAAGTCTTATCCACTAATTAGCTTGACTTCAGCATAGTACACAACTTTCTCTCCCATGTGGTTTTCTGCAGTTCACAACACATTTTACATGGTTCTGACAATTCAAATGCTGATTGTGTGTGAAGAAAAAAAATCTGATAATGTAAAGGCCCTTCCTTCCTTCCTTCCTTCCATCCTTCCTTCCTTCCTTTCTTCCTTTCATCCTTCCTTCCTTCCTTCCCTCCCTCCCTCCCTCTTCTCCTCCCTCCCTCCTCCCTCCCTCCCTTCTTTCCTTCCTTCCTTCCTTCTTTACCTCCCTCCCTCCATCCCTTTCTTCTCTCCTTCCTTCCCTCCCTTCCTCCACCCCTCCCTCCCTTCCTTCCTTCCCTCCCTCCTTCCTTCCTTTCCTCTTTCTTTTTTCTTCTTTCTCTTTCTCTCTCTCTTCCCCCTTCCCCATTCTTCTTTCATTCTCGTTGGCTTTCTTTTTACTTGATTTTTGGCTTTTTTATCATTGTTTTTATCATTAGTACTTTGATAATTATAAAATTCTACATCAGAACTTGATATATCTAAATTATTCCATTGATGCAAACAATCTTAATTCCAGATATTTTAAAATTACATTACCAAAACTACATGGAGTTACTATATATTTAGTGACTCTTATTTTTATTGGATAGGAAAAAGGAATTAACAGCTATTAAGCATGTATTATACCAAGCATGGTGCTAGACTTTCAAATATATTCACCAATTTATGCCTGAGGTTGCAATGTTTTGAATGTTTGCAATCAGACCGTAGTGATGACCTTGAGCAGTAAGATATAAATAACTCTCACATGCTTAGCGTTCCAATAGTGGAACACTAGGCATAAATGGATTTAATAATAGTAACTGATGTTTATTGTAATACTCCACCTCTTAAATAAAAAGAATGAGATCCTGCATTTGTTACAACATGGATGAGTCTGAAGGACATTATGTTAAGCAAAATCAGCCAGGCACAGAAAAATAAATATTGCAAATATTATATGTGGAATCTAAAAAAATCAAATATACAGAGAAGAGGAAAGAGTGTGTGTCGGAGTGAAGAGAGGTTGGTTAATTGGCACAAACATTCAGTAAGATAGAAGGAATAATCTGTAATGTTTAATAGCAGAGCAGGGTGACTGTAATTGACAACAATGTATATGTGACAAAATATCACCTCTACCCCATAAACATGTATGAATAGTATTATGAATAATTTTTATAGAGAAACAAGCCAAAAGAAACAGGTGAACTTAACTTTAGTAATGAATTTTAATTAACTTGGTAAATCCAAAATGTTGTCATTTAAACATAAAACCAGTGTAAATCATTATTAATTTTACATATCTTTTATTTTTACTATGTGTTCAATCTAGTACATTTTATTTTATAATGAAGAGTACGTGTGAGTTTGGAGTAGCCATATTTCAACAGCTCCATTGCCATATGTGAACAGTGGCTATGGCATTGCTCAGCATAGGTCACAAAAGAAAGGTAAAGGAATAGACTGGTCATTTCAAGGTAATAGGAAGAATGAGAGAATAGAATGTTGGCAGAGCACTTTAAAAGTACAGCAAAGGAGCACTTAGTCCAACCTGGAGCTCCAAGGATGCTTCCGGGGGAAGACACCTGGGCTGGGTAAAGGCAGAATGGGGCCCATTCTCAAAGAGCCTTGTATGAGAAGGCAAGGAGTGTAGATAGTATATACATGATCATCTGTTGCTTTACCATATCTTTTCACATACATTATTAAGTCATTTGGGAAAAGCATCAGCCCTTGTGGTAGGCAATTTGTGGCCAAAGCTGATTTTGTCTCCCCATTGTATTCTCTTCTTTTTCCACACAAAAAGAAGTCCTGTATTATATGTGGCAATGAGTACAGTTAAAATCTGTACCTCCCATCCAGTCTTGCAAATAAAGATGGTAACTTAAATTGTTGGTTAGTGTTTCTGGAAAATTTCCTAAACAAGAAAAGGAGGCATGTCATTTATCCATTACCCCTTCTAGCTTCTTGCTGCTCAGAAGGTAATCATGATTACTGGAGCTACAGCAACTACTTTGTGACTAAGAGGCACTCTAATGATGAAAAGTATGCTCTAAATACATCAAAGAAGGATGCATGGTACCAGTGTCCATATGACCGTGGGACTGCTGCAAGATCCCTGAATGGCCTAATTCTAGTCTTCTGGCCTGTGAGTTCCTAACTCATTAACAACCAAACAAATACACAGAGAAAAGATAGAGAACAAAATATTGGTTTCCAGATGTGGGAAAGGGGAAGGAAATCGGAAGATATATGTCACGGGGTATAAAGTAGTAGGTATGTAAATTGAACAAGTCTAGAGATCTAATGTACGATGTGAGGACTATGGGTAATAAAATTGTACCATATTTGGGATTCATAGATTTTAGCTGTTCTTGCCAAAAACAACAAAAATTGGTAAACATGTGAGATGATAGATAATGTTAATTCACTTCACTATAGTAAGTAGCCCTTTTACCGTCTGTATATATTCCATAGCATCATGCTGTAGACCTTAAATGTATACAACAACATTTATTAAACAAATAAACAATGACAACCACCACAGGATATAAGCCCTACTATTAGCTTAGTTTTACATATTAGGAAACGGAGGCTTAAAATGTTATTTATTCTAGCATACACACATAATGGTTCTCATTTAGTTCTTTCAACAAGCCAATTGTTCATCACAATTATTTAAAATTAAGAGTTTAACAAAGTTTGAGGAGCACGTGGAACACTTACTTTTTAAAGTAGCAAACCCAAGGTCACAAATAAGGTATTTAAATGAATATATGTATAAACCAAAAAATGTGCCTTTTCAGAGAAACATGGTATAGACTTTAAATTTATATATGACTACTTATGTTTTTCTTAAAGACCAAGGTTTTATCCTTTCTTCCAGTTAAAATAATATAGAAAATTTATGTTAATTTTCTATATTTGAAAATAATTATTTCTATTAGAAAATAATTATTTCTAATAGAAAGTATTATTTATATGTTAATTTTCTATATTATATTAACTTTGAAAGTGAGCCCTTTCAAAGATATATTTTCAAAATATCTACCTTATTGTCATTTATGCAAAAATGTATATATATAAACAAAAGAAAGCTCCTTTTCTGCCTATGTGATACATATCACAGAATATTCATTATGCAAATGAATATTTTGCATATTAGAATTAGAATATCAGAATATTCTAATATTTCTATAAGAAATAATTATTTCTTATAGAAATATTATTTCTATATTAATTTTCTATATTAACTTTGAAAGTGAGCCCTTTCAAGGATATATTTTCAAAATATCTACCTTATTGTCATTTATGCAAAAATGTATATATATAAACAAAAGAAAGCTCCTTTTCTGCCTATGTGATACATATCACAGAATATTCATTATGCAAATGAATATTTTGCATATTAGAATTAGAATATCAGAATATTCTAATATTCCTATAAGAAATAATTATTTCTTATAGAAATATTATTTCTATATTAATTTTCTATATTATATTAACTTTGAAAGTGAGCCCTTTCAAGGATATATTTTCAAAATATCTACCTTATTGTCATTTATGCAAAAATGTATATATATAAACAAAAGAAAGCTCCTTTTCTGCTTATGTGATACATATCACAGAATATTCATTATGCAAATGAATATTTTGCACTTTCTTCTTCATCTGAAAGAGAGTTTTAAAATCTTTCTTGGTATATATTATTACAATGTGTGTTAAATTTGAGATGTATTTTTCCAAACATTTCATATTGTTTGTAATGCACTAATGCAAATTATCATTTGAGAATGAGACTAAATATGCAGCAGCAACAAGTTTTACTTTCAGCTCTGCCTAAAGAAAAGTGAGAGGCTGGGATAATTATAATAGTCTACAAGGATAAGAACATCACTGGTGAAGCTATCTTTATATAGATCTTATATTGTCATTTTAAATTAAAATATATATATTTTAATAAAAAGTTATTGTCTTCAATATGTCACCATCATTAATATAGATTGGATATTTGTTTCTTCCATATCTCATTCTGAATTGTAATTCCCAGTGTTGAAGGTGAGGCCAAGTGAGAGGTTTCTAGATAATGGGGGAGGACCCCTGATAAATGGTATAGTGCCGTCCCCTTGGTGATGAGTGAGTCAATGCAAGATCTGGCTGTTTAAAAGCGTGTGGCACCTCCCCCTTCCCACTCTTGCTTCCTCTCTTGCCATGTGAAACACTTGCTCCTCTTTTGCCTTCCATCATAATTGTAGGCTTCCTGCAGCCTCCTCAGAAGCAGATGCTGGAGCCATGCTTGCACAGCCTGCAAAACCGTGAGTCAACTAAACCTATTTTATTTACCAATTGCCCAGCCTCAAATATTTCTTTATAGCAATGCAAATGTCCTATACAATCGTCATAAAAAATTTACATCATTTATAAAGTACTGGATGATATTTTAGTAAAATTAATTTTAATAACTATATTTTGTCTATTTGCTTTATGGGATTTTTAAATATGGAGAGTCAATATAAGCTAAAATCAAAGAGCACTTAATGTTTGCTACAGTCTGAATGTGTTTTCTCAAAATTTATATGTTGAAATTTAATTGCAAATATAATTATATTAAGAGATGAAGACTTTAAAAAGTGAATAAGTCATGAAAGCTTTGCTCTCATGAATGGAGTTAATGACCTTATAAAAAAAAGTTGCTAGGCTGCTGTTTCTCCCTTTTTGCCTTTCCAACAGGTGAAGACACAGCAACAGTGTCATTTATGGAACAGAGATTTAGATCACCAGATACTGAATCTGCCTATGCCTTGATATTGGACATCACAGTCTTCAAAACTGTATAAATAAATTTATGTTATTTATAAAATAATCAGCCTAAGGTATTTTGTTATAGCTGCAGAAACAGACTCAGGCAATATTTTTCCTGTTTTAAATATTCCTTACATTGTTTGAAGTTACATAAAGCCACATTTGTATGTTTTTAACTTTTATTAAAATCTTTAAGAAAGATTCTAAGCATGTTTCTGTTTAAGCTGATGTTATTCTCACACACACACACACACACGTGCAAGCACAGACACGAATCTATGTTTAGGCGACCAGGTTGTTCTATCTAGAAAATTTACTGAAACAGCTGTGTTTGAAGGCCTATGGAGTTAGATTTTTTATTTGTCCAAAAAGGAGCTTGATGCAAACATGTAACTACCATTATCCTAAATAACCAAAGAGCATTGATGTCATTTCTCAGAACAATGGATGGAAAAAATTTAATTAACTCACTTTCAGAAAAGCATTTCTGAAATGTCAGTACCTGAGCATTTATTTCTTGAATAGCCTAAAAAAATCTTTTGCCATAATAGTTTTTTATGATAGTGACTCCAGTTTTCATGATAGCCTAAGAATTAATAATCTATTAAATAAAATGTTTTCATTTATTCCAGGAAGTCTAAGAATATTTTTGAATCCCCAAATGCCCACTAAACACTCCAGTTTTCTGAGGATAAAGTGTTTTTTTTTATTGGGTACTAAAAAGCACATAGATTTTTGTCTTCTTGTGAAAAGCTTTTGTAAGTGTATTGAGAAAATAGAAATTGCAAAAACATTAAGAGACTTTTTATTATTTGAAGACATAGCTCATTTTGCCCAGGTGTGCTATCACAATAGATATATCAAGCATGTGTACTGTACAAGTAATACAATTTTATAGGAAAAGAAAGCATTGTTTTAAAATTATTGGAATGGATGGATCTAACTGTTGCCTTCTAATACAGCAGACTTTACCATATATAATAAAGAGGAAATATTCTTAAGAATATCTTATTTATATGATTATTTTTCTTTAATAATGAAAAAAGTAGATATGTCATGAATAGATGTAGAAAATTACAAAAACAGGGTTAAAACCCATTGTTTAGTCAGAGGTAGCATGAAGACATCAAATAAAAACTATATTAAAATATCTTCAAATGTGTACCTGTTCATTTTTTAGAAGTTTCTTGGTTTTTTAATCTGTTTTACTTGCCTTTTTCAATCTTTTTTTAGAAAAATGAAATTAAAGAAACTAAACATATTCAGATTAATTTTTTCCTCCATGTCATTATGTTATTCTAATTACTCTGTGTCTTTGGGAGTTTGATTAATTACTACCCTGGAAGCACAGTATCTTTACCTCTATTTAATAATTTTGGATTTTCTTAGCATTCATTCATTCTTCTATCCATTACTCAAATATTTTCTACTGTATTTCCATGTTTTCTTTTGTATTTTCCCAGGTAATCTTTGCTGCCACAATCACACAGACATAAAGTGAAAGGATAATTTTTTTCTTGCATCTGTTGTGAAAACCTTAGTAACAAATAGTAACTGTTCCAAGACTGTCAAATAGATTTATAAGATATTTTCACATGATAGAGTTCTGTTAGAATTTTTCACTACACTAACTGACATAAAAATGATGTTACTCATGCAGGAGAAAAGTGATCTTTAATGACAGCTCAGGACAATAAGAAAAAGAAAACTAAAAAGGGGAAGGCGGAAGCATATGTGTAGTAAAAATAAACATTGACCATATAAAAGTAAAAATAATCACCTGTCGAGCTTAAATAGAGAGTAAAAAATATCTGATAATAATACCACAAAAGGCAAGAGAGGGTAAGATAAATAAATATTCACTTTTAAATATCAATTTTAAACGGATTGATAAATGAGAAGATGGCTAAAATGCCCATAAACTAAGCAGAGCTTAATTTAGAATCACAATAAGAGGAAATTTGTTTATTGAGATAGTAGTAAAGCATGACATTATAATTGTGCTTATAATATCAAGAATAATATAATCTCTAGAGATACCATAATACTTGAAGGAATACTTAATTAATGCTAACAAAGGCAGATGCTGAAATCAAGATTATTAATCAGGAAGAAGTCAATAATAGAGATAAAAATAAATGTAAGTGTAAAGCACAAACGAATATGAGTAAATGTATCAGGAATTACATTAAATATAATACACAAATGTAAAGACAAAAGACTTTATATTGTTTAATCAGTAAAAGAAACATCTAATTTACAGCAAAAGTAAATATCAGAAGAAATAATAACAAAACGGATCACTCAACAAACTTTCCAGCAGCCAATCATAACTTCCCAGAAAATGTGGTAGAAGTAATAACATCCCATTCACTATCAGATAGAAAAATTATAATATTCCTAAGAAATGTCCAAGATTATTATACAAAAATCTCTAAATAGCATTTGTCAAAATGTACAGTGGAATTATCCAGATGCTACGTACCAGACATTTAGTCTTCCAATAGATTAAATTTAGGAGCAGATATAGGAAGCATCAAAGACTTTTAAAAATCCCAAACAATGTAACTCTTATCACGGATTTTTTTGTCATTTCTGTTTATGTTTGTTTATTTTGTTTTGGAGAATAATGCTATTTTTCTGATAAAGCATGCTAAATGTGTTAATGTATAATGGATGCTTTAACTTTATTTCTAAATGAATTACTATGTTTTATATTTTACTATACATTACCCTGTTTTATATTTCACAATTTTTAACAAAGTGACTCCCTGTAGCTAGATTGTAAAGGAGTCCTGAGACCAAAATGCTTGTTCTAAACAGCTGCAAACAAAGGTAAAAGAAGATGTACTGTTTCTATTTTAATATATACATGTTAAAACTATTACTTCTTCCAAAGCCAATCTGCAAGCTGAAAACTGGGTTTCACTGCTTTATTTTAGAAACATTCATGTTTATATTCAAATTTATATGTATGTCTATAGATTCATGAGTAAGATCATTTCAAGCTTGATCATTTAATTTGAGATTCTTGCCTATTTAAAAAGCTGAAATATAGCATCAGAGGAGATACATTAGTATGAACACACTAAAAAATTCTACAGCCTTAAAACTGGCATTCCAATATATTAGGAAAAATAAAGGGGTTGGGGGAGAAGGGAGTTAAGGGAGGCTGAAGAGGATAAGTTGCAGAAGACTTAAAAAATCTTAATCTGAAAATTATTCAATTCACATGTTGTGATGGTTAATACTGAATGTCAACTTGACTGGATTGAAGGATACAAAGTATTGATCCTGGTTGTGTCTGTGAGGGTGTTGTCAAAGGATATTAACATTTGAGTCAGTGGACAGGAAAAGGCACACCCACCCTTAATCTGGTGGGCACAATTTCATCAGCTGCCAATGAATATAAAGCAGGCAGAAAAACATGAAAAGGAGAGACTGGCCTAGCCTCCCAGCTTACATCTGTCTCCCATGCTGGATGCTTCCTGGCCTTGAACACTGGCCTCCAAGTTCTTCAGTTTTGGGACTCGAATTGACTCTCCTGCGCCTCAGCTTGCAGAAAGCCTATTGTTCGACCTTGTGATCGTGTAAGTTAATATTTAATAAACCTCCCTTTATATATATATATATCCTATTAGTTCTGTCACTCTAGAGAACCCTAATACACATGCAATCAATAAAGCATTATGATCAATTTGAAGAAACAATGCAGCGACAAATCCATTAAGAGGTATACATTTTAAAACTTCTATAATGTTCTTAGTAAAGAATTTAGATAGTAAGTCTGGATGAACTTTGAAAGTAGTATGTTGTAAAGGAGATTTTATTCTGATTAAGACAGTTGGATTACCTAACCTTTAAGGGTCCTTCCAACCAAAATATTTAGTCTTTCCACATTTGTCTCAACAGCGCCGTTCTGGTTCTGATTTACACAATGCTGTTTCTTTAGACATGATTTTTTTGTCCTTTTAAATGGTTAAAACATATACTAGGAAAATAAAACTATTAAAAGTAACTCTAGTGAAAGTTTCAGTTTTACATACAAGGAGCGTAGGAATGGGGAAAATGTAATTATCCAGTAAAGCACACCCTTAAAAAAAGTTTTCTTGAAATTAGCAATTAAAAACGGATAATACCAAAGATAAACAAAAATGTTATCAGTCATTTATACAAGGTTTCAAGAACTACCATATAAAATACACTTCTTGGGAATACTTTACATAATAAAGAATTGAGTATTAGATCTTCAGAAAGTCTCCTTAACATGCTGCTGTTAACTAAACTTCATATTTGATACTGACTGTAAAAAAGTTATATGAGAAACTGTTACATTTGAGATGTCATAAAAAATAAAAACTTAGTGTAACTACAAACTTTCATAAACTATATTTTCCATTTGGAGAGAAGTTAAAGTCATAATTGTCACTATTCTAACCACCATTACCTTTTAACATAACGATTTCTGAGACATCATATTCTAAGTTGCTTAATCAAAGTGTTCATGAGGGACAAAATTAATCAATGATTGATATTTGCTTTAAATTTTTTTCACTGGCCACTCTACAGTTTATAATTACTTCATTGCTATTTAATATATTTTACTTTTTTATATTTTACCAATTTACATTATTTATTGTCTATCATATGCACTGAAATGAAAATCTTATAAGAGCTGAGATTTTGTCTACTTTGATCATAGCTGTATTCTCAGTATCTATGACTCAGCCTTGCTAAGGTAGATGCTCAAGAAATATTATTGAATAGAGTAAATGAATCATTCCTAGACTGGAAGTTATACATTAAACATCCAAGCACCCAACTCCTCCTTAAACAAATATTCACTCAGCCTCTAATTTTACTCAGCATCACATAACACTGTACACTGATAAGGTGCTAGAAATAAATGAATGAGCTTGCAGTCACATCAAAATGTCATTATTAAAATCTTATGAAATGTTTTCACCATGTGTCAAGAAAAAAACCTTAATTTTTGCTATATAAATACATATTGCTATAAAAATATTTATTTTTTGCTTTTAAAACAGAATTCCGTTTTGGATTGATAGATGCTTTCTATGTTCCCAAAAGATATACTGCCTGATGGTGAAAAAATTTATTAAACAATTCAATTGTAATATGGATCTCCTTTGATATTTTAATAATTTGCTAAGAGTCAGGTGTTTTTAATCACAAAACTATAACAATTGTTTGTATTATTATACTTAAAAATAGTTTTATAGTCTTTAAGCAAATAAAATATTGGTATTAAAATAATGCAAATTACTCTTTCCATAGAAAATTGTTTGCATGTTTCTGAAAGTTGGCAAATGTGACAAAATTAAAAATTGTTACGTCAGTATAAGTAAGAAAAATTTTTCGAAGGTACATAAAAATACATAAAATGATGTTGAATATGTATGCTTTTCACGTCTCTTCTAAAGAAGTAAAAATTATAAATTAAGGTATTTCAAAGCAAATTAAATCAAGGGACATATTAATTTTTTATGATTCCCTGAAATAAAATTTTATTTTTATTTTTATTATTGTTTTGTATAGTGTAGTAGAAAGATGCCTTTAAGAGCAAAATGGACATGAGCTAAAATCTCAACTCTGCCATTTATAACTATGAGGATCTAAGGCAAAATCAGCAATTTTGTGGTCTTCAGTTTGCTAATCGGTAAAAACTGATGATGTTTCATGAGATAAAGAATATAAAGCACTCATCTGAACACCTGACTATGGTTAAGTCTAATAAAAGTGATATATTATGGCTATCATATGGTCAGTATTCACAAATGACAATTATATTTCTCTTCTATATTCCTAATTTTTTTCTCTTCCATTAGTAAGGTATTTGTAAAACAGAGAAATGAAGATTTTTGTACAATATGATATCAGATCTAAGATTAAAATAAATTATGAAATTTATGGAGAAATTATGGATATTTCATGTGACTAAGAGAAAAGAACTTCATATTCCTTAATCTCTTTATTCATGTAGTCATCTGATTCATTGAACATTTATTCAGCTTTTGCCTATTGAATGTTTATGTTGTTCAAAGTAATATTCTTGGGCTTGAAGGTATTGTCATGAACAAAAAATACTTGTTCCTGGCCTCATGACATAATGTTTACTGAAAAAGAACGTAATTAAATCAGATCTTAAAAATCATTTATCATAAACTAGGTCACTTTCTATAAGAGCAAAGTAGAGGGAGAGAGAAATCTAGATTTGCTAGATATGACTTTCCTGGGTAATCATCAACGTAATCCATCACTATTCCTGGAAGGCATTAATTTTTAGGATTTAGAAACAAGTAATTCAACTTTCTGAAATTATATTATTCATGTTCCCCAACATATTTTTACATTTTAATAATCACAAATGGCCAAAATAATAAATAGCGAATTATATTTTTGTAATAGTTATGCTAAAAGTTTCAGAAATTGACCGGGCACGGTGGCTCATGCTTGTAATCCCAGCATTTTAGGAGGCCGAGGTGGGCAGATCACCTGAGGTCGGGATTTTGAGACCAGCTTGGACAATGTGGTGAAACCTCGTCTCTACTAAAAATACAAAAAAAAAAAAAAAATAGCCAGGTGTGGTGGCACATGCCTGTAATCTCAGCTACTCAGGAGGCTGAGGCAGGAGAATCACTTGAACCCAGAGGAAGGACGTTACAGTGAGCCAAGATTGTGCCACTGCACTTCAGTCTGGGCGACAGAGTGAGACTCTGCACCCCCACCAAAGAAAAGGTTTTCAGAAACTCTCTCCAAATATATAAATATATATACATACTAAATTTGTATTAAATAATATATTTAATATTTAACAATAAATATAGTGCATATGTAAAATAAATATGAGCATAAATACTATATTTACACATGCATATTCCATAGACGACATGCCTGGCTTAGTATCACTGTCAACTAAAATGTTACAAGATGATTATTCATTGCAATAATAGTAAAATAATCTGTACTTGATACAGACATTAATGGAAAATAGGAATGAAAGGAATTATAACACTAATAAATGCCAAAACAAGATCATTTACAAATTGAAAGATATTGTCACAAGTGTTTAATACTGAAAAATTATTATTACTGAAGAAAAAAAGAAGAAAATAAAGTTAAAACACCTAGAATCTTAAAGCATTAATTGCTCTATTGGAGAATCCTCATCTTGTTGTCATGAAAAATATTGCAGGGATAGATAAATGTCTTTTAGTTTGCTTTGACCTTCATGGAATGTTAGAGTGTATTAGAAAGCATATTGAATCTGAATGTTAGAATATATGTTGTTTCAGAAAGGCTTATTTTATTAGTTTAATGATGAATATTTTAGTTGTGCTGGTAAGACTGATAATGTCTTTTGCCATTTAAGATTTTAGTTGAATTGTGTGTTGAAATATTTATGCAAGAACATTCACATCTTTACATTTCCGCTGTTTTATTACTTACAAAATCCCTAGCCTATAGTGATCATTCAAATATTGGAAAATGCAGTGAATATTGGTAGGCAGAAATTTTAAAAGTTAGTATTTTAATTGTATAGCAGATTAACAGCATTCCACAGAATCATGTGTCAGACCTATCAATGTTAAAATCTATCTTGCTTCCCAACATTTTTTCTTGTTAGCTACTCAAAAGATTTATGCAAAATATACACTTTACAATATTATTATTTTTATTTGCAAATATGACTCATTGTTAGCAGCAGAGATAGCTACACACATAAATTTATGGTAATAGCTACAGGAAAGACTGACTGATTATTGTGATTGCTTCTCCCCTATATGTTCATTTCCTGCTTCACCAAATATGTTGACCATAACTTGCAACTCCACGTGCCAGCATTTATTTCTCATCCTTCCTTTCTACTTAACATCACGAGATATCTTAGGACCAGTACTGTATATATAAATAAGTTTAGACTCTTGCTTAGAGAAGTATAATATTTCTTTTCCTATATTTTTAAATTCTGAACTATTTTTTCTCTAGATTCAGCCTTAAGTCTGGTTCTCCAGACTTGTGTACAATTTTATTAGCATCTCTTCCAGGTCAACACATTTCAGTCAGTCATTTTGTATGATCTAAAACTTCGGAATCCTCTAATGGATGTAAACATAATGCTGTCTCTGTAGATAATAAAAGTTTTCCAGGAAAAGGTAACATCTAAATTGATGAGGCAAAACTGACCACCTAAAAAGTGTTTTCATAGTAAGGATTAAATATCAAAGTAATTGTAATTTGCTGAGCCTATAATATGACAGTCACTTCCTATCTAGATAATTACATACAGAATAGGCATTAGTTTTTATAGGAAAAAATAAAAATATAGGAGAATTTTGAGTCAATTTAGGTCATTTTTAGCAAAGATTTTCCCAAATATCAAGAAAAGCATTTTTTCAGATATTCTTTAGATATAGGCAGAGGGTTAAGCTTTATTGTATAAGTTATCCTAAAGTATTTAATAATTACCAAAGTATACATACAATTGTAGTTACTGCATTTATTATTTTCATCTAAATTTGTCATGATGACAGCAAAATAAAAATGTATTACACCGTTCATTCCCCTTAATAATATGAAGTCTTCAAAAATTAGATTGAGGGAATTATTAACTATGCATTCATTTTTTTAACATTTTAGAAAACTTTTGCTAAAGATCTAGCTATTTTATACATCCTATATTTAATCACAACTCTTCTAATGTGTCAAGAATGAAACAAGGGTGAAGATCTATACTTTTCTTTTGTGAACAACAGCGATTTCAACTGGCAATGCTTATTGAGTTGAAGTTGTAAGTAACTTACTTAGTGGGCATCAATCAAATGCAGCATGTCATATTTGATTTCTGCTTACACATGAGCTCTATAAATATTTAAACAGTATTATTTTTAAAGATGAAAGTATCTGCAGTAAAACTGAATATTAAATAGCCCCAGGTAACTCCTAGAACTTTTAATGTATAATTAGTTATAAGTGAGGAGGTTTGGAATTCAGGTAACCAAGGAGATTTGTTTGTATAAAACATGATTAAGTTCTTGAATATAAAATTTACAATCTTTTGTCTAACATGGGTTCTCATATTTTTGCCAGAACACAACGGAAAATATTTGTAGAATAAAATTCAATACTGCATTTTGATTCATCATATATTTTAAAGTATATCACTTCCAACATGATCATATATATTTTTAATATTCTTAAAAATATTTACAATTTTTCTCAGCAAAATTTACCTTCTAAAAGGAAATGAAAATTCCATGGTTATTTTTCATGGGAAAAAAAACTCCAAAAGACAATAGGCTTTGATATATAGTGTATATAAACTTAATTGATCAATAGGCAGACAGCTCTGTATAAAAGCTTGTGGCAAATACTCTATAAATGATAGGACAAAGGAAATGTGGTGTTTTATCTTTGTTTCCCCACACTACAAGAACTGCCTGAAGGAAAAAAAAGACATAAGTTATAGTATTTTTGAGTGCTCAATAAATAACTTACATGCAAATGAGTAAGGTCAAAAGAGGAAGGAAGAGAAAAAGAGAGAGTGAGAGAATCTTATAAACAAACAGAAGTCTAACTTTTAAGATGATGGTGAAAAATTTGAGTATCTTCTAACCAATAATTTAGGTATCTGTTTTTAAGATACTTAATACCCACTAGGAAAGATTTAAAGTAGTCTTGAATCGCTACAAGCTTTTGATTAAATACTCAATGATAAAGGACACCTGTCAGAGGATGGTGTTCCATGAGCACACACTTTTTTATTTCAGTGACACAAAGAATAATTGCAGGGAAATTGGAATAGGGCAATTTAATTATGATCCCTAGGCTACATAAAAGATTATAACACTGTCAATGCTTCTGGATATTAAATACTACCCAATTCAGAATAAAAATCTTGGAATCTGTGGAGTTTTGAAACACTTTATTAATTGCCAGGTAAGATTTTATTAATCTGGAACTTTAACATTTTTTTTTCAAATATCTGAAATGAGTTGTTTCAAGACTGACTGTTTCCTAAGGTTCTTTCTTCAATTAATTACTCTATTGTGTTAATACAAATAGGTAAAGCCAAGGGATTTATGTGTATGCACCGCCCTTTAGTTCTATACTTGTCATTAAGTGAAAAATAAATAGCAGTAGATTAAGGAACTTCATCAGATGACAAGAATATTATTGTGAAATTAAATATTTCCATGAATTAGAAGGTAGTTTTTTTTATTATGTAAATATGTAACTATTTTTTAGCCTTGAAATTATAAGTTATATTTGCTTTCCTTTTTGTGGGGAGGGAATGAATATGTGAAAGATGCCACTAAGACTATATGCCACATTTTACAACATTTGACCATAAATGTATATTTTATTATAATATATATTTAATAGAATATTGGTTATATATATGTTATTATGAGGAACAGGAAAGTTAGAATAATAAAAAATAGTAATCTTCAGGATTGATTGATAACTTGTTTCTAAAATAAAAAACAAAAGAAGCAGTGAGAAAAAATGCTATTAAAAAGTTCATTTAATGTTCATTAAGTTAAATGAACTATTTAAGAAATGTTGAAATAGCTATATTGATTGTGCTCAGTGTTCCTAACATCGTTTTGCCAAAACAAAAGTTCTTATAAAATACCAAGAAGGAAAGGAATGGTTACAAAGAATACCAAAATTTCGGGTTAAGGTTATTGCCTAAGTATATTGAATGCAGCATGATGAGCACATATTTGAACTCATGAATATTTACATTTTAATGTTTAAAATGTTTGGAATTTACTAGTGAAAAGATACATTAATTTTGTTGATGTGATTGAACTATTCTCTTAACTTCAATTTTGGTGGTGGGAACATGAAAAAAATATGTAAAATCATACAATTTTACACTAAAAGGGTGAATCATAATGTCTAAATAAAAAGTGTAGAAAATGTAGAAAAAGTAAGGGTATGAACATTTACTTGATTGAGAAATAATTAAAAACCACTTTTGAGTCTTCCATCTTTAAAATACTATAGAGGAGGAAAAAAAATTCAGGTAAAATATATGTATAAAATTTACCATCTTTACCATTTTAAATGTACCGTAATAATAAATAAATTTATATTATTATTTTCCCCTTTTTAAAAAATACTATAGATGACATGCCTCAAAGCTCAAACTATGGACTTATAGTATATTATGTGATTATTTTTAATATTTATATATTAAGTATACTTTGTATGATTTTTCCTTAAATTCCAACTGTTTCTTTTCAATAAATTAAAATATTAAAATTAGGAACTGTTTCTAGCTATCAATCATATTCAACTAATCTAGCTCAGAATAATGTGACATGATTATGCTGTTAATTATTGGAATTCCGTAGCATATTATTCAATTTTAGATAGAAATTATCTCAAACTTACAAAAAGTACAGTTTGAGAACTTTCAAAAAATTTCTGAACCATTCAAAAGGAAATTCCTAATATTTCCTTATATATTTTTGTATATGATTTCCCATATTTTACCTCAAAATTTTTGTATATAGTTTCCACAACAAAAATGTTATATAGCTACAACAAAAATATACACAATGTTAAAACTGTATTTTTAAATTTTATTTATTTTTATGTTTTGAGACAGGATCTCACTCTATTGCCCAGGCTGAAGTGCAGTGGCACGATGTGTGCTCTTTGCAGCCTCCATCTCCTGGCTCAAGTGATCCTCCAACCTCAGCCACTCAAGCAGCTAGGACTACAGGCATGACACCACACTAATTTAAAAAAAAAAAAAAAAGATTTGTAGAGACAGGGGTCTCACTACGTTGCCAGGACCTGGTCTTGAACTCCTGGGCTCAAGGAATCCTCCTTCCTCAGCCTTTCAAGTCCTGAGATTACAGACGTAAGTCATTGCACCCAGCCTTTTAAAATTTTGTTACTACTGTCTATCCACTCCTCAGACTCTACTTCTATAAGTATTCAAGTTTCACTAATTTTCTAAAAAATGTACCTTTTGGATAAATGATCTGTATTATGATCTAGTATTATGCATATCATGCACTGAATTTGTTGATCTTATAAGTTTCTATCATTTTGATCTTCTGTCTTGATTGTGAAGATCTTGACAGTTTTGGCCAATTATTTTGCATAATGTCCTCCAATCTGTGTTTCTTTGATATTTTTTGTTTAGCTTATTTTCAGGCGTCTTTGGCAGGAATATCAGAGAAGTGATGCTATGTTCTTTATCACGTGATTGCCCCCATGTTAATTCTAGTTACCATGCCTGAGCTTGTATATAGAAGTTCCAAACTATCTTTGATGTAACATCCTGTTTTGGCTAGGCCAGGCCATCACCCTCTGGCATGGAAGCACTAACCACCTTCTTCTGAGTCAATGTGGCCCCACTTTCTCCACTACAGTAGCATAAGACTCTACCTTATTCATCCTCTCCTAGTGGCTTTGGACTGATTTTTTCAGGAAGGAAAAGAAGAAAGAGAAAAGAGAAATTTAAAACATTTTTAAATTGCTAATGCAGTTTAATTTACATATAATAAAATTTACTAATTTTAAATACAAATTTCCATGAGTTTACACAAATAAGTCCAGTTGTGTAACCAGCACCCAATATAGATGTAGACTGTTTACACTACCCCAAAATATTCTCTTGTGCCTTCTGCAGTTGATGCTCCCTCCCTAGCCGCAGTCTAATGATGAAATTGGCCTGCTTTCTGTCACTGTATTTTTGCATAATATATGTAATCTAATATGACCAGCTCAGACAATTGGAAGGATGTTGTTGAGATTCATTTATGTTTTTGTATATATCCCTAGTATTCCTTTGTTATTCATTCACCATTATTTGTTTATCTACTTACCAGTTCATAGATATTTCAAGATTTGTTACATTTTGATGAATGTTGCTATCAACACGTGTACGTAAATTGCTATGTAAACATATTTTCATTTTACTTATGGTAAGTGCATATTAAAACTTATAAGAAACAGTCAAACTGTTTTCCAAAGCAAAGCTGTAGTACAATTTTAGATTTGAACCAGCAATGAACAAATGTTCTAAATGTTTCACATACTCAGCAATAATTGGCATTGTTGTTCTTTTAAGTTTCAGCTATTCTTCTGTGTGTGTAGAGATATTTTATTGAGCTTCTAATTTGCATTTCATGAAGCTTTCAAAAAGGCAAAATAAGGCCATAAAATAGAATTTCATCTGTATAAAATAATCCATGTTTTACTTTCTCTCTTCCATAAATAATGCTTTTACTAGCTTCAAACATGCTGTCGTTTCTTTTAACTTAGAAATTTGTGATCAGTAAGTCATTATATAGTCATAGCTAAAATAAGTTCAATTGACTGTATTATTAAGTGGAACATATTAAATGGTCCTGCATTCTTAGGCTAATTTTGGCAATGAGAATTTGACATTGAGTCATCCTAATACATAGTGATAATTAAATGTTACATAGTAATTTAATTAAATAATTAATTGCTTTAATAAATGAGAGAACATTATTTCTGTTCAAAATATCTTAAGGCTTATGTGTTTATAAAAATAAACACTTCACACATGGCCAATTTTAGGTTCAAGAGATCAAGCATATATGGGAGGAGATGACATATAAAGAAGGGAATTGCCATTAAATGGGATGTAGATATATGGGAGCTAGAAGTAAAGATAATTCCAAATGTAGGTAAGCAGGGTCATAACAGGGAATTTGTGATTCTTCAGTAAAAACTAACAAAACATACTCATTGGAATATAGATAGTATAACATGAATTTATATTCTTTCAATGTATGTTGTGGGTCCAAATTACCAGTGGCCCACCCATAACAGGTCATAATTGTACTGGATACAACAAAGTGACCACTTGAAAAGGCATTCTTCATTGTCCTTTGTAGTGCCTTCCGTAAGACTAACTTCTGTCTAATGGATGTGAATTAAAATTGTTGGGTAGAACATTCATAAAAGATTCTTAAAGCAGGTAAGTTGGGAGTCAATGTCAGCTGACAGCCTGTGCATACATTCTCTTCATTGCCTTTTTCTCTCTGATTTTCTCATTCCCTAAAATATTATTGTTATAACTGGAGCCATCTTGGGACTGTGCAGACATAAGCAGAGAATAAGGAGGACTGAGAAGACAGTCTGTATTCTTGATGACACTAACATGGTTTAATACTAACTCTGGCCAACTCATCTGTATGTTTCTTCTTATGTGATGAAATTAGAAGCTCTCATTTTTTAAGGCCACACTTTTTAAAATCCCTGTTATCAAAAGTCACATGCAGTTTTTGGCTGTTATTTTATTTATTTATTTATTTTTGAGACAGAGTCTTGCTCTGTCTTGCTCAGGCAGAAGTGCAGTGGTGGGATCTCAGCTCACTGCAGCCTCCGCACTCCTGGGTTCAAGTATTTCTCCTGTGTCAGCCTCCCAAGTAGCTGGGACTACAAGTGTGTGCCACCTTATGAGGCTAATTTTGTATTTTTAGTAGAGATGGTGTTTCACCATGTTGGCCAGGCTGGTCTCGAACTCCCGACCTCAGGTGCTCTGCCTGCCTCAACCTCCCAAAGTGCTTGGATTACAGGCATGAGCCACCACACCCAGCCAATTTTTGGTTGTTATAAATATAAAATCAAATTTTATCTTTAATTATGTATTCTAAAATACATTTTCCTTTAAAAATAAAATAACAACTAACATCCCCTTGACAAAACACTAGTTTGCATTAGTAATAGTCTATTTTATGAGTTTTTTTGATACTTTATTATTGGGTATTAAATATTGCCACAATATTTGTTCAGGTACTATTTAATAAAATTTTCCTGAAACACTCAATGCATAGTAGTTACATGTTGCTACAAAAGTGTGTGTGTGGTGTGTGAGTGTGTGTGTGTGTTATTTTTGGCCGCTAAACCAGTATAATTGTGGTATGGATACATAGCTTTTTGGGTTATCTATGTAACTGTAGTAGTGTTAAATTAATGTATACATTCGAAAACCTCTTTAAATATAAACTTGGATAAGAATAGTGAATTGAATTTCATGTAATTTATACTTCATTTAAGCTGTTTACAGAATCTCATGTGATCATTATGAAGGATTTAACATTGAGTCAGTAACAGATTTCCTGTAGGGTTGAGTGGACTCCACGCATAACTGAAAGATTTGTGCTAGCAGTTGTGCATATCAGTCAGTGTTCAGTGCTTTTGAACTTGTGTGAGCATTGCATGAATGTATTGCTTTTTCTGGGATTTTAGAAAGAAGAAAACCTTCACAAACAATAACATTATACATTTTTATCAGCCCGCTTAGTTAGAGGAATAATCTGATGCAATTTATGTTCATTTTGTGTCTGTCAAGCTAAAGTACATGCTGCAAGATGAGAAAAGAAGGAACGGAACTATCCCTGGATTAATAGACATGACATTTGTGCAAACAGGTAGATAAAATGATTTGCAAAAACAGACTAAAAAGGAGGAAAGGTAAAATGTAAAAGTTGGAACTAATGTTATCAACCCAATCTGTTACCTGAGCTCACAAGTTAAACATAGTATTGCAATGTCAGCATTTCTCCAGGAAAGTAGAACGCTATAAATATCTCCTGCATGGAAGTGATATTTGACCTATAAAATACCACAAACCCAACAGTACTTGCTGCTGAAATTTGATAATCATTGTCTGTAAAGTGGCAGACTTTCTTTAGAGTGTGGAATGAGAAGAGAAGTAAGCCCCATGTAAAATGGCAATAAAATATGTTATGAATTTTCTAGTTTGGACTGACACATTTTGTTCATTATAAGTTTTCAAGAATTGCTGCATTTATCCTTGCCTCCTAAGCACTGTCTTAGCAGACATTGTGATTTTTCAATCCCAAACTGTACTAAAATTCTAGTTGGATGGTGTAATCTATAAAATTTGTAATTCTGAGTGATTAAAAAGAACTACTGTTTCCAATTTTGAAGCATGTGTTCTGTTCATGTTTCAGTGCTAAAGACTTAGAAGCATTTAAAATACTGCAAAACACAATTTACAGAATATTTGGAAATTAATAGGCTTATTATCATTTTGGTTTTGTTTGTTCATGATTTGTGGGGTGTGGCTAATTAGAGTATTTTCTTCATTGCAGAGGAGTTTTTGATTTGTTTTCTGTACAGAAATACTTTTTCACAATTTTTACAAAACATGATAACATTTTCTTTATGCATCAGTCTGAGGGCAACAGATTTATTGATTTCTAAAATGAATCCCTGCTGATTCTCTATACTACCACTGTGACTGCTGCAGTCGTAACATCTGATTTTAATTTATTTTAGTTTCATCCACTTAAAAATATATATTTTAGCCGTGTACATTTTAACAAATGTTCACTTCCCTAAATTCTTTAGTATTCTTTTTTATGAAATAACATTTTACAATTAAAAACAAAATTTGAAATAGCATTTTAAAAGTGTCATAATTCTGTCATGGATATCAAGATATATAGGTTAATATTCTGTTTCTTATTGATGAAATTATTGGTATAGGTATAGAAAGAGTAAATGCTAAAATAAAAATTATTCTAAATGCCAAAGCTCAGAAAAAAACACTCTTCATATTTGATTATAGAGTTTTTATGTTTTTATAATAAAATTTATCAAGTAGGTTTATTTTGTTCATAATAAATTCAAACCTGAATTTCTTTTTTTGAAAATATGTTAAGAACCAGTAACAAAATCATTTTAATAGTTATGCTTTATTCTACCTTATGCATTAAGTAGTTTAAATACTTTGCTATAAAACTGGATTTTTTTCTATTTTTTCAATAACATAAAAATACTCACTATAAGTTTTTACTTGATTATTAATTATTCCACATAAATTCCTAGAAGCTAAATATTTAGGTCATAGGATATATATTTTAATATAGGTTTGATGAAATAGAATCATATTGCCTGCTAGATAATCTGTACATTTTAATCTTTCTCTACCACTGTCTGATAGTGTTCATTGTTCCACATCCTTATCAATATTGGGCCCTATCACTTTCTGCTGAATAGACAAAACAACAACAACAACAAAAAGTTCTTAATTTTCATTTTAATGAATTCTAAATAATACAATTGAAAAATAATACAAATGAATGAATTAATAATATATTAATTGGCTACATTCATGTTTTCCTTAATTAGCTACCAAATAAAATTCTGGTCACCTCTATTCATGCATATGCTCATTTGTTTTTACTTTGTGATTTTAAGGTTTCTCTGTAAAACAATAATATAGACAACTGACTTTAATATCTATTTTCAATATTTTTCCTAGTTAAGAAATGTATATTTTGTTAAAGATATAAGTTTTGCCCCTTTCCCCCATTCAGGACAATCTAACAAAGTCATTTTCCAAGTAGATATTATCCTAACTTTAATTTTTCTGTAAATTATTTTTAATTATATGTTTTGCATTTAAACCTCAAACACATTTGTAGTTTGCTGGCTGTAAGATGTGAATAGGAATTGAGGTCATTGCATTTTTAATAAATTCCAACTAGTTACCTAACTGAGACTTTATTGACTCTTTACTGAATAACCCTTCTTTCTTTTAGTGAAAGAAGGATTATTTGTGGTTGCTTGTTATTAACTAAATTTTGAACTTCTGTATTTTCTGGGTTTTCCTTTCTATTTTATTAAATTATTGTTAAATATCTAGAGTCACATTAGTTTAAATGCTATGGCTTTATTGTGTCTACAAGAATTTATTACTTTAATTCCTATAGTGTCAATGTCGTTTATGAGAATTGAGGAACACATAGGGTTTCTTTATGGATTGGTAGGTTGAAATTCAAACTATACTTATTGGGATACTGCATGATCCATCTTCACTCACCCAAAATTTTCTGGCTTTAATCATCTTTTATATTCTTTTTATATTCAATTACTATTTCTCCTACTGCTACCTGAGATATGCAACCTGCCTTCATTGCTCACATAAAAAATTAAATTGTTACTTTAAAGTTCTATCTATACTTTATTATATGTTACTTCTTTAAAACAAAATATCTTCCTAAGTTGTTCATAGTAAACTAATTATTTAATATGATTTTAAAAATTCTAACACTTTAAATAAAAAGGTCCACAGATGACCATAACTTAATAGGAAAACAATTTCAAAATTACGGGTCATGATTTTCATTGCATCAATGAAAACTATCAGAAAAGCGAATCACAAAAACAAAACTGAATAAAATATACTCTCAGGAGAACCTAATTTTGGCCATTTACATTGATAAATTTGATGAAAATGTTATCTTTGGTGTCGAAATATTTCTGCTTCATTTATTTTTATGTTGTTAATTTCAAATGTGAAAGCACACACTAAAACCAAATTGTAGCCAATATTTTTTTCCAGTATAATTTGTTCCCTGTTTCTATTTAAAGGTAAGTTGGAATCAGGCTGAAAGCTTAAAATCGATTCTTTCATTGCATAGATATTCTTGTTTTACTTATATTCATGAAAGTTAATTTTTATTTCACATTCATCCCATCATTTTTCTCTCCGTATTTGTTGCAATTATGAGAATGTCATTCAATAAACTATGTGCATCATATTTATTTAATTATTCACTTAAATATATGATATCTCACCTAAATGCCAGGTCCTAGATTTGTCCTCTTGAGTCAAGTCAGTTCTTTGAAAGTGGAAGAGTTCATGTCAGACTGGTCATCTCCCAGACCCATCTAGATATTGTCCTAGCAGTTTAACTTGCCAGGGAAAAATCAAAATTAAAAAAGAGCCGACTGGTGTCACATTGAATTCATGACGAAAGAGTTCAAATGGGTACAATCACTACCTGGAAACCTTTTAGCACTTTAAACTGTCCCAAATAACGAATATCTTTTTTCATTCACCTCGGACCTTCAGTAAGTACTTTCTTGACTGCATTACTCTAATAAGATGACAAGCTTTTCAAATTTCATCCCAAAAATGAAAGCTATTAGACAAGAACTGACACATTTCCTATCTACCAAATCATGCTAGCCTCATGCTTTCATCATCAAGGTCTTCCTTCTTGATAAACTAAAAGTGGTGACCCTGATTACTTGGTGTACTTTTTTAGTATTCTCAAGACTTTACTTCTGAGATTTTCTCCCTTTTATTTATCATGCCTATCAATATAGTTCTATTATGCTTATCTTTAAGGGAAGTATGCATTGACCACCTCTCTTCCCCTCATACTATCTCAGTTGCTCCCCCCATACTTCACAGGAAAACCGGCCCCCAAAACTATGTGCACTCAGTGTCTGTACATTCTCATGATTTATTTTCTAGTTAACTTATACTGACAGAGCAAATGTCTCCTCTCTGTAAAAATCACTACTGTTAAATTACCAAAGATCATTAGTGTGCCAAATCTAGCGCTTCTTATTAATCGATTGAATACTTTAGAAGTCCCTCTTTTTTTTTCCCATCACCAGAAGGCCATAATAAGCTCTGAAAGGCTTAAATTTCTTAGCCTCCCTTTATCTGGCAATCCAAGTACATATATTTTTCTCCCTAAAGTTCTACAAAGAAGTCTAATAAGCTTTTCAAAATTAATACATAAAAAACCATATCTCTTGAAACTTTCAGTAAGCCTTTTCCTTCCCTAGAATTTTCAATCTCGATTATGAGATAAGACACATCCATAAACCCAAAACTTCCTAGTCTTCCTTGATTACTTTTATTTTTTCACCTCTTCGTCTATATCATAATGATTATTTTATTCTAAAAATGTATTTCAAAGGTGACCAATTCTGGCCATTCTTCCAAAACTTTCTTAGTTAAGACTCTATTGTTTCTAGCATGAGTTCAGGCAACAGCCTATAACAGGCTTCCCTGCTTCCATTCTTGCTCATCTACAATCCACAGCAGTAAGAGGGGCCTTTAATAATATAATTTAGACTATAATTCTTGCCTCTACTCCTTCAAAATATCCCCACATTACTTAGAATAAATTCAAACTCCCTTTTCTTAACTCAAATGATTCTGCCTGTTCACATGGTTTTACTTCTATTTCACCAGTGCTGTATTGCCATTCTTTCTGTTTTATTTTCTTTCCATACCTGCTCTCGGATCAAATTTTACATCCTGAGAAATGCCTTTTTATTACTCCGGTTATGTACACCACCTTCACGATGCACTCTTGAATACAATACCTGATTTTAATTTCTCCAAATTGCATGTTAAAATATCAAATGTAATTGCTTATTTTGTTTAGTGTCTCCTACTGAGAATATAAACTCTATAAGTAGATTATGAATTAGCTGTGGATCACTTGAAAGAGGCAAGGGAAATGTTAGGACAAGAGGACATAACCTGTAAAGAAGAGTAGAGAAGAAAAGGTCTTTAAACAGCCAAAAGAATGTGAAAGATATAAGAAAAACCCTACTCTTCATTTTCCCCCATGTCTATACTTTCCTTGCAATGTTTATTACAAATGCAATACCATCTGCCCACATCTGTACATGTTCACGTTGTCCTACATTTTTATTCTCAAATGCCATTTCCCTAGTAATGTTTTCTAGGATATCCTGGACTAAAGTAATGTCTTTTACTTTTAGACACTTGAAACCTTTTTATCTCCATTTTGTTTATCTCCTTTGTTATCTGGTACATGGCACTATTTATTAGGCTTTTAATTATTGGTGCTCAAGAATACTCCCCTACTGTGTTATGCATCCAACTGGAGTCTGTGTCTTTAATTATTTACATTTGCATACCCCCACTATTCCTAATACATTTACTTCCATTGTCACTAGTTTACTATTAACAAATTAATGAAAAGGGATTAAATGCATATTTAGCAGAGCTTTATTGGACAAATCAAATCTGTTTTATGCTTTCTGGATCAAATCTATAATGCAGTAACACTTAATTTTGTGTCTCTACTCATGTGACCATGTATGTTTTTAAAATTTAAATTTTATCTGAAAAAGTTGTGATTAAGTATTTAAATAATGTTCAAATATGGTATAATAAGTATTAATTTCTTCCATTCCAACTTTCTTGCTTGTCTATTTATTTGTCTCTCCTTTACTTCTTGTCTTATTTTAAATTAAGTGTAGCAATTCTCCAAGTCACTATCTATACATTCTAAAAGAACATTCTCTCAAATTAGACCATTAATTTATTAAGAATTTTACATTTAGCAATATGGCACTTCCAAAAATGTCAAAGTAGTTTGAATTCTTTAACACTGAAAATGGTATTTGGTGTGTGGAAGGGATATTTTGGATCACTAACCAGAAAATGTTGTTGTTTAGATATGTATTTAGACATATAGATAGATAGGATAGAGAAATATAATTTATTTGTTATACACAGCCAGGTAGGAACAGGGCAGGCATTGTTTTCTTCCTTTTATATGTAAGCCTTAAGGGGTTAAGCACCATGGTTAGGATTACTAAGAGAATAAATGCAGAGTGAATGTTAAACACTGGTTTGTCTGGCCCCAAAACTCTTACTTGGGTCCTGAAGCATCCGGACACTCTTCTTTGTCTCTCAAGAACATAAGCAATCTCTATTTTGATATTATCAATATTTTCTTCTGGGTCTCAGGATCCTAGCTATATTCCCTCATCGGTACATTAACTTTGCCATTGTCATTTAGTAGCGAAAGGTGTGGTAAGTATGTTACGTAATAGGAACTGTAGGTTTGTGTTTCTGTGTATCTGTGTCCATGTGAACAGGCACATTAATGGTGGCAGTTAGTAAGGGTGCAATTGCTACAGAAAATGACTCACAAGACTAAAGTAATCCACTCCAATGGCAGAGTCCTCTCGTGGGTCTCATGAAGATAAGATGCAAATCATCACCCCATGCTACCAATAAAGTATGCTGACAAGCTTAAACTTGTGTCAGAACAATGTTTACAAGGCAATACTATTAATTGGTAGGTTTATGACTTGATTAGTGCACAGTATCACACAGCGTATCCCTTATTTCAATGAAATGGCTCAGGACAACTTCAGATCACTTAGAATTAATTTTTCTAGCGCAAAATAGTCATAATAATCAGAAAGTATTGTTAAACCTTTTTAAAGATGATTCTGTGAAACAACTTTGAGTGTGTAAAACTTTTTGTGACAAACTCTAACCTACCAGTCTGCTCCAGTCCCTAAAATTCACAAACTGAGTAATCAAGAAATTCATACACCTGTCTTCTCATTTTAATATGTATGTAAATATTTTTTAAAAGAAAGCACATGATCTCTAAAGTTTGTTAGCAAGTTATTTTCTGTTCTCTATTTTTATTGTTCTTCATTATATAGAATGGACTAAAAATAATTTCTTCATTTGGAGAAAAGATAAAAAAAATTTCTACTCTCCCTTTCATCATATTCTCATCTCTTGATATTCTTTGAAAACCACCAAGCAAATTCTAAATATCCATGGAGCACAGCTTGCAAAACAATGCTCTAACTCAATCCTAATATTGTACAGAATATTAAACTGAAACAGAGGGGTCAATCTTCATTTCCAAAGAATTATTGCTTACTAGTGACAATCATGATAAAAACCAGCATTGCTAATTAGCCTCCCAGTATTCTTCGCATACATAGGTATCAACAGCTGTCCAGTTGACAAGTATATATATTTTTTAGAAATAGTATCAATCATTTATTAATCAAAATTAATAGGTGGTTATATTTAAAAGATGTTGACTTAAGCCGATTAAATATGCTCCCATATATTTATGTGATCTGTTAATTCGCTTAGCTAATCTTCTCTTTGTTAGGTCAAATATAAACACATATTTAGAGCTTGTGGAAAAGTATCTTAAGTTAAATAATTACCATCTAAAAATTAACTAGCATCTTTTAAATTTTAATTATCCTATGCTAGTCTTATTTTATTATCTCTGCTAAATGCTTCTTAACATTGTGGATATTTAATTGGCTTTTTTTATTCTTAAGTTTACACAAAATAACAGTGTTCTCATAATGAATGATAACTTAGTTTTTTAAAATATATATATTCAGAAGGAGTTTTCAATGTTAGTTAGATCAAGTGTTGACCATGTTTATGAGAGCTGGGTCACAGGTTTAGCTTGCCCTAATGTTCACTTAGCTTCACTCAGAAAAATAATGTATTCTGGCTGGGAGCTGTGGCTCATGCCTGTAATCCCAGCAATTTGGGAGGCCGAGGCAGGCAGATTACGAGGTCAGGAGATCAAGACTATCCTGGCTAACACGGTGAAACCCCATCTTTACTAAAAATACAAAAAGTTAGCCTGGTGTGGTGGCGGGCGCCTGTAGTCCCAGCTACTTCAGAGGCTGAGGCAGGAGAATGGCATGAACCCTGGAGGCAGAGCTGGCAGTGAGCTGAGATTGTGCCACTGCACTCCAGCTGGGATGACAGAGAGAGAATTTGTCTCAAAAAGAAAGAAAGAGAGAAAGAAAGAAAATAATGCATTCTATGGCTTTTTGCTTACACCTAGATTATATCAATTTGAATACTATGATAGGTTGCATTATTGTTCATGGTTATCTCCTTTTCTTCCCTTCAGGCACAGAAAGGTGTATACAGTCTATTCTAGTGTAGTCTACACTAATCAACCTGCATCTGTAACATGCTACTAGGATAATACATTTCTGACCATGGAACGCGACTTGCTATATCCCATTGAAGTCAACCTTTTGGTCAAGTGACTTTCTTAAGAAAATATGATGTGAAAAGAAATGACATACTTTGTGTCACTGCATATTTTTTGTCACTTTTTTACCACTGCCTCAATATTGGCATGGCCCAGTTTGAGTGGCTTTTTCATCCAAAGGCCTAGAATAAACACATGTGTAGTACACTGGCAGTTGACACACAGTAAATATAAAACACAAGTAAGAAGTATGTAATTTACCAAGATCTGGGGATTGCTCGAGTTTCCAGAAGTATTTAATTAAAACTAATATAAATAAATTTACAAAATATACTTTTTGCCTACAATATTCCAGGGACTTTTAAAATGTTGAAATAGAGTTGTTAATATGGCAAGGAACTCCCCTGACTAGCCTCAAGGAGCTTACATTTTGTGGGGGAAAAATACAATAAACACGTAAACAAATAAAATAAAAAGATTATTGTCGAGCTATTTGGTAGGTGATATTTATAATATATGCCAGTGTATCTTTGGAACTGGGCAGCTCGAGGACTGCAATATGATGCTCAAGAAGCTACTTTAAAGGGACATGGAGTTTTAGCAAAAATCTTGATAACAAGCAGAAACTAATATGAACCTATTGGGTACAGGTTCCTAGGCAGGGTTATGGAAAACAGGAATAGGATCTACTACATTATAGGAATAAATCCAGTAGGCATGAAATATGGTGAGCTAGGAAGGCAATGGGAGTAAATATTTAGAGATGTGGCAGAGACCAGGTTACACAGAGCCTTGCTGGGCTGAAGAAGGAGTGTGTAGTCTATTCTACAGGGAATTAAAAATAACCCACAAGTGAAACATTCTTTCAATATTTAGTAAAAAGGTAACCATATCCTGATATCATTCATTTCATTCCAGTAAGTTTTGTTCCCTGAAATGTTTTATCATTTAAATTTATTGTCACCTTTGATCCTCATCCCTGAAGCTATACCAATAATATTGACTTGAAGATTTCTCTTCAATTCCAGTACACATTCACTCCTGTGACAATATTCCTTCTGTCACTTAACACACTGTCAATTGAATCTACCTCCATCTTAATGGGCCTTCTCTGGTGCCAACTCATATAGCCAGCATGCCTAATAAGTTTGCCCTCACCTTCTAAGAAGGGAATACAAAAGTTTTTCTGTGTTTTTAGAATACTTCAGTATAACATTATAGTTGGTTGGTTTGTTTATGACAGAGTTTTGTTCTTGTCACCCAGGATGGAATACAATGGCACCATCTCGGCTCACTGCAACCTCTGCCTCCTGGGTTCAAGCAATTCTCCTGCCTCAGCTTCCAGAGAAGCTGGGATTTCAGGCATGCGCCACCACACCTGGCTAATTTTGTATTTTTAGCAGAGACAGGATTTCACCATGTTGGCCAGGCTGGTCTCGAACTTCTGACATCAGGTGATCTGACCAACTTAGTCTCCCAAAGTGCTGAGATGACAAGCATGAGCCACTGTGTCCAGCCACATTATGTTTTTTTTTTAAGGATGATGTTCTCTCTTTAGATTGTGGAGAATCGATATCTAAGGTAGATTTAGAATTCATTATTTTAAAAACTAATAGGCATCAACCCTGTATGCTGTATATGGTAATTATAAATTTAAAATGTTTTGTTTCTAGAATGTTCTTGAAAATGAGAAATCATTTTTGTTAGTTTGGGCATAAAAATAGTTAAAACTAAGATAAGAGTTATCCAAATAATTGCAATAGTATAATAAAAATATCTCTTTAGCTACCAGTACTATACCCAAATTTGGAGTAAAAGATCCTGTCTTTTCGGTAGCCTTTGGTGACTTCTTAATAGCCTTAAGTATCTATTTCCTTATGTATACAATATTGATCTTCCAATATTTGTGTAATTCAAGAATATGGGTACTAAAAACTAAAAATATGAGAATATTTATATCACAAAACAAGATTAGACTAGTTATTTCAGACATGAAGAGCATATATTATTGAAATTAAGACACATATTTGATTCTGAACTTCTTAGCAGTATCTCACTTTCTTTGATTATTGCATACATTATATAATGGGAAATAAAGATAAGAAGCTTAGCACTATGTCTGACTTATTGTTATTTTAAATGATAATACCGCATCTATTCCAAAATGATTTTATGATTCTGAATATCCTAATTTGAGAATTCATTGCATTTTAATTTGATATTTATTGTGAAGATGTAAGTGGAGATTAAACTGATACTGAATTTCAACTATATTTTGGCCACAAAAATATATGTTGGTTCCAGATCTAGTGTGTTTGTCCAAATATTCAAAAATAAATTTGTCCAAAAATTTTCAGTAATTAGGTATAAAATAGGAAAGAAATTTCCATTAGTCCTTGGTCCTAATGAGGATGTGCTATTCACAATATGGCCTATTCTAACTAAATACCTCCTGCTGGCAAGAAATACAGCACAGCCTGTAAATATCACCAAATTAGACTTTTCAAGTGCTGGCAAGAAATGCTCAATATCTGGCAACTGATACTTTTAGGATTTGATTCTTCCTCTTTTCAGATTAATTTGCAATATTCCAAATCATTAGATGTCTTTTGTCCGTATGTTTCTGTTTACCTGTATTAGTCAGGGTTGTCTAGAAAGACAGAACTAATAGGATATGTATATATAGAGGGGGAGTTTATGAAGGGGAATTGACTCACACGATCTCAAATTAAAGTCCCATAATAGGCCATCTGCAGGTTGAGGAGCAAGGAAGCCAGTGGTGGATCAGTCCGAGTCCCAAAACCTCAAAAGTAGTGAACCCGACAGTGATGCCTTCAGTCTGTGGCCAAAGGTCCAAGAGCCACTGGCAAACCACTGGTGTAACTCAGAGTCCAAAAGCTGAAGAACTTGGAGTCTGATGTTAGAGGGCAGGAAGTATACTAGAGAAAGAAAGATTGAATGCCAGAAGACTTAGAAAGTCTGCTCTTCCATCGCTCCTGCCTGCTTTATTCTAGCCATGTTGGCAGCTGGTTAGATGGTGCCCACACAGATTGAGGGTAGGTCGGCTTCTCCTGGCCCACTGACTCAAATGTTAATCTCCTTTGGTAATACCCTCACAGACACAACCAGGAACAATAATTTGCATTCTTTAATCCAATCAAGGTGACAACATTGACCATCACATTACCTTTAAGCAATTTACCTAAAATACCTCTTACATATATGTAATGATAATTTTTCAAGGCATTGATAAATTTCCTGTAGCTTATAATAAAAAATTACACTCTCAGTGTGGAATTATTAGTACAAATTCTAAGCATATTGGTTGATAGAAAGTAAATTCATGGAAGAAAAATTTGATTCGGTTTGGATAAAGGGAGAACTTCCGTTGTTAGCTATAAAAACATGTATGCTAGGGATCCCTCTCCTGATGGAGATGAGAGTAGTAATTACTTATGTGAGAAAGAGGATTGCTGTAAGCAGGTAAGAAACCGAAATGGGATTCACTTTTAAAACTCGTGGACAATCCAAGGCTTTTTAGGTCAATGGTTATGGTGGGTTATGGGTACATTCCAGTTAATCTATTGTTCTACATATGCAGGATTTTTTAAACATCTTATTTGGATGTTTTTGAATTCCTTGTATTTTAGGAAAAGAGAATGTTTTAATATAATATGCTTTTTAATTTTTTTTGACTCTAGCAACATATTCACTTTATATACTTGTAACTGTATTCCACTAAAAGATATAGAGATATAGTTAGATTTGAGTTCAAATGCTGGCTTTATCACTGAAATATTTTTAAACATTAAAATTATCATGTCTTTGAACTTGTGTTCATTATATCTGCATCATAGTTAGCCACAAAGTTCAAGCATCCCAATATATGAGGGCATGCATAGCATACAATGACCATTCAGTAAATTTCACTATTATTAGTGATAAAATAATCAAAGCTTGTTGAAATTAAACAATATAAGAAAAAATGAATAAATTCTAGCTGGGGGAAAGCCCCTTTTAATTCTTCAACTTGAAAGAGAATTTCATGTGAAAAACAGTAGGCATATTTTCAATGTAAGATCTAGAAATATTTTACCAATAAAGTTATATTTTCTTGTAATTTTTCCCCAAATAAATATTATAAAAAGTAGCTAAAAATAGTTGTTTTTCTCAAAAAAACCTTATTCTTTAATTTTATAATTTTACATAAATAAGAACATGCAGCTTCAAGTGAAATATTAATTTGAAAAATACACATGGGTGTTTAATCAGGAATTAATATGAGGGTTCAACAATGTTTTCAGTAGTCACCTTAAGTTTAAAAGTTGAACAAAAAATAAAAAGAGATGAAGCAGAATTATATCAAATCGTATATTGAGATACTTTTGAGTGGGCAATAGGCAGGATATTGAAACATGTCCATATTTTCCCAGATATTTAAAGTATGTGATGAGGCCAACTCAACATGAGGCTGGGCTTTTACTGATATATCTTTCTTTCTGTGATATTCTTTCCACTAATCACAGCTTTAACAAGTAAACCCCATCCCTTTTTTAATAGTTAAATTTTGAATACAGTACCATTTGAAGGAAGAATTACAATATGCATTTCTCTATGACATGTAGTTAAGAGTTTTATTTTGCCATTTATCTCTCACAAATGTTACGCAAAAAATAGTTTTTAAAAAAATATATCAATATGGCCTGAAAATATTAAAAATTTTAATGCTTGTCAAACACTAATATAAGTAACAATGATAATATACAAAATTATGTTGTGTCACATTGATGAATCATTTATTTGACAAATCATTTTCCATTTAATGCTAATTAGAACAAATTTGTCAAGAACGTCAAATCAATGGCTTGGCAGATATTATTCCTTAGAGTAAGTCTAAAAGAAAGAGAATTGAACTGATTTAAAATCTGCTAATAGAAAAAATATCATGTAGATATTAGCACAAGTGGAATATAGACAAACATTGTCAACATGTATGAAGAAGACTAGGTTTTGAGGCATATTGCTCAGATATCCCATTTGTTAAATATTTTGGAAATAATATAGCAAAACTCATATTTCTTGTTTTAATTCAGAGTCTCAAAAGAAAGCCACATTCAGTTATAAATACAATAACATGATGTTTTGAGTGCATTTCTAGTTACTAACTCAAAAGTTCACAATTTGTGAGATTAACTTTTGTTGATGTTTTAATGTATCTTATTATTATCAACAAATATTGATTTGAAGGTCAATCTTTAAATTACTCTTTTTTATCCCAAGTCTTTAGTTGGGATACTCACCGAAAAAACAATGTAGGACACATCTTTAAATGTATTGTGTCTCGATAATAGTGCTTTCATCACATAATCACACAAACAAAATCAGACATATATAAAATCATATGTCCATTTATGTCCATGCATGTGTTTCAAATTTTGGTTCATAGAACACTTGGAGCAAAATCACCTGTGGTGATGTTTAAGATGCAGTTTCATGAACCACTCCCCATCTGCTAAACCAGAATGTCTATGGAAAAGGCCTGGAAATCTTTGAAGAATTTCCCAACGGGTTCTGAATGACACCAAAAATAAAGTTTGAGAATCAGAGATACCTAGAGGATATTAAAATTATAAGATCATTGTAATAATAGATGACATCATGTTTTTCATTCCTCTCTTCTTCTCCTTCCATTCTTTCTTCTCCTTGTCCTTCTCCTTCTCCTCATTCTTCCTATTAATAAAGTTACTATTTATTAAAGAAAACACATTTTTCATATGCTTATGTACATATTCCATGTGTTTTCTTTTTATTTTTAAAATTTCAAATTTTATTTTTGATATATGGAGTACACATGCAGGTTTGATCCAAGAATATATTCCATGATGCTGAGGTTTGGACTATGGATGTCGTTACTCAGGTAATGAACACACGAGCCAAAAGGCAGTTTTTCCACCCACACCCATCCCTTCCTCTCTACCCTAATAGTCAATAGTCCAGAGTGTCTGTTGCTCCCATGTTTACGTCCACGTGGGCTAAATGTTTAGCTCCCACTTATAAGTGAGAACATGCATAAGTTTTTGGTTTTCTGTTCTTCATTAATTTGCTTAGTGTTATGGCCTCCGGCTGTATCCATGTTGCTGCAAAGGACATGATTTAGTTATTTTCTTATGGCTGCACAGTATTCCATGCTATGTATGTACCACATTTTCTTTATCCAATCCACCATTGATGGGCACCTGGATTGATTTCATATCTTTGCTACTGTGAATAGTGTAGTGATGAACATACTACTGCACGTGTCTTTTTGGTAGCATGATTTATTTTTTGCGGGGTATATACCCAGTAATGGGATTGCTGGAACAAATGGTAGCTCTTTTTTAAGTTCTTTGAGAAATCTCCAGGCTGCTTTTCAAAATGGCTGAACTAATTAACATTCCCACCAACACTATATAAGCATTCCCTTTGCTCTGCAGCCTCAACAGCATCTGTTGATTTTCTACTTTTTAATAACTGCTTTTCTGAATGGTGTGAGATGGTATCTCGTTGTGATTTTGATTTGTGTTTCTCTGATGATTAGAAATAAATAGCATTTTTCTTATGTATATTGGCCAATTTAGGTCTTCTTTTGAAAAGTGTGTGTGTATTAGTCTGTCCTCACGCTGCTAACAAAGAAATACCTGAGACTGGGTAATTTATAAAGTAAAGAGGTTTAATTGCCTCACAGTTCTGCATGGCTGGGGAAGCCTCAGTAAACTTATAATCATGGCAGAAGGGGAAGCAAATATGCCCTTCTTAACATCACAGCAGGAAGGAGAAGAATGAAAACCATTCAGAGGGGGTAGCCCCTTCTAAAACCATTAGATCTCGTGATAACTTACTATCATGAGAATAGCATATGGGAAACTGGTCCCATGATTCAATTACTTCCCACCAGGTCTCTCCCATGACACAGGATTGTAGGGACTACAATTCATGATGAGATTTTGGTGGGGACACAGCCAAACCATATCAGTGTGTTCATGCCTTTGCCCATTTTTAATGGGAATATTTGTTTTTGCTTGTTGATTTAAGTGTCTTGTAGATTCTGCATATTAGACCTTTGCCTGATTTATTGCTTCAGAATGACTTCTCCCATTCTGGAAGTTGTCTGTTTACTGTGTTGATAGTTTCTTCTGCTGTGAAGAAGCACTTTAGTTTAATTAGGTCTCACTTTTCATTTTTTGTTTTTGTTGCAATTGCTTTTGGGGACTTAACCAATAATTCTTTAAGAAGGCTAATGTTGAGAAGGGTTTATTTCCTAGGTTTTATTCTTGGATTTTTAGTTTGAGGTCTTACATCTTTTATCCATCTGGAATAAATTTTTGTATATGGTAAAAGGTTAAGGGTCCAATTTCATTCTTCTACATATGGTTAACCAGTAAAACCAGAATGATTTTAATGAAGTATTTTACCCTTTGCTTGTTTCTTGTTGGTGTTGTCAAAGATTAAATGGCTGTAGGTGTGCAGTTTTATTTCTGAGTTTTCTATTCTGTTCCATCAGTCTATGTGTTTGTTTTGGTTTCGGTACCAGTACCAAGCTATTTTGGTTGTTGTAGCCTTGCAATATCAGTTGAAGTTAAATATTCAAGCAATATTTCAAGTAGTGTGATGTCTCCAGCCTGTTTTTTTTTTCTTTTTTCCTTTTTTTTTTTTTGTTTGTTTTTTGCTTATTATTACTTGGGCTATTTGGGCTCTTTTTTGGTCCATATAAATTTTGGAATAGTTTTTTCTAATTCTGTGAAGAATGATGAATACTGTTGAAAGTTGGGTAGAAACAACATTGAATATATAAATTGCTTTGGACAATATAGCCATTTTTAGCAAAATTTATTCTTCCAATCCATGAACATGGAATGTTTTTTCATTTATTTTTGTCATCACTGAGCTCTTTCAGTATCATTTTGTAGTTCTCCTTGTTGAAATATTTCACTCCTTTAGTTAGCTGCATTGCTAGGTATTTCATTTTCTTTGTGGCAATTTTAAGTGAGATTATGTTCTTGATTTTATTATCAGCCTGGATATTATTCATCTATAGAAATGCTATTGAATTTTGTACATTGGTTTTGTATCCTCAGATTTTATTAATGTCATTTATCAGTTCTAGGAGAACTTTGTCAGAGTGTTTATGGTTTTCTAGGTATAAAATCATATTGTCAACGAACAAAGATTGTTTTACTTCTTCTTTTCCTGTTTAGATGCCTGTATTTATTTTCCTTGCCTGATTACTCTGGCTAGGACTTCCAGTATTATGTTGAATAGGGCTGGTGAGAGTAGGCATCCTTGTCCTGTTCAGGTCTCAAAGGGAATGGCTCCAGCTTTTGCCTGTTCAGTGCGATATTGGCTGTGGGTTTCTCACAGTTGGCTCTTATTATTTTTAGGTATGTTCCTGTGATGACTCATCTCTTGAGGGATTTTATCATGAAGGGATGTTGGATTTTAACAAAAGCTTTTCCTTTGTCACTTGAAATAATCATGTGGTTTTTGCTTTTAATTCTACTTACATGGTGAATTGCATGTATTGATTTGCATATGTTGAATCAGCCTTGCATCCCAGAAATAAAGCCTACTTAATCATGGTGTGTTAACTTATTAATATGCCACCAGATTTGGTTTGCTAGTATTTTGTTGAGAATTTTTGTGTCTATGCACATAAAATATATTTTTGTTTCTATGTTAATCAAGGGTATTGGTGAACATCTCAGAGGGGTTGGAGGGCAGCAGGGCCTGCAGACCAGACATGCCCTAATCCCATAGGGGAGTCAACGCCACTTTCTCCTGGCTCAGTGGTCAGCTAGGGCTAGAGCTTCTCAGAGGGACACAGGAAGCTTTAAGGATGGGTGCTATGTCCATGCTCCATCAGAACTGCCCTGTGCACAACACCTCCCACTTCCATACCAGCTAAATAGCTGTCTGCCTACTCTCAATGCAAATCCCCCTGTCAGCTCAAACACTGATGGTGGACATGGGGCTCCCTGCAGCCAGGATCACAGAAGTCTGAAGCAAGGTTGGGAAGTCTCACAGTCCCTTCTGTCACTTGTTTCCCAGGTGCCATTTGGGGCTGAAAACAAGCCCCAGCATTTGGGTAACCTGTCAGGATTCCCAGCTTCCTCTCTCCTTGGCCTTAGCATCTGTATCACATCTTTATCCAGTATGTGTTTTCTCTCTGAAGATCTGTCCAAATTAGGTTGGTTTACTCAAAACCTTGGTTTCTCTTGGTGGCAGTGGTACTTCCTAGCTGCGTCTAATTGGGCCATCTTAACCCAGATGTATTTTCTGTATAAAAAGTTTTGCCATTTTTACTGTTGATATTGTTCAAGGCATAAAAATGGCCAATTTTATTTTCTCATTTAGTCAGAGTCCAGTTGGAAAGAGATGGCACACACAAATTTGAAAAATTCAAAGAAAGTTTTAAAAAAATCCAAAAGTTTGGTTGGTACATAGGACAATCATAATGAAAAGTGCTTGTCCTTGATGTTAAGCACTGGTACAAATATCATTACCTAGTTTCAAAAGGTTGAGGGAAGGGAGAAGCTTAGATTTACCACGTAAAGAAGAAAAATTTTGTAGAACAGGTTACTTTGGGAGAAGCAGAGACCTTCTGTGAAGAGACAGAGCAATCAAAAGGCAGGCTTACAAGGTGTGAAGAATGACCTTGATGACTCTCTTCTCAGATCCTCTGCCATGATTTCCCATTGGCTGAACTCAACAGGAAGTTAGAAATCATGCAAACTAATTGATGTGATTCATACTGGGTGGGCAACCTGGCAGAGAATAGGAGAGAGAGGGAAGTTTTGGAAGGACACAAAATGTATCTAGTATATTTCTCCTCCAATTAAAATATAATTGCTTGGCTGGGTGCAGTGGCTCACGCCTGTAATCCTAGTACTTTCGGAGGCCGAGGCAGGCGTTATCCCAGGCGGGATAACGAGGTCAGGTGATCGAGACCATCCTGGCTAACATGGTGAAACCCTGCCTCTACTTAAAAAAAAAAAAATAGCCGGGCTTGGTGGCGGGCACCCGTATTCCCAGCTACTCCCGAGGCTGAGGCAGGAGAATGCCGTGAACCTAGGAGGCGGAGCTTGTGAGCTGAGATCAAGCCACTGCACTCCAGTCTGGGCAGACAGAGAGAGACTCCGTCTCAACAAATAAATAAATAAATAAAAATAAATAAAATAAAATAAAATAAAATTGCTTTATGCTTCTGGTTTGTTCAGTGATGATAATATGTATGAAATAGGGTTAATGTTCTGTGGCAATATCTGTATGTGAATACATTTTGTGTATGTGTGAACATACATGAACAAGAACAAAAAAGAGAAAAAAATAATGTCTCACTATGGATACTATAATCTCATTGTAGTATCACCTGGTTTTTCATACTTTCTTCTCATAATCTCTGGTTTAATTTTTTTAATGTGCTTCTTCCATTCTTTAGTATATTCCGAACTTACCACCCCATTGAATTATTTTTTCTACTTCAAACTTATGCATATAGGTAATAAAAAATATGGTGTTTTGATTTACATAAATACATGCATATGCACACAAACTGTATATTTCTTCATTTAACTTCTTTGGCATTCTTATTTATTTCTAATGTAAATGTCACATAATAAACAAATTGGTATTTACTGTCAATGACATTTGACTTTTGTTGAACAGGTTGCAAATTAACATAAACACATTACAATTTTGCTCGCTTTCTACGTTAATCAGAAGACTGTAAAATTAATTTGTAACAGGGAATTTATTTCAACAATTATTCCTTTCTTTTATTTTCCCTATTTGTTCACAAGATGCCTAACATAATTTACCTAATCCAAATTCACCTCCTTCTTTTATTTTCCCTATTTGTTCACAAGATGCCTAACATAATTTACCTAACCCATATTCACCTCCTTCTTTTATTTAAAATGTTATAACTCTTGTGTCCCTGTAAATCAAAGTAGAAATCTAGGAGGTTTTAGCTTTATACTAGCAGGTTTAAGTAATTTTTCTATTGCTTCAGAGAACCAGTAAATTTCTCAGATCATTACCACCTGCTCCTGGCTTATGATCAGATCATCTCTTCCACTTTTCTGACAACTAATTAACCTGGGTGTAAAATGTAGCTTTGCCTAGGAATCAGCAATGCCATTTTAAAGCTTATTCATGGTATACGTTCAGCGTTGTGTTTTTGTTTTTCTTTTTACTTTACCAATTCCCAAAGTCTAAGTGCTTAAATTGCCAAACAAAATAAATAGTATGGATGATTTTGAAGTATTCATCCCAGAAGATAATTAAGAAAAGCATAACATTTGTCTTCAGTGTAGACATATTCACACTTGAAAATGTAGCTACTCATTTTTACTTCCTTTAAAATTGTGTTATTTTTGGTCAGAGTTTTGGAAGCTTTTTTAAGAGTAATAATAATTCAAAAGGAAGAATTGTACAGAACTAGCATCTAAATATAAATATAGAGAGACCCTAATTAAGTGGTCCATATTTACTTGATTAGTTTTAGGACAACATTGGTAAACTAGAATGTCTTTAAGAATTTACAGACAACTCTGAGATAAGCACAACATAGCCATTCTAAGTAATTTTAATCTACTTATTTTTTAGGTATTGATATTGGTGAGTCTACCCTGCATCATGTTCAGATTTCTCAAAAGAAAAGTTTGGAGGGAGGAGCCAAGATGGCCAAATAGGAACAGCTCCGGTCTACAGCTCCCAGCGTGAGCGACGCAGAAGACCGGTGATTTCTGCATTTCCAACTGAGGTACCGGGTTCATCTCACTAGGGAGTGCCAGACATTGGGCGCAGGTCAGTCGGTGCGTGCACCATGCACGAGCCAAAGCAGGGCGAGGCATTGCCACACTTGGGAAGCGCAAGGGGTCAGGGAGTTCCCTTTCTGAGTCAAAGAAAGGGGTGACAGACGCACCTGGATAATCGGGTCACTCCCACCCAAATATTGCGCTTTTCTGACCAGCTTAAAAAACGTTGCACCACGAGATTATATCCCGCACCTGGCTCGGAGGGTCCTACGCCCACAGAGTGTCGCTGATTGCTACCACAGCAGTCTGAGATCAAACTGCAAGGCGGCAGCGAGGCTGGGGGAGGGGCACCCGCCATTGCCCAGGCTTGCTTAGGTAAACAAAGCAGCCAGGAAGCTGGAACTGGGTGGAGCCCACCACAGCTCAAGGAGGCCTGCCTGCCTCTGTAGGCTCCACCTCTGGGGGCAGGACACAGACAAACAAAAAGACAGCAGTAACCTCTGCAGACTTAAATGTTCCTGTCTGACAGCTTTGAAGAGAGCAGTGGTTCTCCCAGCACACAGCTGGAGATCTGAGAACGGGCAGACTGCCTCCTCAAGTGGGTCCCTGAACCCTGACCACTGAGCAGCCTAACTGGGAGGCACCCCCCAGCAGGGGCACACTGACACCTCACACGGCAGGCTATTCCAACAGACCTGCAGCTGAGGGTCCTGTCTGTTAGAAGGAAAACTAACAAACAGAAAGGACATCCACACCAAAAACCCTTCTGTACATCACCATCATCAAAGACCAAAAGTAGATAAAACCACAAAGATGGGGAAAAAACAGAACAGAAAAACTGGAAACTCTAAAACGCAGAGAGCCTCTCCTCCTCCAAAAGAACACAGTTCCTCACCAGCAACAGAACAAAGCTGAATGGAGAATAACTTTGACGAGCTGAGAGAAGAAGGCTTCAGACGATCAAATTACTCTGAGCCACGGGAGGACATCCAAACCAAAGGCAAAGAAGTTGAAAACTTTGAAAAAAATTTAGAAGAATGTATAACTAGAATAACCAATACAAAGAAGTGCTTAAAGGAGCTGATGGAGCTGAAAACCAAGGCTCCAGAACTACGTGAAGAATGCAGAAGCCTCAGGAGCCGATACAATCAACTGGAAGAAAGGGTATCAGCAATGGAAGATGAAATGAATGACATGAAGCGAGAAGGGAAGTTTAGAGAAAAAAGAATAAAAAGAAATGAGCAAAGCCTCCAAGAAATATGGGACTATGTGAAAAGACCAAATTTACGTCTGATTGGTGTACCTGAAAGTGATGGGGAGAATGGAACCAAGTTGGAAAACACTCTGCAGGATATTATCCAGGAGAACTTCCCCAATCTAGCAAGGCAGGCCAACGTTCAGATTCAGGAAATACAGAGAACACCACAAAGATACTCCTCGAGAAGAGCAACTCCAAGACACATAATTATCAGATTCACCAAAGTAGAAATGAAGGAAAAAATGTTAAGGGCAGCCAGAGAGAAAGGTCGGGTTACCCTCAAAGGGAAGCCCATCAGACTAACAGCGGATCTCTCGGCAGAAACCCTACAAGCCAGAAGAGAGTGGGGGCCAATATTCAACATTCTTAAAGAAAAGAATTTTCAACCCAGAATTTCATATCCAGCCAAACTAAGCTTCATAAGTGAAGGAGAAATAAAATATTTTACAGAGAAGCAAATGCTGAGAGATTGTGTCACCACCAGGCCTGCCCTAAAAGAGCTCCTGAAGGAAGCGCTAAACATGGAAAGGAACAACCGGTACCAGCCGCTGCAAAATCATGCCAAAATGTAAAGACCATCGAGACTAGGAAGAAAATGCATCAACTAACGAGCAAAATCACCAGCTAACATCATCATGACAGGATCAAATTCACACATAACAATATTAACTTTAAATGTAAATGGACTAAATGCTCCAATTAAAAGACACAGACTGGCAAATTGGATAAAGAGTCAAGACCCATCAGTGTGCTGTATTCAGGAAACCCATCTCACGTGCAGAGACACACTTAGGCTCAAAATAAAAGGATGGAGGAAGATCTACCAAGCAAATGGAAAACAAAAAAAGGCAGGGGTTGCAATCCTAGTTTCTGATAAAACAGACATTAAACCAACAAAGATCAAAAGAGACAAAGAAAGCCATTACATAATGGTAAAGGGATCAATTCAACAAGAAGAGCTAACTATCCTAAATATATATGCACCCAATACAGGAGCACCCAGATTCATAAAGCAAGTCCTGAGTGACCTACAAAGAGACTTAGACTCCCACACATTAATAATGGGAGACTTTAACACCCCACTGTCAACATTAGACAGATCAATGAGACAGAAAGTCAAAAAGGATACCCAGGAATTGAACTCAGCTCTGCACCAAGCGGACCTAATAGACATCTACAGAACTCTCCACCCCAAATCAACAGAATATACATTTTTTTCAGCACCACACCACACCTATTCCAAAATTGACCACATACTTGGAAGTAAAGCTCTCCTCAGCAAATGTAAAAGAACAGATATTATAACAAACTATCTCTCAGACCACAGTGCAATCAAACTAGAACTCAGGATTAAGAATCTCACTCAAAACCGCTCAACTACATGGAAACTGAACAACCTGCTCCTGAATGACTACTGGATACATAACGAAATGAAGGCAGAAATAAAGATGTTCTTTGAAACCAGCGAGAACAAAGACACAACATACCAGAATCTCTGGGACGTATTCAAAGCAGTGTGCAGAGGGAAATTTATAGCACTAAATGCCCACAAGAGAAAGCAGGAAAGATTCAAAATTGACACCCTAACATCACAATTAAAAGAACTAGAAAAGCAAGAGCAAACACATTCAAAAGCTAGCAGAAGGCAAGAAATAACTAAAATCAGAACAGAACTGAAGGAAATAGAGATACAAAAAAACCCTTCAAAAAATTAATGAATCCACGAGCTGGTTTTTTGAAAGGATCAACAAAATTGATAGACTGCTAGCAAGACTAATAAAGAAAAAAAGAGAGAAGAATCAAATAGACACAATAAAAAACGATAAAGGGGATATCACCACCGATCCCACAGAAATACAAACTACCATCAGAGAATACTACAAATGCCTCTACGCAAATAAACTAGAAAATCTAGAACGAAATGGATAAATTCCTGGAAACATACACTCTCCCAAGACTACACCAGGAAGAAGTTGAATCTCTGAATAGACCAATAAGAGGAGCTGAAATTGTGGCAATAATCAATAGTTTACCAACCAAAAAGAGTCCAGGACCAGATGGATTCACAGCCGAATTCTACCAGAGGTACAAGGAGGAACTGGTACCATTCCTTCTGAAACTATTCCAATCAATAGAAAAAGAGGGAATCCTCCCTAACTCATTTTATGAGGCCAGCATCATTCTGATACCAAAGCCAGGCAGAGACACAACCAAAAAAGAGAATTTTAGACCAATATCCTTGATGAACATTGATGCAAAAATCCTCAATAAAATACTGGCAAAACGAATCCAGCAGCACATCAAAAAGCTTATCCACCATGATCAAGTGGGCTTCATCCCTGGGATGCAAGGCTGGTTCAATATATGCAAATCAATCAATGTAATCCAGCATATAAACAGAGCCAAAGACAAAAACCACATGATTATCTCAATAGATGCAGAAAAAGCCTTTGACAAAATTCAACAACCCTTCATGCTAAAAACTCTCAATAAATTAGGTATTGATGGGACGTATTTCAAAATAATAAGAGCTATCTATGACAAACCAACAGCCAATATCATACTGAATGGGCAAAAACTGGAAGCATTCCCTTTGAAAACTGGCACAAGACAGGGATGCCCTCTCTCACCACTCCTATTCAACATAGTGTTGGAAGTTCTGGCCAGGGCAATTAGGCAGGAGAAGGAAATATAGGGTATTCAATTAGGAAAAGAGGAAGTCAAATTGTCCCTGTTTGCAGATGACATGATTGTATATCTAGAAAACCCCATTGTCTCAGCCCAAAATCTCCTTAAGCTGATAAGCAACTTCAGCAAAGTCTCAGGATGCAAAATCAATGTACAAAACTCACAAGCTTTCTTATACACCAACAACAGACAAACAGAGAGCCAAATCATGAGTGAACTCCCATTCACAATTGCTTCAAAGAGAATAAAATACCTAGGAATCCAACTTACAAGGGATGTGAAGGATCTCTTCAAGGAGAACTACAAACCACTGCTCAAGGAAATAAAAGAGGATACAAACAAAAGGAAGAACATCCCACGCTCATGGGTAGGAAGAATCAATATCGTGAAAATGGCCATACTGCCCAAGGTAATTTACAGATTCAATGCCATCCCCATCAAGCTACCAATGACTTTCTTCACAGAATTGGAAAAAACTACTTTAAAGTTCATATGGAACCAAAAGAGAGCCCGCATTGCCAAGTCAATCCTAAGCCAAAAGAACAAAGCTAGAGGCATCACGCTACCTGACTTCAAAGTATACTACAAGGCTACAGTAACCAAAAAAGCATGGTACTGGTACCAAAACAGATATATAGTCCAATGGAACAGAACAGAGCCCTCAGAAATAATGCCTCATATCTACAACTATCTGATCTTTGACAAACCTGAGAAAAACAAGCAATGGGGATAGGATTCCCTATTTAATAAATGGTGCTGGGAAAACTGGCTAGCCATATGTAGAAAGCTGAAACTGGATCCCTTCCTTACACCTTACACAAAAATCAATTCAAGATGGATTAAAGACTTAAACGTTAGACCTAAAACCATAAAAACCCTAGAAGAAAACCTAGGCATTACCATTCAGGACATAGGCATGGGAAAGGACTTCATGTCCAAAACACCAAAAGCAATGGCAACAAAAGCCAAAATTGACAAATGGGATCTAATTAAACTAAAGAGCTTCTGCACAGCAAAAGAAACTACCATCAGAGTGAACAGGCAACCTACAAAATGGGAGAAAATTTTCGCAACCTACTCATCTGACAAACGGCTAATATCCAGAATCTACAATGAACTCAAACAAATTTACAAGAAAAAACAAACAACCCCATCAAAAAGTGGGCGAAGGACATGAACAGACACTTCTCAAAAGAAGACATTTCTGCAGCCAAAAAACACATGAAAAAATGCTCATCATCACTGGCCATCAGAGAAATGCAAATCAAAACCACAATGAGATACCATCACACACCAGTTAGAGTGGCAATCATTAAAAAGTCAGGAAACAACAGGTGCTGGAGAGGATGTGGAGAAATAGGAACACTTTTACACTGTTGGTGGGACTGTAAACTAGTTCAACCATTGTGGAAGTCAGTGTGGCGATTCCTCAGGGATCTAGAACTGGAAATACCATTTGACCCAGGCATCCATTACTGGGTATATACCCAAAGGACTATAAATCATGCTGCTATAAAGACACATGCACACGTATGTTTATTGCGGCATTATTCACAATAGCAAAGACTTGGAACCAACCCAAATGTCCAACAATGATAGACTGGATTAAGAAAATGTGGCACATATACACCATGGAATACTATGCAGCCATAAAAATGATGAGTTCATGTCCTTTGTAGGTACATGGATGAAATTGGAAATCATCATTCTCAGTAAACTATCGCAAGAACAAAAAACCAAACACCGCATATTCTCACTCATAGGTGGGAATTGAACAATGAGATCACATGGACACAGGAAGGGAATATCACACGCTGGGGACTGTGGTGGAGTGGGGGTAGGGGGGAGGGATAGCATTGGGAGATATACTAATGCTAGATGACGATTTACTGGGTGCAGTGCACCAGCATGGCACATGTATACATATGTAAGTAACCTGCACAATGTGCACATGTACCCTAAAACTTAAAGTATAATAAAAAAAAAGAGAAAAGTTTGAAAATATTTTTGAAATAAGATATTACCAAGTACTATTACTGAAAGTGCACTAGGGGTAACAATTTTGAATTTCACTTTCCACTCCCAATAATTACAATAGTCCAATATTTATTAAAATTATAAAATATGGAGTTGTAATAAAAACTACAGGCATTTCTCATTGAACTAGATAGGCACTGAGACAGGCAGATCCGGCCCTGCCTGTAGCCTGTCATTTTCCGTCCTCTAGTTCTAAAATTGGGCAACTAATGGGAATATGACTATTACAATAAGAAAAATCAATAAGGCACCAAACACATGATAATATGTAATAAGTTGCCCCAGCTAAAATGATAACAAATATGCTTGTGAAACTTACAAAATAATGAAAATATATTTGGAAAAATATGAATAAAACTACTATAAACGTTCCTGTGCAAGTTTTTGTGTGGACACAAATTTTTAACAAATTTAGGTAAATACCAAGGAGCCTACCTTAGACCTTAGACCATTTGGGCTAATATAACAAATTACCATAAACTGGGCAGGTTATAAACAGTAGAAATATTTCGCTTATATGGTTTACAGTAGGAATATATAGTTTCTATTGATTTTGAAAGATAGGGTTCTACTTTATTTTTATACCAAAATAAATTACAGACACGTAACATATTTGAACAAAAGTCATACAGTTTTATGAAGAATGAGTAAATGTTTTGAGTGAAAAATTATTTCTAAGCCAGAAATGAAATTTAGAAGGCATAAAGGTAAAATTTGACTACATAAGTAATTAACATTTGAATTTCAATAAATAACAGTATCCAAGTTAGTAAAAATATTAGTAACATCTATTTTGATTTCTTTAATATTGCATATAAAGGGTATAAACCAAGCAATAAGATGAAGATAAATTGCACATTACAAAATGGACCAAGGAATTGACAATTCAACTCATTAAAAGGAATAGCCAATTATGCAAGACTATGTACAAAGTTTTAAAATATTAATGTTTAGAATTAATGTACTATATTTAATGTTTAAGTTTGTATTAAATATAGTAAGTATATATGTAGTATAGGCTATAACAGAGTCTATTTACTGGATCATATGGTAAGAGTATGTTTAGTTTGTAAGAAAGTACCATACTATCTTCTAAAGTGGCTGTACTATTTTGCATTCTCACCAGCAATGAATGAGAATTCCTGTTGCTCCCTCTTCACTGGCAGTTAGTACTGTCAGTGCTGTGGTCTTAGCCATTCAAAGATGTGTATAATAGTATACTATCGTTATTTTAGCTTACAATTCTCTAAAGATGTATAAGTTGAGCATCTTTTCTTATGCTTATATGCAATTTGAATATCATTCTTAGTGAGGTGTCTCTAAACCTTTTGCTTATTTTTTTAGTTGGCCTGTTTGATTTTAATTTTTGAGTTCTAATTGTTTTTATATATTTTAGATGAACATCCGATTTTCTCCTATTCTGTAGATTATGTTTTCATCCTCTTAACAGTGTCTTTTGCAGAGCAGATTTTAATTTTAATTAAACCCAATTATTAACATTGCTGTAACTTTTATTCGTTCTCAGATGTTTTGTTGTTGATGATGAGTCTTTGAGATCTTCTGCATAGCCAAAAATGTCATCTGTGAGGAAAGAAAATTTTATATCTTCTTTCCTAATTCATATACTTTTATTTTATTTTCTTATCAGATTGTATTGTCTAGGACTTCTAGTGTGATACTGAATAAGATTGATTGAGAAGAGACATATTTGTTTTATTCCTAGTCTTAGCAGGCAAACCTCTACTTCTCTATCATTAAATAAAGTGACAGCTGCAGCTCTTTGTAGATTTTTAAAAATAAACATGTGGATGATCCTACATAGTCTTAAATTGCTAAAAGCTTTATTTTCTCTATTTAAAATTATGAAAGTGTGTGACATTTGTTGAAAATTTTTCTGCATTTATTGATATCATTGTCTGATTTTTCAGATTTAGTCTGTTAATGTGATGGTTGTTTTAATTAATTTATGGACAATAAACCAGCCTTGTATACCAGGCGTAAATCCAACTGGGTCATGGTATATAATTTTTAATACATTATTGGATTTTATTTTCTATTTTTGGTGGAGTTTTACATGTATGCTAATGAGAGATATGGACCTGTAATTTTTCTTTCTGGCAATTTCTTTTCTGGTTTTAGTATGAAAGTGATATTACTCTCCTAGAATGAGTCTGTTTCTATTTTATGAGTGAAATTTTATCAAAACGGAATGATTTTATCCTTAAATTTTAGTCAGAATTCATGAATGAATGTACTTGGGCCTGGTTCTTTCTGGTTTGAGAGGTATAAATGATTGGTTTAATTTGTTTAATATAAATGGTTCTATTCAGACTATTTCCCCTTGTGTGAGTTGTGAGTTTTAGTAGATTGTGTCTTTCAAGAAATAGATATTTGATTTTACCTAGTTCATCAAACTTGTGGATATAGACTTGTCATATTATTATTTTAAAATACTTCCAGCAGGAATTATCTAGACACAAAACTTATGAAAAATTTATCTTCATAATCTCCTTTAAATAAAGACTAGATTTATTTTAAAGGCTTTGGCAAGCAAAAAGACAAAGCATAATTAAATAGGAATTTGTAATGATCTGGACATAAGGATAAAGTACTAAGACACAGGAAACAACTACTATGACATTGTACTACAGAGATCTTTGAAAACTGAGTTTATGTTGCTACAAGCTACATAGAAAAGATATTGTAATGCACAGGGCATAAGATAAAACAATTAAGGGGAGATCTTTTTAGTAAGACAGCTAAATTTTCCATATATATATATATATTTTTCCAAATATATATATATTTCCAAATATATGTATATATTTACACTAAACAAAGTTTATAAGCAAGCCTGGAAAGAATCCTGTGGACTCATAGTAACACAACAGAATGCACAAACAGAATTCAGCACTATTTAAAGGACTTTCAATAAAATCTCAGAACCAAAATACAAGATTCGCAGAGTTTAACTAGTCATTAAAAACATTTGGAAATATGGCTTACATCTTAGAGAAATTCTGTCAGTAGAAAAACATACGAATTAAATGATGATGGAATCTGTAAAACGAAGTTTAAGCAATTATTGTCAATAGGCTAAACATGTTTAAGGAATTGGAAGAAAATGTGACTACAATGAGGAGAAAAAAAGAATAATATAAAAATGAAACACATAGTGCTCCAATGTCCTTACTGATTTTCTGTTTCTTTATTCCAGTTATAATTGGTAGCACTGAAGTGTGCTTTTTAATTATAATTGTAGGTATGTCTATTTCTCTTTGCAGTTCTGCAGTTCTGTCAGCTTTGCTTCATAGATGGATGGATGGATAAATAGATGGATAGATATGTCATTGAGAGAAAATAAAGAGATGATAAATAGATAGATAATTTAGCTAGATAGACAGATATTCTCTGTTATTCAGTGCATACCACATTATAATTAGGGAATCACTCTATTTCTAATGAAATTCTTTACTTTGAAATTAGTTATTCTTACATTTACATAGCTACTTTATTTTCTTTGAGTGATGTTAACAAGTTATATTCTCCCAACTTTTTATTTGTAAACAATTTATTCTTTATATTAAAATTTGTATAAGTAGCATATAGTTGCCAGTTGCTTTTTTACCAAATCTGAAAAAAACTGCCTTTTAATTGAGTTGTTTAGGCTATTTACATTTAATATTACTATTGTTATGGTTGTGCATGTATCTACAATCTTGATATTTGTTTTCTATTTGTCCTGACATTTTATTTCTTGTTTCTTTCCTTCTACTGTATTTTGCATTGAGATAAAAATAATCTCCAAGTAAGTTACTAGAAATAATAAGAGAGTTTAGCTGGTTATAAGGATATATATTCATTATTTAAAAATTTGATGTCCTATAGTACCAGCCACTAATATAAAGTATACTAACTACTGTAATGAATTAAAGACATAATGTTATTAGTATTATAGTACAATTAATATAATTAGTATAATAAAATATTACTATAATATATTGTTAGGCTTATACTACAGCATGTAACCTTATACATCAAAGTCTAATTGAGAATGAGTAAGATTTCTAGGTTCAAAAAATATATATATAGAAATACACACATGCATATATATAATTTATATCCATGAAATTTTAAAAGATGTATATAGATGAAAAATTATTACATATTAACAATAATATGGAAAATTAGATTAGTATGATAAATAAGGACATGTTGGAACAAGCATTCTACTTAAAAAAAGATACATGTGACAAAAACATAAAAATAATGGTAAATAAGGAAGGGCAAATAATCATCACAATACAATGCTGTTATATAACTACTAGAATGGCCAAAGTTAAAATGATAGACAATATGAGTACTAGAATCTTTTACTTATTCAGTATTTTTATCATACGTTGTATGATTGGGTGTTTTCCCACCCACCCAAATCTCATCTTCAATTCCCACATGTTGTGGGAGGGACCCAGTGGGAGGTAATTTAATCATGGGGGCAGGTCTTTCCTGTGCTGTATTCATGATACTGAATAAGTCTCATGAGATCTGATGGTATTATAAGGGAGAGTTTCCCTGCACAAGCTCTCTTTTTTTGCCTGCTGCTATCCATGTAAGATGTGACTTGCTCCCCCTTGCCTCTGCCATTATTGTAAGACCTCCTTAGCCACGTGGAACTGTAAGTCCAATAAACCTCTTTCTTTTGTATATCACCCAGTCTCAGGTAAGTCTTAATCAGTAGCATGGAAAAGGACTAATACAGCAAATTGGTACCAAGAGTGCGGTGCTGTTGAAAAGATACACAAAAATGTGGAAGCGACTTTGGAACTGGGTAACAGGCAGAGGTTGGAACAGTTTGGAGAGCTCAGAAGAAGACAGGGAAATGTGGGAAAGTTTGGAACTTCCTAAAGACTTGTGGAATGGCTTTACTCAAAATGTTTATAGCAATATAGACAATAAAGTCAAGGCTGAGGTGTTCTCAGATGGAAATGAGGAACTTTTTTGGAAACTGGAGGAAAGGTGATTCTTGTTATGTTTTAGCAAAGTGACGGGCAGCATTTTGCCCCTGTCCTAGAGATTTGTGGAACTTTGAACTTGAGAGTGATGACTTAGGGTATTTTGCAGAAGAAGTTACTAAGCCGCAAAGAATTCAAGAGGTAAATTGGGTGCTGTCAAAAACATTCTTTTTTAAAAGGGAAACAGAGCATAAAAGTTTGAAAAACTTGCAGCTTGACAATGTGATAGAAAATAAAATTCAATTTTCTGAGGAGAAATGCAGGCCAGCTGCAGAAATTTGCATAAATTATAAGGAGCTGAATGTCAATCCCCAAGTTGATGGGAAAAATATCTCCAGAGCATGTCAGAAGACTTCATGGCAATTCATTCCTTCACAGGCCTGGAGGCCTAGGAGGAAGAATTGGTTTCATGGGCTGGGCCTAGAGTCCCAGTGCTTTGTGCAGCCTAGGGACTTGGTGCCTTGTGTCCCAGCCACTCCAGCCATGGCTGAAAAGGCTTAAATAGAACTAGGGCTGTTGCTTCAGACGGTGCAAGCCTCAAGGCTTGGCAGCTTCCATGTGGTGTTGAATCTGCAAGTGCACAGAAATCAAGAATTGAGGTTTGGGAACCTCTGCATAGATTTCAGATGGAAGTGCCTGGATGCCCAGGAGGAAATTTGCTGTAGGGGCGGGGTCCTCATGGAAAACCTCTGCTAGGGTATTGAGGAAGGGAAATATGGGGTCAGAGCCCCCACACAGCGTCCCTACTGGGGCACCACCTGATAGAGCTGTGAGAAGAGGGCCACTATCCTCTAGACCCCAAAATGGTAGATCTGTTGACAGCTTGCACAATGCACCAGGAAAAGCCAGAGAAACTCAATGCCAGCCCATGAAAATAGCCATGAGGGAGGCTGTACCCTGTGAAGCCATGGGGGTAGAGCTGCCCAAGACCATGGAAATCCACCCCTCCATCAGTGTGACCTGGATGTGAGATATGGAGCCAAAGGAGATCATTTTGGAACTTTAAGATTTAACTGCCCTGCTGGATTTTGGACTTTCATGGGGCCTGTACCCCTTTTATTTTGGACATTTTTTCCCATTTGGAAAGCCTGTATTTACCCATGCCTGTACCCCCTTGTATCTAGGAAGTAACTAAATTGCTTTTGAATTTACAGGTTTATAGGTGAAAGGGACTTGCCTTGTCTCAGATGAGACATTGGACTATGGACTTTTGAGTTAATACTGGAAAGAGGTGAGAGTTTGGGGAATCAATGGGAAGACATGATTGGTTTTAAAATGTGAGGACAAGAGATTTGGGAGGGGCCGGGGTGGCATGATGTGGTTTGGCTGTGTCCCCATCCAAATCTCATCTTGAATTCCCTGCACAATCTCTCTTTTTTTGCCTGCTGCCATCCATGTAAGATGTGACTTGCTTCTCCTTGCCTTCTGCCATGATTATGAGGCCTCCCCATCCATGTGGAACTGTAAATTCAATAAACTGCTTTCTTTTGTAAATTGCCCAGTCTTGGGTATGTCATTATTAGGAGCGTAAAAACAGAGGAATACAATACTATAGCCAAGATCATGTCACTGCACTCCAGCCTGGGTGACACAGCAAGACTCTGTCTCAAAAAAAAAACAAAAAACAAAAAAACACATAATTGGCCATTCATACATGTTCAAGTTAGCAAGCTGTGGATGCTACCTTCAAAATTACAAATAAAATTTGCACCAGTAATATAGTTCATATTTAGGAGTGACTGCCACAACTGAAAATTTACCAAGAAATATTGATAACTAATGTTTCAGGTGAAAGGGTCATATGTTTTAATCACCAGTTACTTATTTATTAATTTACAATTTATTTAACAAATACCCACTGTATTTTATGCAATGTTTTACTACTAAGAAGTCATCAGTGAATTAAACTGATAAATCACCGCAATTGTACTGAGCTTCCAGTTTAGTTAGACAAGAAAAAAAACAAAAAATAAATTAAAAAGGGAAAGGATAGGATGTGTCACATAGCGTTAAGTGCTGGAACAGAAGTAAAGCAAGAATAGGTAAAGGATTACATTTACCCTTGTAATCTTTAATAAGGGTTTGTCATCTTGAATAGGGGGAATGTAATCTTGAAAGAAGTTATGTAATATTGAATAAAGATTTATAGAAAGACTCACTGAGAGGGTGAAATTTGGAAGATACCCACAAGAGGGACTAATCAAGGCAGATATCTTAAGTACTAGACAGAATTCCATACTGTTGAAAATTTTAAATGATAAAGAACATGGCTAACAACTTATAAAGTTTGTGATTATTTCAAAACAGAAGTATAGAAATTGAATATTTTAACATTGATGTATTTTAATTTGTCTATATAGTGTTTTCATTTTGTAGATTGAGAATAGTCTCTCTCAGCTACCATCTCATCCTACAAGTGTAGACTGTAAATTATTTTAGTTTATTTGCCTATATTTATTTTAGTGAATTGTAATAGGGACTATTTATAAAAAATTATTCTGAGAGAAACTGGAGCAAAATCCCATGTGAGATGTCTAAATTTTCTCATTAGTAAGTTCAAGTAGATGGTGAAAATGGCTAACTGTTCCATTAAACTGCTATAACCTAAGGCAAGCTGTTCTTAGAAAACCATCAAATGGGACTTAACCATCGAAATACAGGTCAAGACCACTTAGTCATATTTTATTGGATGCACATGAATACATCTCTTTCAGAATTAAGATTAACTTCCGTTACTGCTGAGCCAAGTGGTCTATAAAATTGTATGGTATTTCATTTATAATCCCAGAAGCAATAACCTGATGAACACATTAATTATATTTGCTATATAAGTATTATAAAATATTGTATGGTGTTTACTAATTGGCTTTATTATAAATTTTTCAGGATTTAGTCTACAAATATTATATATTAAGATTTATCATAAACTTTTTTATGATAAAACATTCCTCAGAATATTTGAGTCACAGCTTTACTTTACGTATTATAATAATTTTTTTTAATTAATATGAGATAAGTGTGAAAATAACTGACTATGGTCTGACTTTAGAAATGAAATTATTGTACTTACTTTTGTTTTTTCTTTGAGTGAAAAGTATGATCATCTGCTAAAAAATTCAGAAGTTATGAGTGTAGCAGGAAGTCTCCCTTCCTAGTCACCACCTACTCAGTTTCCCTATGTAGAGGCTATTGAAGGTCTTCAGTTTCCAGAAATATCCCATAGTTGTACTAAGATGTATGCATATATTACATTTTTATTTTCTTATAAAATAGATAGCAAGTTCTGCATGCTATTGTTTATGTTTACACTTTATATCATCTCTTAGAAATCATCCCCGTCAAGACAGACAGAACTTGTGATTTTCAATTGCAAATTACTCCAATGGATGAATGAATTGTAACTTAATAATCTAGTTTTCATTGTTGTATTCAGGTTGTTTCAGTGTTTTGCTACTACAAAGCAGTACTGCAATAAATATCTTTGGAAATAAGCAAGCTTGTACACATAAAAGTACATCTGTTGGTAAAATTCTCAGGAATCAATTTGGTAGATCAATATATGAATGAGAATACATTTATAATTGTGGAGATACATTGTTAATTTCCCTCCCTTGAGAATTTTACCCACTTACTATTACACCAGTAATATATGAAAATGCCTATGTTCTCAGTGTTTGCCTATGGAGGTATTTACAAATTATTTGAAATTATATTCCTATTTGAAAGATAAAAATTTGTATCTCAATATGTTATAATTTTCCATTCAGGTGAGAATTAGTATATTTCCACTTTCTGAGAGACATTTTACAGCCTACTTTATGTTATATTCTTAGAGTTTTTAAATTACTGCTTTACAGAAACTTTTATGTATTAAATAAATTACTCTTTTATCGTTCTGCGAGATGGAGCATTTTTTTCATTCATTAAAATCACTTTTTTTGGCCAGGCAGATTGCTATAATGCTTGGCTGATAAAAGCTATTTATGTTTAATTTTATTATTTTTGCATTTTGTAATGTTTTAAAAGCAATAAACAATACCTCGTGTTATACTGGCACATTTGGAGTCTCATTTTATCCACTTAAATCTTAAACACATTAAATTCATTTTGTGTAAGGTTGGAGATGTGAATCTAACTTAATTTGTTTAAAATAACTATTCTATTTCAGACTTGATCTATGATATTAACTCGATCTTTCAGTCTATTTTATGTGTTCATACTACAGCATAGCTTTTAAATATATTTTAATATTTCAAAAAGGTAGGCTTGCAGCACCTTATTGCTAATAAATATAGAAAAATATTGGCTAATGTACTTTTATTTATTCACCCGGATTTTTAGAATTAGTTTAATTTTAAAAAGTTGGGGTATATTAAACTTATAATGTACCATCAATACTATTGATAAATCGATGAGACCATCTTTCTACTCCAGAATTTTTTCCATTATTTTCCATATTTGGGGGTGGATAATTAGTACTGAAACACTTTTATATGCTAATTTTTGCTTATTTCTGTTACATTTGTTTCTATTTGTTGTTAATAATAAATATGCATTTTCCTACAATGTCTTTCAAGTAGTGGACTTCTGTCACTATAATAAAGCAATTTTTAAATATATTTATCTACTTTTGTTTCCTTTAAATAATATATTTTAGTTGATTTTCTCAGATTTACAAAGAATACAATTTTCAAGCAGCAGAATAAATGTCAAGCTTTCTTATGGTATGTAGGAAAAGACATATACATAACCAGTAATAAGTTCAATTGTGCGCAAGAACCAACATTCAAATGCTGGAAGTGGAACATCTAGGATAGAACAAGAAGAGGGCCAGAGGTTGCATGAAAGCTGAACTAACAAGTTTCCCAGACCTCTTTGACTGCAATTTTCAACTATATGAAGAAAAGATATGTGAACATACTCAAAACTAAAAGACCAGGAATTCAAGACCAGCCTGGCCAACGTGATGAAATGCTGTCTCTACTAAAAATACAAAATAAATAAATAAATAAATAAATAAAAATAAATAGCCTGTGTGGTGGCGCATGCCTGTAATCCCAGCTACTCTGGAGGTTAAGGCAGAAGAATAGCCTGAACCCAGGAGGCAGACGTGGAAATGAGCCAGGACCATACAAATGCACTCCAGCCTGGGTGACAGAGTGAGATTCTGTCTCTAAAAAAAAAAAAAAAAAATTGCTTTTGTATGCAAAATTTTGCTGTCCTGAAAAAAAGCATTTTAGGATACACTTGTTTATTCTTGATAATGTCCTTATTTTAAAATGTATATATGTAACATTTATATTAATCAGAACACATAGAATTGGTGTTTTATTAGTGATTACACTTTAAAACCATCTTCATATAGAATACGAAAAAGCAAAACATGATATTTATAAATTTCTATTTAGCTACAGACAAATGAACATTACTATATAAGCATACTGTTTTGACTTGCTTTACTAAATTAAATGGAAGCTGACAGAATTTAGTGTTTAAAAACTAATTTGAAATTGAGTTGGAATTATTGGGGAAAGTAAGTATTTGATATTTGCCAGGCATTTTTGTTGTTAGCAGCTGAAAATTATTCCAACTTTCTAAAAGAAGCTGGAAATTTCAGGCATTCTTTTTCTCTTATATCTAGAGTACAGGCACCTGCTCTTGACTTCTGTAGGGGTGGGGGGTTATTGTACAACCTCAATGTCCAGGGCTAGTGGCTGTGACAGTATTGCATGTGCCAGATTCTGCAACACAATCCAAAGATGAGTTTACTGACTGTGTTATCCACAAACCTTAAATCTCTGTCTTTCTTGGTAATCCTGTGAACTTTTTGACGTCGTTCAGTAAGTTATGTGCTTTTTAATTAGCTGGATTCAGTTCTGATTGCTTTTGTTAAGAAATGTTCAATAACTATACTACAAATCAGATTTTCTTGACTTCGATGCTATTAATATGTTGGGATAAACAATTCTTTGTTGGGGGATGGGAGTGGCTATTTGTGCACAGTAGGATTAGTAAGATATTTATTGGTCTTTACCCACTAGATGCTAGTAGAATATTCCCATTTGTGACAACCAAAACTGTCTCAGGAAACAAAATTGTTCCCACCTAAGTGAGAGCTACTGCTATAGATGGATAGGTAGCAGAAAGAAAAATTCTATGATATATACATTGAGATTCATTGAATAGATCCCTATTTCAACAAATACATATGAAGAGAAAAAAACTTCAGATTCCCATGAATGACGGTAAAAGTAATTGAAGATGGCTTGCAAAATTTAATATAAAATATGTATCCTATTGAAAAAACGAGAGAAACACATTTATCTCTTAGAGTAAAACCAAATCTGAATTTCTCCAGTGAGTAGTTTAAGTACCAAATTACTGTTTTGGGAATGCCTAGTGAATTTCTCCAGTGAGTAGTTTAAGTACCAAATTACTGTTTTGGGGAATGTCTAAAGATTGAATATAACAATATTGCAAAGAAAATTAAATTAATTTATTGTTCTTCTTGTTTCAGAATTCTGTGCCTTTTGGGTGTGGTGTGATCTCTTTTCCCAATATAATTTCCAAAGTCTCAGTGTTCACCTGAGAAACATATTTACTATGTCAGTAACGATAAAATCCTCTTCAGAAATATACCTATCTTAAAAGAGCTCATAAAAACAAACACACACATTTAAATAAATATTGATGGTATAATGTTTTCCATTTTAAAAATAATCCTTATATTTTGATTAGATCCTTGTTTTGTGTTTTCTTGTGTGTGCATAGGCATTTAACACATTTTGAAAAGCTCACAAGCAACAAAATTAAAAAACCCTGAATCTATTAAGTTTATAAGATATCTTTTCAAATGTGTATGTGATATTTATATATAACAGCCTTCATTAAAAAGACTTTTCTACTGAAAACATTTGGTTTAGTTTGAGGATAAAAGAGTACAATTAATCACAGGAAGCAATCTCTATTAAAAAACTAAAAAAAGTACAATTAAATTATGAGGGTAATTAGATACTTTAATAAATTGAGAGATGATTACCTGTAGGATCTCAGGCTTTCTATATCCCTACTTGTGTATCTATCATCTATCTATCTATCTATCTATCTATCTATCTATCTAATCTATCATCTATCTAAAAACATACATGCATGCACACACAGAGACACCTACAGAGTAACTTGGATGGCTCTTTGGTTTACTCTCAAAGTGAAGTTTTAACACCTAGGTATAGAAGGAAAACTAACTCTGATTTACTGATTTAAAACTGAAAGGTTATATGGTAGATAAGAAGGGTGAACACACAAATGTATTGATAGCTTTATTTAAAAGGTTAATTCATCATATTTTTGTCTGTGTAGGGTAGGAATGTGAAATCACAAATGTATTGATAGCTTTATTTAAAAGGTTAATTCATCATATTTTTGTCTGTGTAGGGTAGGAATGTGAAATCATGACATTTTATAGAAAATACCTGACAAAAGATTTATGAATTACTTTTTGGCAAGGTAGTAATTTGGCTAACTTACTGTCACTTGAAGCTTTGGTCATGGGTCTTGCAGTTAAAAATTACTTATTTAAAATCTGTCCACTTAGAAATTAGAAGACCTCAGTGAAGTATTCATAACAAGCAAATTTACATGAGACTGATTTTAAAAAAGTAAATTGAATTAAAATATTAGGATATATGTTTCTGTGTCTATTACATGAAAACTTCCCATCCATTCACCATTCCACCCAGCCCCAGCAGCCACTGTTCAATTTGCTGTCTCTATGAATTTGACTACTGTAAGAACCTCATGTGAAAGGAGTCATATAATACTTGTCTTTTTTCTACTGACTTATATTTTATTTAGGTTAATATCTTTAAGGTTCATTCATGTTGTAGCATATGTCAAAATGTCCTTCCTTTTGAAGGCTGAATAATATTCCATTGCATGTATATACCACATTTTGTCCATCTATTCATCTGTTAATGGACATTTGGGTTGTGTCTTCTTTCTGGCTATTGTAAATGTTGCTGCTATGAACATGGGTGTACAAATACCTGTTCAAGTTTCTACTTTCTGTGCTTTGGGGTATATACCTGGAAGGGAAGCTGGTGGATCATACAGAGACACACTCCTGATTTATCATTTTTATAAAGTTTTTTTTTTTTTTTTGCCAAGTAAAAAGAGCAAATTCAGTCTCTTCCTTTTACTATAGTTTACCAATTTTCTAAAGAATACTCTTGAAGTGCCTTGTTGAATATGAGTGAATGTGTAATCCCTTGATTACTTATTTCACTAGGTAGTTATTTAGCTGGTTAGTTAGTAATGCAAAGTACACTTTCAAAAGAATTTGATAAAGGTGTCCATTCATGTCTTGATTTACCGTGAATACATTTAATTAGATAATTCTCTTAATTCAATATATTTTAAAGTAGTTTTGGGAGTAAAAATAACATTTACTGTAGCTAACTCTTTCACTGATGCTAAAAAGCTACAACTTTATTTATCTAATTTGCTATTATGGAAGGGCTCATAAATGGATAATCCCGAACACATTGCAATAAAGGAATGGTGCTGGAAAGGAATAACTAAGCATGGCCTGGCAGAAACTGGCAATCACTTTGAAAATTATTTTTTTAAGGTTACTTTCATATAGGTTACTTTTTGGAAATTTTAAAAAGAGGAGTATACGTAAAATAGAGAGTATAAGTTAAAAAAATTAAAAAGAAGGGAATTAGTAAAAATCTACAACATGGATATAAATTTTTAGAAAAACTATGAGGCTAAAACATCTTTGATCATTATTAATCATTCAAAAAAGTACAAAGGGCACAAATGATAATTATAAAGTGATTTAAATGTTCTATAGTAATCTTTGTTATATTTAATTAAACCTCTGAAGATATCTTTTAATATAAATACATGTGTAAAATAGTACCTTATTATGAGGAGATTTCCCATCAGAATGCTATTTTCAAAATTAAATATAATACCATGTCTAATTTCATTTAAAAATAAGGAAGAAAAACAGAAATAAAATGAAAAAATGAAATTCAAATAAATGTATACTGAGGATAAAATTAGTTTCCTAGAAGTACGATTTACATTTAAATAGAATTGACTCTCAGCTATTTAGGAGAAGGCCATTAGTATTCTTACACTTTATCATATTTTCTCTGTCTCTCAGCCTCAATTGTTGTTAGTCTAAACTTTAAAATGTCTACTTTCTGGCATTAAAATTTCTATTCTATGACTAAAATTTTTATATATGTTTAGCTTTATCCTATATCTGTAATAAGTCAATGAATTTATTCTTTTTTCCTTTTTAAGTTTTCCTAAATTCAACTGTAATTGTCTAAATATGTTAAATTCATTTTTCAAAATTGGTTTAAAAGACAGTACAGATATACAGCTAAGTATGTGTGGCAATTTAATATGGTAAAGGAGTCATTTTAATTCAACTTAGAAAATATATTTAACTATTTGGACAATATGGCAGACATTTTCAAAAGAATAAAATTATTCTTTTCAACATATACCAAGATAAAATTCATGGAAAAATTTGGTGTAATAAATGAATCTAAAACAGATTAATAATTGGAATTTTACCTTGAACTAGAAAAGACTTTTCCATAAATGAGCCAAAAATCAGATACTATTGCATAGCGAATATAAAATACTTTCACATAGGGAGAAAATGCCATTTGTAAAGTGAAAAGATAAATGACTGAATTTAAGTAAATATTGGTATTAATAACTTATGTAACAACAGGATGCATGCTGAGATTATGAGATAATAAAACCTCTTTAGAAAGATAAACACAGTATGTATATTCACTAGCCCTATTCACAAATATATAGTTCACCTCTTTTGGAGAATTAAATTGATAGAATTGCACTTCTTTGCCCACTTGGATTTGATAGGATTATGTGGTTTGTTTGGACAATAAAATGTAGACAGAAGTTATGTGTATCCCTTTTGAGCTGAAACTTCTAGACTCACTACATCCTCATCATTCTAATTCAGTAGTCTTGGAAGTACAGGTGAAAATTGAACCATGATCAGCCCGGATCTCTGACGGACTATGATCAGCACAATTTCCAGCCAATTCTTATAACTCTTAAGAGGGCAATAATCTTGAGACACAGATATTTAGCGCCTCTTCCACATCCAATGTTTTCTACCATGAAATCATGTCTTTGTAAAATGATGTGAAAAACATTATAATACATTTTATATAAGTAGATTTTAAAACTGTGATGAATTTCTAGCACCAGTATGAAGACAGAATTAGAATGCTATTGATAATTTCAAATAAAAAAAGAAGGCATGCTTGAATACTGAGAAGAGATGTAATGCATTTTCTAAACAAAGCACACAGTTAATTAGTATTCATGATTTCATTTGTGTTTCTCTGAACTCTGATAAATAATTAAAGGAAACTGCATTAATTTCATTCATAATATTTGTCACAATCCATCCCAGATATTATTTCACATTTTATTGATTTTTAAGAAATTAATCATTGAGGAAGATATTTTTATTTTCTCTTAAGGACAAGGAAACTGAAGTTTAGGGAAGTCAGGTGATGTTCTCGGTGTACCAATTACATGCTGGTAAAAAGAGATTTTAAATTCAGGTTGCTTGGCTTCATGAAGTACAGTGCTCTTTTACTTAAAATAATTTGTTCTGCTTGTTACTGACAAAAAGTCTAAACATGATTGAAAGCAGAATTTTGCTCCAAAATATGCCATTATCAATATAACATTTTCAATTTCTGGGACCACAGATAAAATAAGGCATCATTTAAAGGATCTGCATGGCTGTATACATGATAATGAGAAGCTTGTCTTATTTGGGAAGGCATGGCTATAATATATCTGTCATGAACTAAGCTATATACTGTATAAAGGGCTGAGGTAGAAATGTGATTCAGTTTTAGGGGATTTAGAATGTGGTGAAGAATATTGATAGATATATAAGCATATTTTAATCATGTAAGTTGAAAACAAAATTAGTAAACTTAAAACTTTATTAGAAACCCAAAGCCCCAAACAACTAGCTTGGTGACTTTGGTCAAGTTACTTAACCTTACTGGGACTTAGTTTTTTCACATGTAAAATGTTTATAAAGGCCATTTTTACTTTATATGTCGTTTTGAGCAATACATTTTTAAAAGAATGGTTTTATTGGTATCTGAAGGCCTGGTTCCTTCCAGGGACTTCAGGAGAGACTTTGTTCCTAACCTATTCTAGCTTCTGGTGGCCGCCAGCCTTCCTTGGCTTTTGGCTGCATCACTCCAATTTCTACCTCGCTGGTAATACTCACTTTTCTTCTGTATTCAACAACTCTCTGTCTCCCTCTAATAAGAATAGTAGCTATTACATTTAAAGGCTCACCTGAATAATCCAAGGTCATCTCTTTATCTTGAGATCTTTAATTTAGTCACATCTGAGAAGTTCTTTTTGACACAGGTGACATTCACAAGTTTCAAGGATTAGAATCTATATATACTCAGGGGTATTTTTTGTCCTGCCATACATTCATATGCATGAATGCAGACTCATTGAATCTTCTGAACATCTATATCCAACAGATAGTCTATGTATCCATTTATGTGTGAGGAAATGTAGAAACAGGGAGATTAAATAATCCATTGGAAGTCACACATTACACTTCAATGATAGTATTAGATGCTCACAAATCTGTCTCTAGGAGCCACTGCTAAACCTATACTGTGGCCAAGCAAAAGAAAATCATTAGACAAATCAAGGAGCCAAAAATATATATCATAAAATTTATAATGGATGTGAATAAGAAATATTTGCAAGGACTTAAAAATCAAAAAGATTGCTTTTTTAATTTGTAGAACCAGCAATCTATACACAACATGCCAAAGATTTATTTATGTAATAAAACAGAATGCATATGCTAACAAACATGACATTTTATAAATAAATACAAGTAGAAACGGGAGGAAAACTGGATGAAAGGGACTAGTGACAGTCACTTCACTTACAACATGAGAGACAGGAAATCCTATAAATGCTAGTATAACAAAATACAAAGATAAGGGTTTATTATAAAGTCACCAATATAAGAAAATAAGTACAAATTAGTGATTTAAAAATGAAAGATTGAAAAAGGGAGAAGATAGAGAATTGGAAAAGAGAGCTGTCTGCTTTGTTTCAAATCAGGAGTCAGTAGACAGTGCTGACAATGGTAATTTAAGAAAATGAAGTATGCATAATCTTTAGAGATGTGTCATTAGCTACAATGTGAGAAATAAGGAAAAATGGTTACAGTTGATGTCCCCCAAAAAGTAGTATTATGGGTGAAGATGGAGTGGAATTGGAGGCTGCTAATGGTTCTTAAACGTAAACACTTCCTTAATATTGTTTACTTTAATAAAAAGTATCTACTTCTATCTGTCTTTATATCTATCAGTCTGTTTAAAACAAAGTAAAACAATAAAAGCGTTCATATTTTTTCTTTATTCATCAGATTATATTGAAACCTGCTATGTGCCAAATTGAAATTCACCTATTGCAATGAAAAGACAGGACATGTCCCCTTTCAGAGCTTACAATGCAGAGAAAACAGATGACTAAGCAATTATAACCATAGGGAAATAACATGTCCCTTAGGTGGGCAAGAAACATAATATTAGAGAATCATTTAGCAAAAGGTATACTAAGAAATAAATGTATAAAAATTTGGTTTTAAATGGAAATAAAATGAATGACATAAAAAAGGAAGATAAAAAATATTTCCCTATATTTTGCTGTTTGCTTTTAAAAGGAAAATTATATGTAGACAGAAACTATAGAGGCAAAAATTAAAGTACAGACAGAAAAAAGAGTTAAGTAGCAGTTAGCACGTTAGAATGTAGAATCTCCAAAAACCCATTTTGTTGCAGCGTTAAGAATAGATCAAGAAAGCTGGAGATCAGGACTCTCCTGTAGCAAGGATGAGAAAAAAATACGGATGCAAAAAGTGTAAAAGTCCTTCATACTTTGATTACTGAAAGGAAATGTGATGAGAATTTTTTGTGAGTCTCACTGTAATATACAGCCTAATCTATTAATGAAATTTATACCTAAAATCTAGTGCTGTTTTTCTTTGTATTTAATTTCTTTCCGGCTGAAGTTTCAGAATTATTTTGAGAAAACGAAACAATCTCCCCTAACATTTGTAGGGCTTGAGGCCAAGGGTACAGTTGGAAGTATACATACTACATACGTAAATGTTTACAAGTTAAAAACACAACTAACAAAATAATTTATTCACATTGTCCCAAAAAGCCAGATTCAAAGTAGACTTCTGTCTCCTAGCAAATCAAAGCCTGAACATGAATGAGGCTGCACGATCCAGTCTAGACTCTTTTTCCCCTCTACCTCTGCCTTTTCTGCCATATGAAGGGTCTTGCTTGTGTGTACACAAGCTTTCTTGGGTAAAGGCTTGTGTGTGCAACACTCCAGCCTCAAGTTCAAGCACTCGACTGTATACAACTGCTGACCCTTGGCCACTCGTTAGGCCTAAAGATGCCCAAAATATAAATGACTCAGAGCTTGACAGTGAATTGTAAGTATTTGATACAAATCCTGACTGTATTTTCACAAGAATACATGATTTGGGGTCGGGCGCGGTGCCTCACGCCTGTAATCCCAGCACTTTGGGAGGCTGAGGCAGGCGGATCACGAGGTCAGGAGATCCAGAAGATTCTGGCTAACATGGTGAAACCCTGCCTCTACTAAAAATACAAAAACAAAATTAGCCGAGCGTGGTGGCGGGCACCTTTAGTCCCAGCTACCCAGGAGGCTGGGGCAGGAGAATGGCGCGTACCTGGGAGGCGGAGGTTGCAGTGAGCCGAGATAGCGCCATGCACTCCAGTGTGAGACTCCGTCTCAAAAAAAAAAAAAAAAAAAAAAAAAAAAAAAAAAAAAAAATTAATACATGATTTGATTTTAAATATTAAATGACTTTCTTTTTATTTTCCTTCTCTTCTCTCTCACATTCTTAATGCTTTATTTACTCCCTCACTCATTTTTATTCCACCTTCCCAATTAACTATTTAAAGGTTCACAGATAAATTTCAATCGTCAAAATAAATCTACATCTAACGCAGAGTATAGTGGCCACAGACACTGAAAATAAATGAACAAGAAGAGGATACTTTGCTTCACAAGTGTTCTGTTATTTAATATTAGGTCAATATCCCAGGTGTTACCAAAAAAATCCCAAAATGTCCATTTAATTTCAGGAAATGTTGTGACCTTCAGCATACTTCATATCACTACTTTAAAAACAAGTCTAAATTCAGTATTGAGGTCGTTTATTACATGACAAAATGTAAGGGGAAAGAAAATGTTCTCTTGTGTAAACAGATGAGACACTTACTGTGACAGAGCTAATTAGGCTCTTGGGAGAATTTATGCACAGCTAATAAGAAGCAGAGCTAAATGTTGTCTTAATTTACCCTCAAGCTCTCAAAAAAAAAAAAAAAGTTGTTCATTCAAGTTGCAGGAATTGAGCCAACAACCATTAACCCCTCTTTTCCAGATACATTCCCATGCTAAAATCAAGCTCTTTCCTGAAGAGCAAAATCGATTCAGTTTTTTTTCCATGCATCTTTGAACATGTAATCACAAGCCATTATATTTAAAGTTAAGCAGATATAGATGGTTCTGAATTGTCTTCTATATATGGTACTTTGGTTATTGATTTTACCTTATAATATGCTACAACACAGTGTCAAGAATATTAATAAAAGCCAATATTATCAAGTGGGGTTAAATAGGTACTCTCAAACACTGTGTGACTGTTAAGAAAACCCCTTGATGGGGGGCATTATCTTTATAACTCAAAAATTTCAATATTCTTTCATTCACTTCTAAATACTCTATGTCTCTTTTAGAAGCATGTACAGAGGCATGCAATAATAATACAAAGACATTTGTTAAAAGTATATAAATCAGTTTTTCTCTACATGAGCCTTAATAAGACATTGTTTTACATATTATACTACAGCTATAAACATGAAAGATGCTCTTCATATACCAACTTGAAGTAAAGCCTTCAAAATTGGGCATGATATTTATGTCTGGGTAGATTTATATTAAACTTCTAACTAAGGCTATCTGTTTGATTGTGAAACTGAATCGATTTTTACTTTCTACTTCATGAATTTCTTTATTCTTTGATAGGCTTACTACTAGTATCTATTATTTGGAGATAAGAAAATTATTTTAATTTTGTATGATAAACCTAATTAATAGAACAATTTAAATTAATCTTAAAGAACATATTTGGTCATATGAGGTTAAAATTAATAGATTAAGGCATTTTATGAATTTAACTTATATGATAAAAGTTAAATAATATTCTCTGATGTTAATAATAACCATATAAAACAATTATACTTTCAGGAATACATATTAATGAATTAAAAGTATGTAAAAAGATAAACAACAAATAGGTAGCAGTAAGATTCAGGAAGATTTTTATATTATAAGCAGAGGTGGAATATGGGAAATTTACAGATATAGTTAAAATTTATTGTAAAGGTCTTAATTTAAATTGAATATTAAATTCAAACTTACTTATTGAATTATTAAAGTAGATTATAAATAAAGAAAAAGGAGCCACCCATTAATCAATAATTTTTATTACTCCATTTCCATGGACCTAAGGGACATAAAGCAAAATTGAAAAGATATCGTTAATAAAACCAATATCCTAAAATATTATTAAATTGTTTCAGTTTTACAATGAGAACACATGGACACAGACACAGGGAGGGGAACAACCCTTATGGAGGCTTGTTGGGGGAGGGCAGAGTGGGAAGAGCATTAGGGAAACAGCTAATGCATACTGGGCTTAACACCTAGGTGATGGGTTGATAGGTGCAGCAAACCATCCTAGTACATGTTTACCTATGTAATAAACCTGTACATCCTGCACAGGTACACCAAAACTTAAAAAATAAAATAATTATTGTTAAAAAGCTAATCTCAAAAGGTTATGTAATTCCATTTATGTGACATCCCATTGTATAATTCCATTTATACCACATTATTAAAATGACAAGATTATACGGATGGAAAACAGATTAATGGTTGTCGGGGCTTTGGAATAGCAAGAGTGTGTGTGAGGTAGAGAGTACGGGTGTGACTACAAAGGAGTAGAAAGAGGGAGCCTCTTAGTATGAAATAGTTGTGTTCTTTGTGTACAGTGGGATAAAATGACATACATAAAATGACATGAGATAAAATGACATAGAAGTATATACACAAGAAGTATCCATGTCAAGTTTATAGATAGATAGATAGATAGATAGACAGACAGACAAGCAGACAGACAGACAGATAGATAGATAGATAGATAGATAGTACCATATATATCTAACTCATAATCTTTGGGAAAAAATGGGTGAAGAGTACACAGGACCTCTCTGCACTACCTTTGCAACTTTCTATATATTGGTAATTATTTCAAAATAAAATGTTCAATAATTATAAAAAATTGTTTCAATTTTTTTGTTGTTGTTTCTTTGTTTGTTTTTTGAGAAGGAGTCTCCCTCTGTTGCCCAGGCTGGAGTGCAGTGGTGCAATCTCGGCTCACTGCAACCTCCACCTCCCCGGTTCAAGCAATTCTTTGCTTCAGCCTCCCAAGTAGCTGGGATTACAGGTGTCCTTCACCACGCCCAGCTAATTTTCATATTTTTAGTAGAGGCAAGGTTTCACCATCTTGGCCAGGCTGATCTTGAACTCCTGACCTCGTGATCCACCCGCCTCAGCCTCCCAAAGTGCTGGGATTTACAGGCGTGAGCCGCCATGCCCGGCCTCAAATTTTAACATTAAAGACTTCCTATTAAACTCCACGATGTATACACAAAATAGAAATACAAAATAAGTATGTCAAAATGTTAGTAATTTTCTATAAATGGTGGGCCTAGATTTCAAGTTTTTAATCATTTCCTTTTCTATAATTTTTAATCTTTCTCTAATAAGCATGCATGACATTTCAACCAATTTAAATTATTCAGTGAAATATATTTTGCATTAAAAAACTTTAAAAATATAAAATACAGATATTTTTCTAGACAGGTTTGAAGAAGGCTATTGAAACATTTTATCTGCAATTCACTCCTATTCTTTTTGATATTGCACAATAGAGACTAAAGAAGAAAAATTAATTGCCTTTACCACAACTTTTAGTTACAGTAAAATCAGTGTTTAATAATGTGTTCAGATACCTCTCCCACTGATCACACGCAAAGGTCACTCTAAGAACTTTTATTCCTGTGAGGAGTCACTCAAGCTGTCATTTAAAAACACAAAATTGAAAACCAAAACAAAGAAAGAAAGAAAACAGAATAATAAAACTATTTTTGCCTCTAATTTACCAGAACCCTGATCTTCAAATATTAAATAAGGTTTATGAGGGTATGCTATGTTATAGTCACTATGAACTAGCAGAAAATCTGACTTGTATAATTCTATGGTGATCAGCAGGGGCACTTGGTTCTTTATATGTATGCATCTGTGTGGATATAGCGTGTGTGTGTTTATACACATATTTCTTAAGGAAATATATACATATATTTTAAGAAAATATACAAATATTTCCTAAAGCACTGAGTGGACAAATGCATGTAACAAAAATATACATCATTTTGCCTTTGAAGAATTCATTACCTAGGGAAATAAGACATGTGGACAGATGTAGTGCACTATGGTCTATAACAGAGATATCTACAAAGCTGAATGAAATTTTGGTGAAGCTAATGTGGGAAAGCAGCCTTCACAGAAGCACAGACAATACATTTGGGTTTTCAAAGAAAATAATAAAATGTTTTTCAGATTGGGTCAAAAAGACATGGCATGCCTGTAGGAAAGTTCAACATATGGAAGGCCTTTTCTGCATCTACTGAGATAACCATGTGGTGTTTGTCTTTCGTTCTGTTGATGTGATAAATCACATTTATTGTTTTGCATATGTTGAACCAACCTTCCATCTCATAAAGCCTACTTCATCATTGTGGATAAGTTTTTACCCACAATTTAATCTACTGGATTTGGTTTGCCAGTATTTTGTGGAGTATTTTTGCATCGATGTTATCAAGGATATTTACCTGAGGTTTTCTTTTTTTTCTTGTATCCCCACCAGGCTTTGGTATCAGAATGATGCTGGCCTCTTAGAATGAGTTAGGGAGGAATCCCTTCTTCTCAATTTTTTTTTTAGATATTCTCGGTAGGAATGGTACCAGCTCTTCTTTGTACCTCTGGTAGAATTCAGCTGTGAATCCTTCTGTTTCTGGGCTTGTATTGGTTGGTAGGCTATTTATTACTGCCTCAATATCAGAACTCATTATTGGTCTATTCAGGGATTCAATTCCTTACTGGTTCAGTCTTGGGAGGATGTATGTGTCCAGGAATTTATCCATTTCTTCTAGATTTTCTAGTTTACATCCATAAAGATGTTTATTGTAGTGTCTGATGGTTGTTTATATTTCTGTGGGGTCGGTGGTGATATGACCCTTATCATTTCTGACTGTTTATTTGGATCTTTTTTCTTTTCTATTTTGTTAGCTAGTTACTGGTCTATTTTAGTAATTTAAAAAAAAAACAACTCCTGGATTCATTGATCTTTTGAATATAGTTTTGTCTCTTTTTCCTTCAGTTCACCTCTGATCTTGGCTATTTCTTGTATTCTGCTAGCTTTGGGGTTCGTTTGCTGTAGGTTCTCTAGTTCTTTTTTTGTGATATTAGGTTGCTAACTTGAGGTCTTTCTAGATTTTTGATGTGGGCATTTAATGTTATAAAATTTCCTCTTAACACTGCCTTAAGTGCATCCCAGAGATTCTGGTATGGTGTCTCTTTGATCTCATTAGCTTCAAAGAACTTCTTGATTTGTGCCTTAATTTCATTTTTTACTCAAGAGCCATTCAGGAGAAGGTTGTTGAATTACTATATATAATAGTTGTGTGGTTTTGAGTTAATTTCTTAATCTTGATTTCTAATTTCATTGTGCCACGATCTGAAAGACACTTTGTTATGATTTTAGTTCTTTTGCATCTGCTAAGGAGTGTTCCACTTCCAATTATGTGATCAATTTTAGAGTAAGTGCCTTGTGGCAATGAGAAGAATGTATATTCTGTTGTTTTTGGGTGGAGAGTCCAGTAGGTATCAGGTCCATTGGATCCAGATGAAACTCAACATCATTTTATGTTAAAAAATCTCAAAAATCTAGATATTGAAGGAACACACCTTAACATAGTAAGAGCCATTTATGGCAAACCCACAGCAAATATCATACAAAATTGGCAAAAGCTAGAAGCATTCTCCTTGAAAACTGGCACAGGACAAGTATGCCCTATCTCACCACTCCTGTTTGACATAATATTGGAAGTTCTGGCCAGGGAAATCAGGCAAGAGAAAGAAATAAAAGTTATTAAAATAATAAGAGAGGAAGTGAAAATATCTTTGCAGATTACATGATCCTATGTTTAGAAAACCCCATTGCCTCAGCCAAAAACTTCTGAAGCTGATAAGCAACGTTAGAAAAGTCTCAGGATAAAAAACAATGTGCAAAATTATTTTAAAAAGTCACTTGCATTTCTATACAACAACAAGTGGCAAGCAGAGAGCCAAATCATGAATAAACTCTCATTCACAATTGCCCCCCCCGCCCACATACACACAAATACCTAGGAGTATAGCTAATAGGGGAAGTGAAGGACCTCTTCAAGGAGAACTGCAATCACTGCTCAAAGAAATCAGAGAGGACACAAACAAATGAAAAAACATTCCATGCTCATGGATAAGAAGAGTCAGCATTGTGAAAATGGTCATACTCTCAAAAGCAATTTATAGATTCACTGTTATTTCCATTAAAGTACCATTGACATCATTCAAATAATTAGAAAAAAACTATTTTAAAATTCATATGGAACAAAAAAAACCCCAAATAACCAAGACAATCTTAAGCCAAAAGAACAAAGCTAGAAGCATCACACTACCCAACTTCAAATTATATTACAAGGCTCCAGTAACCAAAACAGCATGGTACTCATATAAGAACAGACACATAGACCAATAACTGGCTAGTCATATACAGAACCTTGAAACTAGACCCCTTCCTTACACTATATACAAAAATCAACTCAAGGTAAATTGAAGACTTAAATTTAATACTCCAAACTATAAAAACCCTAGAAGAAAACCTAGGCAATACCATTTATGACATAGGCATGGGCAAAGATTTCATGACAAAGATGCCGAAAGCAGTTGCAACTAAAACAAAAATTTACAAATGAAAGCTAATTAAATGAAAGAGCTTCTGCACAGCAAAATAAACTATCATCAGAGTGAACAGAAAACCTACAGAATGGGAGAAAATTTTTGCATTCTGTCCATCTGGCGAAGGTCTAATATCCAGCATCTACAAGGGACTTAAACAAATTTCCAAGATAAAAGCAAACAACCCTGTCAAAAAGTGAGCAAAGGACATAAGCAGAGACTTCTCAAAAGAAGATATCCATGCAGCCAGTAAACATATGAACAAAAGTTTAACATCACTGATCACTGGAGAATTGCAAATCAAAACCACAATGAGATACTATCTCACACCAGTCAGAATGGCTATTACTAAAGAGTCAAAAAACAACAGATGCTTGAGAGGTTGTGGAGAAAAAGGAATGCTTTTACATTGTTGGTGAGAGTGTAAATTAGCTGGACTATTGTGGAAAACAGTGTGGTGATTCCTCAAAGACTTAGAAGCGGAAATAACATTTGACCCAGCAATCCCATTACTGAGTATATAACCAAAAAAAATATAAATCATTCTATTATAAAGATACATGCATGCATATGTTCCTTGCAGCACTATTCACAATAGCAAAGACATGAAATCAACCTAAATGGCCATCAATGATAGATTGGATAAAAAAGAAGTGTGGTACATATACACCATGCAATACTATGCAGCCATAAAAAGGAATGAGATCATATCCTTTGCAGGGACGTGGGTGGAGTTGGAAGCCATTATCCTCAGCAACCTAACCCAGGAACAGAAAACCAAATGCTGCATGTTTTTACTTATAAGTGGAGCTGAATGATGAGAACACATGGACACATGGTGGGGACAACACACACTGGGAACTGTTGGTGGGTAGGGGTTGGGAGGAGGGAGGGCATCAGGAAGAATAGCTAATGAATGCCAGGCTTAATATCTAGGTGATGGGATGATCTGTGCAGCGAGCCATCATGGCACCCGTTTACCTATGTAACAACCTGCACATCTCACACATGTACCCCTGAACTTAAAATAAGTTGAAAATGAAAAAAAAAAGTTCAGCATATGAAAAGTTACAATAGCAGCACTTAAATAGTCATATCTAAATTAAACAAATTGAAATCATTTTTAATATCTTAGAAGATTTAAAATACTGTTAGGCTTTGAGGTTTATGTTATAGATAGCATGTGATTCATGTTCTCTAAAAATAATGAGTTTGCAAAGGGAGAGCAACATGGAAAATGTAACAGTTGTAATTTTATAAATTTCTAGGACAACAGTATGTTCTACATAGTCTATTAGAGCAGGTAGGAGAGAATGACTACCTCTCTTTTGGGGAACCTGTATTTTTTTTTTTCTGAGAAATTGACTTTGTATTGAAACTTCAAAGAAATATTGGTCTATAAAAAAGATACCAATCAGCATAAGGCATAAAAATTTCAGAATTCTCTTAATGAAAGTGTAGGGGTAAATGTACCAAGTCCATTGCCTGACTGGTCTCTCAATTCTTTGGATCATGTATCCAGGGTCTTTCCATTGCACAATTTCAAGGAGTACATTCACATTTTACTTAAGGCTGAATCCCTGAATGCATTAATACTAGCAGTTATATATACATATATATATATATATATATATATATATATATATATATATATATATACACACACATACACATATATACACACACAAATAATATACATCTATTATGTTTCTAGTGATACACTGAAAAATTATTAAAGCATAAGTAAAAGTAAAATAAATAAAATACTGCAAATTTGTCCCTAAGAGAAAAGTTTTTGTCTGTGTTCTATAATTTGTTTGTAAATATCTTTGCAATTACGCTTTAATCATAACGTCAGTACTTTGTATTCTTAAGAACATATTTTTAACAATAATAGATAAAAATCTCTATTTAATTTTGTCTCTTGATGATTCCAATGTTTTGGTAATTTTCAGTCAATATTATTGACTCAAACTTCTAAAATAGTTAATCTCGTCCTTAGGTTTTCTTTTTGCTTATTGTTCTTGTTTACATTGTATTCTTCTTGTGGTTCTTTTATCTCCACAAGGGTTAAAATTTGATTTTTTAAAAAAAATTCATATGACCAGTACATATAAACTACAATGCCACCATATAAATACAGGCAGAACATACTAAAACTCTCTTTATGTTGGGAATTCCAGACTTCCTCCTATTTAGGTAACATATAAAAGCTATCAAATAAACTATAAACTTATTATTTTTCTGTAAGAATAAGCATATCAAATATCACTATGACAAATTTACTTTTTTATTGTTATTAAAATATCCTACATAGATGTTCTCTCAACTTTTCATAGTATTGCACTATATTAAGTGGAATCAGTTACAGAGTGATCAAATTTTGGAAAGTCATGCGTAATACGTTTAATTGCTTTGATGTTATCTCATAGTCATACAGATCAATAGAAACATATTTAAAAAGGGAATTCACATGTCCAGAATTTTTGGTTGGATGAACAACTTCCTGCCACAAAGGAGGGTAGAGTGGAAGAGAGTCATTTGTGTGGTTCACAATCTTTCTTTTCCCTTAAATGCACCCACCCTCTATTGTAGAGCCCTTAGTTCTTAGTGAAATCATAGTTTCATTATTTAAGACCCAATTGAAGTAAATGGGCATGGCCAACATTTAATTAACATCAGTTTATCAATTAACTAGCAAATAACTGAGGAACTGAACTCTGTAAAATATGAAGTGGTGAGGAGTAGAATGCCACAATGGTTACAAAAAAGTCTGAGTACCCAGAAAAAGTGTGCAAACATAAAAGAGAAGGATTTGAATAGAGGCTGCCCTGACTTGGTTTATTTAACAATAGAGCTAACATTGATGGACTTCTCTAAGATATTGTTTAGCAAGTTCATAGACTGATCATACTAATTGAACCAGTGGAGGCAACACTTTCCCAAAAGCTTTCTCATAGATGTGACTAAAGAAAAGTAGAAAATCTATATAATGTTGGGACTGAATCCCAGGAGCGCTCCTTTTTGGCTCTATTGATGAAGAATATTTAAACTTTTTTTGTCTCATTCAGAGGCTTACATTAGAGAGAACCTGCTGGAAATGACTGTACAGTTCACAGCTTCATATACAACTAAGTACACCAAGGGGGTCCAAGTCCCAACTCAACAATTCTATACTGAAATGAAAATGTAGAGCAAATGAACTCCGAGCACAAAGCAAATTTAGAAAAGGCTGAGAAAATATTCATTTTGATTTTGTGAATAAGCAGATGCAGTGTGGGTGAGGATTACATCACTTTAGCAGGTGTTAATTTGTTCATAAATATACCACCTGTAAAAAAAAAATAAACTTTAAAAGTAGGATATGTAGCCTCTAATTGCTTTTTTTCCTGGATCATTTCATTCACATCATATGATACCTTAAATTTCTCAAGAAATTAAATCAAACTTCATGAGTTCACAAAACAGAAGACACTAAAAGTTCAGAATGGATAGTCCCTTTAAAGATACAACTCATTCAACTTTCATTGAACTTACCAGTGAAAGCCACATTGGTAAATGGTGGGTACACAAAGAACGAATGTCAAATAGGAACAAAAAAATACGAATAGGAAAAGGTTATGACAGTCCCCATTTGATGTTTGTGTTGACCTATACTAAACCTAATTGCACCTCAGATAAATTTATTTTTGCCTAGCAGCTAAGGGGACTATTGTATGCAATTGGCAGCAACTTACTACAAGAAAAGCCTAGAGGTATTCTTTCCTTTTTTTTTTTAATTTTTTTTTTTTTTTTGAGATGGAGTCTCACTCTGCTCCCAGGTTCACATGATTCTCCTACCTCAGCCTCCCAAGTAGCTGGGATTACAGGCACGCACCACTATGCTTGGCTAATTTTTGTATTTTTATTGGAGACAGGGTCTCACCATGTAGTCCAAGCTAGTCTCCAACTCCTGACCTCAAATGATCCACATGTCTCAGCCTCCCAAAGCGCTAGGATTGCAAGCGTGATCCACCGCGCCTGGCCAGCTGGAGGTATTCTTAACCTGTCTTCTCCAAGATCACCATATCATCTTTGTTGACAAATCAAATGAGCACTTCACCTCCTGGAAGAATTTCACATTTTTTATTATCTCTCAATCTTAAAATGATCCATCTCTTGACTTCTGTAAGAAGTTCTCTCTCAATTTTTGGTCAATGCTATAACTCCTTTATTTCTTTTTGGAAATCTGTGTCCACTGAGCTATACATTCCAGTTTCTCTTAGTTTTTAATCCTTGCCATTTTTGTACCCCTTGAACCGTCTAATTTTTGTAAAAATTCTCTTACATGAACTATGACTAGCTTTACTTATATGTATGTTGAATTCATGACTTTATGTATTTTCCAGGTTTCACATATTTTTCAAGACTAGATAATGTCTTCTATTTCTTTTACACCTTTGCTGACTGCCCAGGATAGATGATGCTCACATTTTAAAACATCAAGAATTATCATCATTTTATTTTGATAAATTTGAAAATAATATACATGTTAAAGTAACGGCCGGGCGCCATGGCTCACGTCTGTAATCCCAGCATTTTGAGAGGTCGAAGCGGGCGGATCATGAGGTCAGGAGATCGAGACCATCCTGGCTAACACGGTGAAACACCATCTCCACTAAAAATACAAAAAATTAGCTGGGCGTGGTGGCGGGCGCCTGTAGTCCCAGCTACTTGGAGGCTCAGGCAGGAGAATGGCGTGAACCCGGGAGGCGGAGCCTGCAGTGAGCCGAGATTGCGCCACTGCACTCTAGCGTGGGTGACAGAGCAAGACTCTGTATTAAAAAAAAAAAAAGTAACTTTGAGTGAGGATGCACTTGCCACTAGCTATGTCCTGTTTTCTTGTGACAATCACGCCAAGAATGATGAAAAATCCTAATAATCCAGATAGATAATCCTTAGAAGTTATTTAACTATCTAAGCTTCTTCTGACATTGAGGAAGGACACTGTAGTTCAGCAAGGTTAAATAGTAAAGTTAAATGCCAATAACCTTGGCACTAAGGTTAAGGCTCCACCATGAATGAGTGTCAGAGGTGAGAAAATAATCCGTATTTCTAGAGTTATATCCCAGTGCTCTTTAAACCAGTAACGGACTGCCAGGGAAACAGTGGCACAAGAGTAAGAATGTAAGATGGTCACATGGGATCTGCATAAGTCATCTTTTATTATTACTTCCTTCCTCTTGCCAATTTCCAGAAAAACAATTTCTCTGTGAATAATGGAAAATTAAGTATTGAGCACAGTGATTGAAACTGAAGCCTCCAAACTTTCTTCACACACACACCAAAAATGAAATTAGTTTTTGGAAAATGGGTATAGTCATCACAGAAAAATCACTTGTTCAATAATTTATTGTCCTAACTATATTCTCTCCCTTCTCTAGTATTGTACTTAAATATTCAGGTTTAAAATATACATTAATGTATTTCAATATTTGTTATATAAGAAATATTTTATTTTGTCATTGTCCAGACATTAAAAGATCATGACTTATTATACTCAATGTGCCAAATCAAGTACAATTCACAATTAATGAATAGACTTTAGAAAAAAACAGCCATTTATTATGGATTTGGAGAAAAAGAACTGCTGAATGAATCAGGAAGAATGACAATTGCATTAATTTTACTACACTTGGGATGTCACAAAGGCAGAAGGGCTTGTAAAACATTTAGTGGGCCGGTAAATATTTTTCTTCTATTTGTATGGTTGACTGGTAATATTTAATAAATTTGGCTTAAAGAGCCCCATGCTAAAAGCAGTAAAATGTAATATGAGGAGATAATAAGCCAACTAAAGCAAATTATTGCCAAGTAAGATAATTATATTTAGGTTTAAATACATTTTATGCAATAAATTTATTACCATGTCACATTATTATAGGTTAATTAAATGTAGGGTAAATGCTTAGAAAATAAAGAATTTTTTCATGAAATTTAACATGTGTGACAATTTGATTGAATTAATAGAAGGAAAATATTTTCTTAAATAAGACCCATTTTTTTTGTTTTTATTTTTGTTTTTGTTTCCAAGATGGCTGACTGCAGACACTAGCTACTGGTTCTTCTCAGAAATAAAAACCAAAGTTACAGGTAAATGATCATGGCCAGAGTAGAATACTGAAGGAAGAGTTTCCGAACCTGTCAGAGAACCCATGGGATGAATCTGGGGTGCAGAAAAAGAAGGCAGCAAGAGTTTGGAAGCTAATGCCCCCTGAGGAACTTGTAATCCCATGAAAAGAGTAGGTTGGGTGTTTCTTTGCTCCCCTTCCACCTGCCCCAGATTGCTGACTGCCAAAATGGTGGTGAGCTCCTCTGCACCCCCAAGCCCAGGAACTGCTGCTGGTGGCCATTTGAGGAGTCCTTGGGAGCAGAGCATCAGGAGGCCAGTTCGCAAAGTTTCATTCACCCTCACGTCAAACCCAAGCTGAGGAGGTGGGCACTTTATTGGCTGTGTGCTGCCATTCTGCCCAGAGAATCTCAGCCCTTAATGTCTCCACATGAGTTGATTTCCTGCAAACAACCCGGTAGAACCCACTGAGACCGTGGCAACTACAGGGGAACTGTCAAGACCCGGAGGTGCTGCAGGATTTCTGGAGGTCTTGCCCTCAACATGGGCTACCCCTAGGGGAAAGGGAATGCAGTGTGTCAGAGCACTCTTTGGTCAAAGAAAACGTTTGTGTACTCTCCCCTGCCTGAGATTCCCTGCTTCTGAGCAGAAGGTGACTGTGCCTTTACCTACTGGAGAAGAGAGTATGGTACCAGGCTCCAAAGGGGAGAAGTGAGGTTCTACCCCAGGTGACAGGTGGCACCAGTGACCAGGAATGGACACGGAGAGGGAATATTTTGCCCCCTTATCCACTGGAATGGACACAATTTCGATCTTTCTGCTTGAAGTTGCTTCAGGGGTTTGCTTGAGAGTGCACCCGAGGACAGTTTTCCAGGGCTATTGAAAGTGGCTGTACACCCACTGAAAGTTTTCCCCCGGCCCCTTCCTACACAGAGCAGAAGGATTCCTGTTGCGGAGTGTGGTCCAGCTGCAGAGCTGTCTTCTTTGGGCTAAGGAAAGATGTTCTGCCCCAGGACTATTTTGGCGGTAGCTGTGGGATGGAAATGTTCTGCAAACATCAGTTCCGTTGCAACCTAGAGATAAAAACTGCCTATCTGAACTAAAGGCCAGGAGCCATGGAACAGGGTTATGATAGGAAAGTGGATTGCCTTCCTGCCTTCCTAGTGTATGTCGCTGGTGCACCTCCCTCTTCCACCGTATACCTTTGTGTATCTCACCATGAACTCTCCTTGCCATCCCCATTTGGGCCCATGCTTCCCATAGTCTTTGGAGTATCTAAGAGTGAGCCAGTTCTTACTCATAAGTGACAACTACTGGACTGGAGATTGAACTGAACATCCAAATGAAACATCTGTTGACAGAAGGCCTTCATGCTAGGGAATGAGATAAGCTTCCCAAGACCTCTGCACTTCCAGAACTAAAGAGGATAGTTAGTCTGCTTATATTCCCAAAACATTGTTATTACAATCAGCATATGAGAAAGCCACTATGCAAAAGCTATCTATAAACAAGGGACTCATACAGAGCCTTCTCTATCTGAAAGCAGCTAGAATTGAAGCCAAACAATCATATACAACATAATTACAGTCATACCGTCAATTTGGGAAAATAAAAAAGTCCCATCAGAATGAAAGCAAGTTCAAAAATAAGAAGTGATAGCTTCTCCAGACAGAGAAAAAATCTATGTAAAAACCTTGGCAATACAAAAACAAAAAAACAGTTAAACAATACTTTCTAGGAATCACACTACCTTTCCAGCAATGGAGGCTAACCAAAATGAAAATTCTGTTATTACAGATAAAGTATTCAAAATTTAGATTGCAAGGAAGCTCAGCAAGTCCCCGAGAAAGTTGAAAATCTATACAAATAAATCAGAGAAACAATTCAGGATATGAGTGAAAAATTTACTAAAAAGATCTAGATTGCAAAAATAGAACTGCTGGAAAGAAAAAAAAAATCACGGATGGAATTACTAATTATAATTGAAAGCTTTTTTGAGTAGACCAAGAAGAAAAAATTCAGAGCTTGAAGACTTGTCCTTTGGATGAAACTAGCCAGAAAAAAAATAATTAAAAATATAAACAGTCTTCAAAAATTTGGTCTTATGCAAAGCAAACAAACCTATGAGATATAGGCATTCCTGAAGGAAAACAAAATTGAAAAGCTTGGAAAACATATATGACTGTATAATTTAGCAAAACTTCCCTGGTCTAGCTAGAGAATTAGACATCAAGATACAAGAAGCTCAGAAAACACATGAAAGATTCTGTGAAAGAAAAACATTATAAAGGCATATAATCATCAGACTATCCAAAGTAAATGTGAAAAACTAAACTATTGAAAGCTACAAGAGAGGAGTTTGTCTAATTACCTATAAAGCAAATGCCATCAGACTAACTGGAGACTTCTCAGCAGAAACCTTACAAGCTAGAAGAGATTGAGGCCTATTTTCAGCCTGCTTAAAAAAAAAAAATACACCCACCAGCCAAGAGTGCTCTATCCTGCCAAACTAAGATTCATGTATGTAAGAGGAAATAAGGACTTTCCCTGAGAAGCAAAGGCTAAGATAATGTGTCATCACTAGATTGAACCTATAAGAAATGGTCAAAGGAATTCTAAACATGGAAATGAAAGGAAATATATGCCTCCTAAAAGTCCATGAAAATACAAAGGTCACAGATCCAAAGCAATTACACAATTGAGACTACAAAGCATCGGCATGACAGCTAACATTTGATAGGAACAAGCCCCTTACATATAAATATTAACCTTGAACATAAATAATTGTTCCACATAAAAATATAGAATGATGATGGAGTTTATAAAAAAAACAAGCTTTCTTCAAGAAACCTAAGTTGTAAGAACATTTTCAGTCTCAAAAAATATGGTGGAAAAGATATTCCATCCAAAAAGAAACCAAAAATGAGTAGGGATAGTTATATTTATATTAGATAAAGCAGACTTTAAACCACCAACACTACAAAACAGACAAATAATGTCATGATATAATGATAAAGGGTTCAATTCAACAAGAAGATAGAATAATTCTAATTATATGTCCACCCAACACCAGAGCACCCAGATTCATAAAGCAAATACTACTAGACCTAAGAAAAGAGACAGACATAAATCTAATAATACTAGGGGACTTCAACACCACACTGACATCACTAAACAGATTATTGAGGCAGAAAATCAACAAAGAAATTCTGAACTTAAACTGGACTCTAGACAAATGGACCTAATAAACATTTACAGAACATTCTATGCAACAACTGCAGAACACACATTTTTGTCATCTGTGCATTGAACATTCTACACAATAGACCATATACTTGGCCATAAAGCAAGTCTCAATAAATTTTAAAAAAATCAAAATCAGATTGAGTATCTACTTGGACAACAATGGATAAAACTAGAAATAAATATCAAGAGCAATTTCTCAACACTACACAAGTAGATAGAAATTAAACAATATGCTCCTGAATGATCTTTGAATAAATAATGAAATCATGGCAGAAATTAAAAAAATCTGAAACAAATGAAAATAAAGACAAACATACCAAATCCTCTGGGATACAGAAAAGGCAGTGCTAAAATAAAAGTTTATAGTGTTAAATGCCTACAACAGAAGTATAGAAAGATTTCCAATTAAGAAACTCATGTTACAATAAAAAAAGCATTCAATAAAATACAACATGATAAAAACTCTAAACAAACTAGGTATCAAAAGAACACCTTAAAATAATAAAAGCCATATATGACAAACCCACAGCCAACATCATACTGAACAAGGAAAATTTGAAAGCATTCCACCTAACAACTGGAACAAGACAAAGATGTTCACTTTTAACACCTCTATTCAATATAGTACTGTAAGTCCTAGTCAGAGCAATCAGGCAAGAGAAAAAAAAATGTAAAGCATCCAAATTGGAAAAGAGGAGGTCAAATTATTTCTGTTTGCTGATGACATAATCTTATAACTAGAAAACCCTAAAGAGTCCTCCAAAAATCTTCTAGATTTGATCAATGACTTTAGCAAAGTTTTAGAACACAAAATAAATGTACAATAATGTAGCATTTCTATACACTGATAGTGTTCAAGCTGAGAAGCACATTAAGAACTCATTCTCATCTACAATGGCTATAAAAAAATTTTAAAAACTTACATTTAACCAAGAAGGTGAAAAATCTCTACAAGACACTGATGAAAAAAATCACAGATGATACAAACAGAGACACAACCCCATTCTTATGGATTGAAAGAATCTATATCATGAAAATGACTTTAATGATCAAAGCAATCTATAGATTCAACACAATTTGTATTAAATTATCAACATGATTTTTTATAGACTTAGAAAAAAATACTTAAGTTAATTCAGAATCAACAAGAGCCTGAATAGCCAAAGCAATTCTCAGAAAAAAAAGAAAAAAGCAGGAGGCATCACATTTCCTGAATTTGAATCATACTACAAAATGAAAGTAAACAAAATAGTGTGGTACTGGTATGCATACAGACACATAGATCAAGAGAACAGAATATTCAATTCACAAAAGTTAACAATTATGGTATTCCCATAACGTAAATGAGAAAACTGACCTTTGGGAATTTAAACATGTTGCCTAATTTTCACAGTTAAGAAATGATGGAGTTAGGTTTCAAAGTGACATTGTTTGGGTCTGGAGTTCATATCTTTATGCTATGCAATGATATATCTTCATTTGCGTGTATATGTAGGTATACATACACACATGTTTCATTAACATCTATGCTTGGTTCTTCTTCTGCTTTGTTATTTTAATTCAATGGTTCATTTACATACATATACATGAAGCATACAGGTATATTTATGCACAGATATATACATGTGTTTATGTGTATATATATATAATTGTTGATATCAGTATAATTATTATGTCATAATATCTAATAAGGTTACTCCTCACATTATTTATTATTTTTACACATATTTCTTGATTATCCTCAGGCAATCCTAATTAATTTGAAGACATTTTTATCCCTTGTGACATTGGTCAATCAAAAATCCTTTGTTTCTTCTCTATCCCTCTACTTTCATGGGGAAGGAGCCACTATTTGAATTCGTTTACCATAAATTATTCTTGTACTTGACTTCTTGTGCTCAATACAATGTACTTGAGAGTCATCCATTCATGTTGTCCTAAGTATTAGTAGTTTGTTTTTTTATGTATGTTTACATTTCTAGCTGTTTATCAGATTTATCTATTTACATATATGTATTTGTTTACTTATTTGTTTTAAATGTATTCCATTCTGTGAATATAATACTATGTTTGTATCTATTCTCCTCTCCTCCTGATAACAGGCATTTTAATTATTTTTGGTTTGCCATTCTTCCATAAGTCTTTTTGTAGACATAATATCTTAGTCTTCAGTAAATAACAAGAAATGGCAATGATAAGTCATAGGATAAGTATGTAGTTTGGTTTAGAAATTATTGACTTCATCAGATGTAGAGATCCAATGCTTAGATTTTACTAGATATTACTTCAATAGATGAGCTGCCATGAGTAGTACAGGTAGCTTAGAGCATCCAGCTGCAGCATTTTGAGGAATCATCAGGGCATTTGAGCAAAGGCCATGCTTTCTACAGGCAGCCCTCCCATGACGATTGAGCACACTAGATCCTGCTGAGTCAGTCTTTCCTCCTGGACTACTCAGTTTTATCACTGAGACTTCCTTAGATCTATATCACAACCTGAGATTCTTCCTACACATCCTCCTGTCCTTTCACATATTAGTGTCACACGAGTAGCATGGTCTGAAGACTTTCTCACTCCTGGCAACTATCCCTTTACCTTCCATAGTTGCAGTGGGGGCATAAGCCTGTCATTACCTTCTGTATCTCACTCTAAAATAAAATTATATTTATTTGTTTGTTTGTAAGTATGTATTTCTGATATTCTAAGTCACTGTTAACATGTATTGCCTAATAATTTTATAGATGAATCATTAGAAATTTAAGTGTCTGTTTTTCTTTCTTAAAATGAGAAAAGTAATTAATAGCCACCCTCAATATCACACTACTACTTTTTTAGCAGAATATTGAAAACAGTTTATATCTTACTTCATTTCTAGTCTATTATTTATTCATTGTATTGCTGACATAAATATTTTAAGAGAAAAAAGGATCAAAGATTTGCATTATTAGGAAAATACTTTGTTAGATTTTTGTCAATTACTGGAGAAAGCTGTATTAACCAATCATTTAAGTTAGTGCTTATGATGATAATTGCATTTCTTTAATAATATAAAATACAGAAATTGTCTAGTTCTGTTTCCCATATGTAATGCCTTCTGTTCTGACAGTATGATGCTAAATCTGTAGTACATTGGGGCATTATTATGTTGTTCTGTTCATTTTTTTCTTACTCAGTTTTGCTTTAGAAATCATATAATTTATACTAAAAATAATGTTTCATGCCATTTAATATTTACAATTGTTAGTATTATTGATGCTACTTCTCATAATTACAATTTGAGATATTTACTATAAGATTACTTAATTTTTAAAAATCCAGTTTCTAGTCAATGAAGATGATGCTCAATGAGGGCTGGACCTAATATTTCTTTCAGAATATGAGTAATATTTATTGGCAATCACCTATAAATTATTTCATGTAATATGAGCTATTATTCTACATTAATTCAAATATTTCATATGAGAATTGCAGATTAACTTTTGCCTCGTTATATCCCCTTTTATGTAAAATGAAGAAAATTTTGTTCTGCCACAATTTTACTTCTCCTGTTCTTTTGTATTTTCTTTTTCTTGTTTTCTTTGCTGGTTTCTCTTCAGCTCACTTACATCTAATTTTTTGTAATCTGAATTTGGTCTCCTCGTGACATGATGTAAAGGATTTTCAGTTTGAGGTCTCTACCCCTGCCTGTCCCTTGAACTTTAAACTAATATGTTATGAGTACTTGTCTCTCTTAGATCTTCAACCTAACTTATTCAAACCAGATGATTCATTTTTCATGCAGACGTGCTCCCCGAATTGTCTTCTCCATTCAAGTAAATTACAACTTCGTTCTTCTAGATACTCAGGACAGCAACTGTGGAGTCATTTTAATTTCTCTCATTTCATTTTTTTTTCAGAGTGCACCGCAAATTGTGTTAAGTGCATCTTCAAATCTGTTCTACTTAATGCTTCCATAATTAAGATCCTGGATCAACATCGTATTATTGCAAGAGGATATTCCTACTAAAGGATCTTCCAACTTCTACACTTTCCTGCCACTACTTCCCCAAATCTGTTCTCAATACAAAAAGTGGGATGATTCTTCCCTAAATTAAGTCACATAATATCATTATTCTGACAAAATACAACTAATGGTTTCCCATCTCATTTAGAGTAAATCCAGCAATTGCTTCTGTTATAGCTTTGCTTTAATTTTCTGTTGTTCTCCCTTCTCTCACAGAATTTGGCTTACATTGCTAACGCAGGCCTCCTGATCCTCACGATATTTCAGGCATGTGCTTGTTTTAGGGGCTTTCGGACTTCTGTAACCTCTGCTTAAAATGTCCTTTCCAGGTGTCCACATGTCCATATGGTTTGCGCAACTCCTTCAGACTTCTGCTCTTCACCTTCTCTTAACTTGGTAATCCATAGTAAATCTGTTTTTCTTTCATAAAGAAAGTCTGGGCCAGGCGCGGTGGCTCACAGCTGCAGTCCCAGCACTGTGGGAGGCTGAGGTGGGCAGATCACCTGAGGTCAGGAGTTTTAGAACAGCCTGGTCAACATGGCCAACATAGCCAACATAGCAAAACCTGTCTCTACTAAAAATACCAAAAAAAAAAAAAATTAGCTGGGGCATGGTGGTGGGCGCCTGTAATCCCAGCTACTCAGGAGGCTGAGAGAGGAGAATTGCTTGAACCCAGGAGATGGTGGTTGCAGTGAGCCAAGACTGTGCCACTGCACTCCAGCCTGGGCAACAGAGCAAGGCTCCCTCTCAAACAAAGACACAAAAAAAGAAAGAATCTCACCCTGAGATATCCAAGGAGTTAGCTCTTACAGACAGAAAACTTAAGATCAGATATTATAAATATTTTAGAGTAATTAATGGAAAATATGTTCAAAGAATTAAAGACAAATGCATGCAAAAACTAAAGAAAAGTATATTTTTGATGAGTGAGACAGAGCAAGACTCCGTCTCAAAAAAAAAAAAACAACTCCATACATGGACACACACACAAACATATAAACATTTAATTAATATTTTTGAATGAATGTATAGTTTCCTATTTATAGCCTTACAAAACTTTTAACTTGAAGAAATTAAACACTGGGTGAATTTTCTAAATGTAACATCTATTTGAGAATTAACAAAAACACGTTTGAGGTTATAGAAATTATTTAATTCTGAAAAAGAATCACTTTAGCACATAAAATAAGTGATTTTTTTACTGCTTTAAAAGAATTTATCGCTACTCCTTTTATTTTGTTTTTGTTCTTTTCAGCTTACTAAGACATAATTGACAAATACAAATTGCATATATTAAAGATATACATAATTATCTGATATACATATACATTATGAAATTATTTGTACAATCAAATTAATATAGTAATTACCACATTTAGTTGCCATTCCCTTGTATATCTGCATGTGTGTGCAGTGAGGACACTTAAGACCTACTGTCTTAATAAATTTTGAGTAAACAATACATTATTATTAACTATAGTCACTATCCTGTATATTAGACCTCCAGAACTTATTCATCTTATAAGCAAAATTTGTACTCTTTCGACATTTCCTGTTTCCTCTATCCTCCATCCTGTCAATAGCTGTTTTATTCTCTGATTCTATGAGTTTGACTTTTAAAAAATTCCACATATAAATGAGATCATGCATTACTTTTCTTTCAGTGTCTGACTTATTTCAGCTAACAAAATATCTTTCATAATATTGTTGCTAATAACAGGATTTCCTTCTTATAATATTCCAGTGTATGAATATACCACCTATTCCTTATCCACTCATCTATCAATGAACACTTAGATTGTTTATGCATTTTGGATATTACTAATAATGTTGCAGTAGAAATGAGGATGTAGATACTTATTTAAGATACATATTTCATTTTCTTTACGTTTATATCCAGAAGTAAAATTGCTGGAATGCATGGTTGTTCTATTTACATTTTTTAGCAATCTTCATATTGTTTTCTTTAAAATGCTTTTACAATGAACATTCCCACCAAAAATGTACAAGCCTTCTATTTTCTACTCATCCTTAACAATGCTTTTTATCTCTTGTCTTGTTGATAATAGCTATCCTAATATGTGTCATATCTCACTTTGAATTTGTTTTCTATTTACTTATTGATTAGTTATGTTGACCACCTTTTCATATACCTGGCGGCCACTTGTATATCTTTGGAAAATTTTACATGGAGATCCTTAATTCATTTTAATAGAGTTATTTGTTTTGTTGCTATTGAGTTGTGTGTGATCTTTATATATTTTGGATATTAACCCCTTGGCAAATATACTGTTTCCAAATATTTTCTCACATTACTTAGGTTGCCTTTTTAGTTTTTATTTTTTTGTTTTCTTTGCTGTGGAGAAGCTTTTTAGTTTGATGCAATTCCACTTGCTTATGTTTGCTTTCATTGCCTATGCTTTTGGTGTTATATCCATGACATAATTGCCAAGGTCAAGGTCAAGGAGGTTTTTTTTGTATGATTTCCACAAGGATTTTTACAGTTTTAGGTTTTACACTAAATATTTAAATAATTTCAAGTTTATTTTTGTATATGTTTTAAGATATGAGTTTAATTTCATTCCTTTGCATGTAAATATCCTGTTTTGCCAACACTATTTATTGAAGACCATATTTTCCTTATTGTCTATTCTTGACACTCTCATCAAATATACAACAACGAAGTTATGCTGAAAACAGGGTCTTCACAGCAGTGGTTATGGCATTACGAACACAAAAAATAAATACAGGTTATTGTTTACATAAGTTCTGATCCATACATATAGGGCCATTAAAAATAAAAATATTATATCACTGAGTTTTATCATAAAATGCCATCATTCCCATTGATGATAACACACCTAATACATAATCACATTTCAAGTTATGTGAGAATGTCCTGGCATGAGAAGAAGGTGGTTTAATTTTTTTTTTAGATGTAAGGAAACAAAAAGATAATAATGAAGGTGGGTTTATTATAATTGTTTAACTACTGTTACCGAATAGTGTTTACATTTTATTTTGATTCTGTTCACTTAGGCAAATAAAAAATATTTATAATATTAAATTAAAAAGTTTATGCAACTAAAATGCATTTTACTGAGAAAATGTTGTAGAAAAATAATATTCTATTTCCAGGATCAAAAATAAATTATGTTTTTATAATATCCACTGAACTATGAAGATCTTGTGTGTAATTTCATATCATAAAATATAACCTAAACTAAGAATTCCAAGACTCATATTCTGTTAAAAGATAAGCTAGAATTTCATAGTTTTGGTTTTGCTTTGTATGTAATTTTCTCTCAGTGTACTAAAATAGCACTTATAGTTAATAAGAAAATAATGACATTTAATTCTGTTGCCTTTTAATTGGTTTCCTTTTAGAGCTTTAATTTGCAACTTGTAAATTGCCTTGATACATGTGAAAGTGTCTATTCCTTAGGTAATTTGATTTTTCAAAGTTGTACTTGATGACTATTCACTAATGGTGCTATCTTTTTAAATGATAAATATTGTTCTTTGATATTATAGAAAGCATGCCTATTTCAGAAAATTGCTTAAAATGAAAAGGGATACTTTCTATACATATGAAAAACTTACTTTCAAAATTTTGATAGCCTCTGTTTAAAATTAATCTGTGGAGTTTTCCTGTGTGATTACTCCTTCAATGAGCGATCATTGACCATCAGTATGGTGGCCAGTAACTTTTTGTTACCCTTGCCCTTAGCCTTACCCTTTTACCCTTGTCATTTCTCTTATTCTTCTTTCATTAATCTATTTTTGAAGAGGGTGAATTACTGTTAAATATTCTTTTGAGAAACTTGGAGTAACATTTTACTTTACAAGATGCTTGTCAATAAGCTGATTAGTGTTCAGACTAAATTGATAATTTTTGTAAAGCCTGTGATTGTTTCAAAATAATCTTTTGTTTGGCAGTTTTGCTTAAGTACTGACATGGTTCTCCAGAGAAGATTCTATCAAAAGAGAAGAAAGTAGCTCACAGAATATATATCATAAGAATGTGGAGAGAATGTAGGCTATTTCCATTTCTATTGCCTAGGAACAGAAAAAATATAGTCTGTTTCTAAGAAATTCTGCTTCCTTAGTTGCTCACAGCCCTGTGACTTATTTTGGGGAACAAAAGTGAGTACACAAAAAATTACTTGGGATGTCTTATTTTGACCAAAAATTGTTTGTTTGTGTTAATCTGGTCCTCATATTTGTGGACAATCATGCTAGGTACTTTTAATCACTTTGAAATTGTTTGCCTTTGAAAAGACACTAGCCATGGCAAGTGACAAATTTCCAGTAGTTAGAGTAAGTCCATGACCAAAAGACGTGTCACTGATACCTTTATTAATCTTTTCTCCATTCTTAATTAGTAGAATATACAATATACCGAAAAATTGCCCCCAACTCACAGGTAAAAAAAAAAAAACACATCAATTTAAACATAGATGTAGACTAAATTAAACTTCTTATGAAAACGAATATTTCTGAAGAGAATTCTCTATATTTAACCTTTAAATTTCTATAAAAACATCATACAAGCACATACACACACACACACACAAACACACAAACACCTACTTTTCCTTGTAGATTAGAAGGAGTATGAAATTGGGGAGTAAAAAATTATTGCTCTTAGTTCAATATGGGCTAACCTAAAGATAGGAAATTTTAAGTGATCTTTTGATTCACTGTATTCAGAAGATCTTGAAAAACTTACTTAGCAAACTGAAATTGTGTCTGGATCTCTTCTCAATGCAATAAAGCAAATATATATTTTGTTTGAAGACAATTTTAACTTTCAAATGCCTTCCTTTTTATATCACTATTACAAGCTTACTTTTTATCTTTTTGTAAATTATCCCTAACGTCTTTAAATATATAGCGATATATGTTGATGTTTGTAATAATAAAAGCATTCTTGGATTTTATTTTACCCAACATAGCTTAGCTTAGGGATCCCCAGCCCCTGGGCCACAGAACAGGAGGTGAGAGGCTGGCAAGCCAGTAAAGCTTCATCTGTATTTACAGCCACTTCCCATCACTCGCATTACCACCTGAGATCCACCTACTGTCAAATCAGCCTTGGCATTAGATTCTTATAGGAGTGCAAACCCTATTGTGAACTAGTCATGCAGGTGATCTAGGTTGCATGCTCCTTATGACAATCTGATGCCTGATGATCAGTCACTGTCTCCCATCGCCACCAGAAGGGACCATCTAAGTTGCAGAAAAATAAGTTCAGAGCTCCCACTAATTCTATATTATGGTGAGTTATATAATTATTTTATTATTATATTACAATGCAATAATAATATAAATAAAATGCACAATAAACATGTGCTTGAATCATCCCAAAACCATCCCCACCCCCACCTCAGTTCGTGGAAAAAGGTGTCTTCCATGAAACCAGTCCCTGGTACCAAAAAGGGTGGGGACTGCTGCCTTAGCTAGTATATAGGCCAACTTAGAAAAGAAATCAGAAACGACTGTAAAAATAATAATTTTTAAAAGTAATTAAATTAAAATCAGTTGTCAGAAAATAAATATTGTGTTTGTTCCTATAATAGGTAAGTTCACTCACTGGCAAATAGTTTACTTGTATTTCACTTTTGAGTGATTTAGCTTACCACTTTCAGGGCTTATGCAATTAATATTAATTTTTATATTATGTAAGTATGTTAAAAATGTGTTTGTAGAACTTGGATTACAAAATATTATACAGTATATATTTTATTTGATTAGGTGTTCATTAATCTTCACATTTACACTTTGTAAGGAGGAGATACTATCAGTTTAAAGATAGGAAAATACAACATACATATAATTTTTTATTTACATGCATAATTAGGTACACAAGATGACCAATAGTCAGCACTAAGGTTACTGTGTTTAAAGAAAAATAAAAATGCAAAGGTATATAAATTAAAATGAAATAATCTCTCTACCATGCAAAACCCTTTCATCTCTTCCCACACTCTCCCAACCTAGACACACACACATACACACACAACTGTGCATCTGTGTGAACTGTGAACCAACATTAATTACTTAGTGGTTTCCACCCCAGAATATTTACCATACTCACATGTTTTCTTTGCTTTATTTAAGTATAATTTAAATATATCTGACAACCATCTAGACAAGCATAGAGTTGATAAAAGCATTTTAACCATAATAAAGAGCCCTTACAAATTAAAAAAGAAAATAAATCAAATTAACAATAAATAATCCAATAAATAATACAAATCTGAAAAAACAATAAAACTTACTTATTTTAAAGGTACAGTTTGATCACATTTTGTAATGGCACATGATCAGGAAGAATAAGGCACATGGACACCGGAGACTGAGGAAGGCAGAATAGGATTTTTTAAGTTACAGAAAAAGCTCTCAGCAGAGAGGGGACCCAAAAGAGGGTTGCCAGGTACAGGGCTAAGTTCTGGGGTTTTTTGGACTGGGAAGGAAGAGACGTGCACTGACTAGTCTGGGAGCCGTTTTGGAAAAAGCATCATTCAGAAAGAGATATGATACTGCAACGAACCAACTGGAGGCAGAAGTGACAAGTGACGTCTTGGCCGGCAACCATTCAGGGGCTGGAGTGACATTTCAGACTATGGAAATGAAGACTCAGCCCATGACCAATCACACAAAGATAGGTATATGTGAAATAGGTGAAAGGTAAGGACTAAATGGGAGGAAGACTGCCAAACATGAGTGGTAGTCCTCACTCTGGTCCATGGATTCTATCCAGAACTGGCCCCTAAGTTTTCAGGCTTTAGACTGTTCTTGGCTTGAAGGTCGACTTACAGGGGGCATCCATCCCTTCCTGCATAGGAATTCACCTGCCCTGCTACTATCACTATAATTTCTGTATCAACTCAAATGTTTCATTTCTCTTGAGCAAATACCTAGGAGTGAAATCTCAGGTTTATATAGTAAGTGTATGTTTAACATTTTATGAAATGTCAAACTGTTTTTCACAAAAATTGTGCAAATTTACTTCCCACAGCAATATATACCTTTGCCTCACATCCTTGCCAACATGGATAATGTCAGTTCTTTTAATGTTTGCTATACTAGTGTCTGTGTGCTAGTATCTCATTTTGGTTTTAGTCATTTACCAGATGACTGGTCAAGTATAGTGCCTTTTACTGTGTGTATTAGCCATTCATATATCTTCTTTTGGTAAGTGTCTGTTCAAATTATTTGCCTATTCTAAAATTAAATTAATTGTCTTCTTGAGTTATGAGTTTTTTCTGTATTCTGGAAAAAATTCTTATGTCAGTTACATTGCTATTTTTTCCCAGTCAGTTGCTGATATCTAACATACTTCATTATTTATTTCAAAGTACAAAAGTTTAAATTTGATAAAGTCCAAGTAATCAACATTTTAATGGTCTTTTTAGGTTTATTTAAGAAATCATTGGCTAATCTTATGTCGCAAAGATTTTCTTTTGTGTTTTATTTCAGAGTTTTAATAAGTTTTTTTAATTAAAATCTATTACATATTTTGAATTACTTTAATGTACGGTGTGAGGTAAGAGTTGAGATTTATTTTATGTTTTTGCCTGCCTACATATCGTTATTTCAGCACCATTTGTTAAAAGGTTTATCTTATCATTATCTTTCATTATAAGATCATTAGAATTATCTTATTTAAATATTTAAAATGCTAATCTTATATTTAATTATCAGTTGAATCAAATTGTAACTTTGCTAGGAATTATTTTAATAATATAAATGTGGCTATATTTTAGGGAATTCCCTTATATTTTATTGATGTATATGTTTTTCTTTTTGGCAGTATCACAACATTATTAATTATTCAGGTCTTAAAACAGGGAATAGTAAGAGCTTCAACCTTGCTCTTCCTTTTCAGTATTGTTTTGACTAAGCAAGATTTAAAACTTTTCAAATAAATTATAAAATAGGCTGTGCTTTTTGTTTCTAAAATGCTTGCTCAGGTTTATTGTCATTGCACTGAATGTATTAACCAATTTGAGAACTCTGGGAATGACTGCCATGCCATGCTAAATTATTGAATCTTAAATTTATGAAAATGCTATACTAAAATCATGTTATTGTATCATTTCATTCATATGGAGTACAAGAAAAAGCAAAACTAAACCACAGTAATAGAAATTATAAATGGTTGTTGATGAGGCAGGGAAATTGTTTAAAAATTGCACCAGGGAATTTTCTGGGAGAATGGGTACATTTTACATATTGTTTGGATAGTATTATGGAGGTGTATATAATTGTCAAAACTCATTCAGCTGAATAACTCGAATATGTATTTTAAAATGTTTTTCTAAAATATTATCAAATATTTTAAAATTATACAGCTACTTATGCTAATGTCAATATGTAGATTTCATACTGTTGATACTTCCTGGCTGCCCAGAAGTAAAACCTCAATCATGTTGCAATATTATTTTAATATCGTGCATAATTCAAGGTTATCCTCATCTTACCTATATCATTTGGTGAAATAGATATATTGCCCTGGACTATCTATGAGAAGAAGTAGTAATAGACAGTTTTTAGAATAATCTCAAATATTTAAATAATAGTTTAAACATAGCATATGCTAAAGAATATATAGTTCTTAAAAGTTTCAACTCAGCATAAAACCCTCCTCAATGATATCTTTTGTAATGGTACTTCTGATATCTGTAAAAAATAATATATACTATGAAAGATATATTTTCTCTACTTTGAGTAAGTGAAAATGAAATGTTTAGAACCATTATTAGAAAGTACATTATGTTCAGATATTGAAGAAAACTAGATGAGTTTAGATAGAGCAAAGAGTAACACAAAAAAAGTTAGAGAAAATAAAGAGATCATCTATGCTTATTTTGCTTATTATGATTAGTTTCTAATATTAAGAAATATTGTATACCAAAATCCATTTAAGAAATTGAGTTAAGAAATATTTAAATATGACTGCATGAATTTGATATATTGACAAAATGGCCTCTATACTACAATAACTACTTATCTACTCTTTATATGAAGAAACAAATATTTATTCTTTCTTTCTGTTGACTCAGTCAACGCTCTGAAATCTTATGATTATGACTTTAAGAACCATTAGCCAGGCTGTCTTATGAATTTTATTTTTTGTTTTTCACCAGAATTATTACAAAGTGGAGCCATTGTATGTGGCAGAGCATTTTTTAAAATTGTAAATACTAGCGTTTCAGTTCATCCTAAGTTATCAAACTTTATGTTTTATTAGGAAACATCACCTATTTAAAGTAATTGCCACATGGAAAGTAATACCTCTACCTTATCCCCATGTTTCAGTCCACACACAGGATGAATTTTTAACAAGAAACGATAGCAGATGAGAGATAGTAATAAAAACAGAACATGGGGAGCTGGAAAAGACAAATGAGACTTGTGATTCATCAGAGCATGAACAGTGGAAACCATGGTATCTAGAGGAGAAACCTCAAAACAAACAGAACAATGATTGGGATAATCATGCCTTCCAAAAAACTCGTCAGGCTGATTCTGTGCTGAAGGAACATTTAATCATTAATAGAGCAGTCTACCAAGACTTTTATGATGGGATATCCTTCAACAAGTTCTCCTAACGAGTGATGCTACACATCCTAAAGTCTTAAAATATCATGAGTCATCAGCATTTAAATATTAATAATTTCATTGTTCAGTTATTCAATTTTCCAAAAGATAAACAGATATAAAAATGATAAAATCAACATTTTTTCACATTTGAAATATTTTAAACTAAGATTTAGATATTTTTAAATAATAAATAACAAGAATCTGAAATATTTTACCTTGGTGCTTGATATCTCACTTAAGTATATTGTTGAAGAGGATTTGTTTCAGTATCTGTAAGTCTTTTTTACTCTCTCTCAACAATGTTAAGATCCATAATCATTTAATTAATTTATTTTACTATTTTAATACTTGGTGAAATGTTTCATAATTATCATAGATTATTCATTTTAATTCTAATATTCAGATATTTATTGTGAAAATATTACATATTATGTAACTACCACCTTAAATACAAAGCATATCAAATTGCTTAGTAGTAAAAAGAGATTGAGAAACATCAAATAAAAATAACATACTCTGTTTGAGAGACAGTCATCAAGAAACATCTGCCTCTCCTAAATATAATTAAGTAATCAGCTAAGATGGGCCATGTGTTATTAAGTAACTCTTCTTTAGCATATTTGCATTAGGTCGCTAATCACTTGTGAAGCACTAGTTTCCATGAAGTGTGACATGGCATATATTAGGGAAAATTGTTCTTAGATGTTTTTTAAAAATGTTTAAGATTTTATGTTTTTTAAATGCATTTTAAGAAGCACATTGTAAAATCAGGAAAATATTGAAAATAGGTGCAACATGCTTTCTAAGTTCCCGATGCCTGTATTTACATTTCCTTTTATATTCCTTTATTAGACTCCACAAAATAACCCTCTCAGTGAAGGTCCCAATATGTAGCTTGATTTACTTTCTCTTCTTTCCTGGTTTTCATTTTCTCTACCTTTTTCTTCTTTTCTCCCCCCGGCCCAAAATTCCTATTGAACCACACCAATTACGGTATTAATTATAATACAATAATTCACTCAAAAAATAACTTTTTGTAATGTAACTCTGTAGTCTCAGCTGATAACTATAGTTGGGACTACAGAGTTACATTACAAAAAGAGGCTGAGGCAGGAGAATCGCTTGATCTGGGGAGGCAGAAGTTGCAGTAAGCTGAGATCATGCCATTGCACTTCAGCCTGGGCGACAGAGTGAGACTCCATCTCAAAAAAACAAAACAAAACAAAACAAAAAACTAAAATAAGACTTCTAATTTTTTCTTTGTTATCTAAAATAAAAATGAAACAATGTTTCAGTCTGCTAAATGTATGCCTTGAAACTTCTTTATTATCCATGCACAAATTTTAACCTACAAGTGTTTGAAAGTCATTTGCCTTGACCCACCTACAGCTGTGGGTCAGGTACAAGTCTTAACCATTTCATACCTAAAATGGTTTCCTAGTCACGAATATGTCATTCTCTATCTCCCACCACTCTCCTCTTAGAAAAACACCATTTATTGTCAAGTTTCCCACAACATTTATCTAGTATATAAAATACCTTATGTGGAATAGATTAAAACATGTGGAGTACACCAAACACATTTTTGCTAATCCCCCCAAACTTATGATATACAATATATAATTAATACAAAAATAAATGTGAAATAGTGTTAGAATAAAATAATGATAAGCAGAAATAAATTGTGAGACATTTATAGAAAATGCAAAGCATGTGGGATCATGTTAATGAAACCAGCCCAATCGTCCCATACAATAGATGTTTACATTTATATGGAATAAACATAGAAATTGAGCATACTGGCCAGGCGCAGCGACTCATGACTGTAATCCCAGCATTTTGGGAGGCCGAGGTGGGCAGATCATGAGGTCAAGTAATCAAGACCATCCTGGCCAACATGGTGAAAACCAGTCTCTACTAAAAATACAAAAATTAGCTGGGCATGGTGGCATGCACCTGTAGTCCCAGCTACTTGGCAGGCTGAGGCAGGAGAATCGCTTGAACCCAGGAGGTGGAGGTTTAATGGACTCACAGTTCCTCATGACTGGGGAGGCCTCACAATCAAGGTGAAGCAAGAGCAAAGTCACATCTTATATGGTGGCAGGCAACAGAGCATGTTCAAGGGAACTCCCTTTGTAAAATCATTAGATTTCATGAGATTTATTCACTAACATGAAAGGAGCATGAGAAAATCCTGTTCCCATAATTCAATTACCTCCCACCAAGCTTCTCCCATGACATGTGGGGATTATTACAATTCACGGTAAGATTTGGGTGGGGACACAGCCAAACCATATCATTTCACCCCTGGCCTTTCCCAAATCTCATATACTCACATTTCAAAACCAATTATGCCTTCCCAATAGTTCCCCAAAGTCTTAACTCATTTCAGCATAAACTCAAAAGTCTATAGTCCACAGCCTCATCAGAGACAAGGCAAGTCCCTTCCACTTATGAGCCTGTAAAATCAAAAGCAAATTAATTATTTCCTAGATACAATGTGGATACAGGCATTGGGTAAATACACACATTGCAAATGGGAGAAATTGGCCAAAACAAAGGGGCTAGAGGCCCCACGCAAGTCCGAAATCCAGTCAACAGCCAAATCTTAAAGCTCTGAAACTATCTCCTTACACTCCATGTCTCGCATCCAGGCCATGCTGATGCAAAAGGTGGGTTTCCACAGTCTTGGGAAGCTCTGTCCCTGTTGCTTTGCAGGGTGCAGCCTCCCTCACAGCTGCTTTCAGGGGTTAGCATTGAGTGTCTGCAGCTTTTCTAGGCATACCATGCAAGCTATCAGTGGATTTACCATTCTGGGGTCTGGAATATGGTGGCCCTCTTCTCACAGCTCCAGGAGGCAGTGCCCCGCTGGGGACTCTTGGTGGTGGTTACAACCCCACATTTCCCTTCTGCACTTCTCTAGCAGAGGTTCTCCATGAGGGCCCCACCCCTATAGCAAATGTCTGCCTGGACATCCAGGCATTTCCATACATCCTCTGAAATCTAGGCAGAGGTTCCCAAACCTCAATTCTTGACTTCTGTACACCTGCAGGCTTAGCATCACATGGAAGTTTCCAATGCTTGGGGCTTGGGAAACCACAGCCCAACCAGTACCTTGGCCCCTTTTAGCCATGGCTGGGGAGTGGCTGGGATGTAGGGCACCAAGTCCCTAGGCTGCACACAGCAGGGGCGACCTGGGCCAGGCCCACACAACCATTACTTCCTCCTAGGCCTCCAGGCCTGTGATGAGAGGAGGTGCCTTGTAGGACTGACATGCCCTGGAGAAATTTTCCCCATTATCTTGTTGATTAACATTTGGTTCCTCTTCTTATGTAAATTTCTGCTGCCAGCTTGAATTTCTCCTCAGAAAATGAGTTTTTCTTTTCTACTGCATCATCAGGCTGCAAATTTCCCAAACTTCTATGCTCTGCTTCCCTTTTAAACATAAGTTCCTATTTCAAACTATATCTTTGTGAATATGTAAACCTGAATGCTTTTCATAGCATGCAAGTCAGATGTTGAATGCTTTGCTGCTTAGGAATTTCTCCTGCCAGATGCCCTAAATTATCTCTCTCAAGTTAAAAGTCTGGCAAATCTCTAGGGAAGGGGCAAAATGCCACTGGTCTCTTTGCTAAAGCATAACAAGAGTCACCACTCCTCCAGTTCTCAAAAAGTTCTTCTCCATCTGAGGTCACCTCAACCTGTACTTTATTTTCCATATCACTATCAGCATTTTGGTCAAATTCATTCAACAAGTCTCCAGGAAGTTCCAAATTTTCCCACACCTTCCTGTCTTCTGAGCTCTCCAAATCTCTTGGAAGTTCCAAACTTTCCCACACGTTCTGTCTTCTGAGCCCTCCAAACTGTTCCCACCTCTCCTTGTTACCCAGCTCCAAAGTTGCTTCCACATTTTCAGGTATCTTTACAAAAGTACCCCACTCAACAAGTACCAATTTACTGTATTAGTCTGTTCTCATGCTGCAAATAAAGACATACCTGAAACTGGGTCATTTATTAAAAAAAAAAGAGGTTTAATGGACTCACAGTTCCACCTGGCTAGGGAGGCTTCACAATCATGGCAAAATTCGAAGAAAGAGTAGAGGCACATCTTACATGGTGGCAGGCAAGAAGGCATCTACAGAGAAACTCCCCTTTATCAAACCATCAGTTCTCATGAGACTTATTCACTATCATGAGAACAGCACAGGAAAAGCCTCCTCCCATGACTCAATTACCTCTCAGCAGGTCCCTTCCAAAATACATGGAGACTATTACAATTCAAGCGGAGATTTGGGTGGGGACACAGAGCTAACCCATATCAATGAAGGAATGAATATAATGTAAATGGGAGTAATAAGAATGTTTTGTATATTTATTGTGGTAATAATTTCACAAATCAATACATCTATAGAAGAACTTCATTTGTACTCTTTAAATGGGTACAGTTTATTCTACCTCAATAAAGTTGTTTTAAAACATCTAATGCTTATAAGATCCCTAATAAAGTGATCAATGTAGAAATGGAGAAAAACATGCATATAAATTTTTTTTCTATTATTTCTCTGACACACTGAAGTATCCTGAGTGAGGATAGAGATACATACATACATAAACACAGACACATGCATACACACACACATATACACAAGCATATACATGTGTCTGAGTCAGTTCTCATTTATAAATGTTGTACTCATATAACAATTAATAATGTCCTCTTTTCATTGCTGGAAGCAATGAAACCCAGTGGTAATGATCATACTTTGCATCAAGGTCATAGTTTCTAATGCAGTTCTCCAACAGAGGATACTCCTTGGAGAAAGGGTTGAGTCTGACTGTGGAAGGAAAACTACAAAATGGGCCTAGAGCTTCTCATAGTGGCACAGGATAATACAGAGCTCAAAACACATACACACAGACAGACACACTGAGGGTGATATATCAAAAGGATAAAAGAGCCTAATGAAAAAGCTCCTGATAACCAACACTGTAAGAATTTGAGGAATAAAATAAAGTAGTATTAAATTCTAATTTAAAATATAAATAAATATCCATGAGTTCATACTGATATATATACCAATATAAATAATCTACATAATCTCTTTATATATATCTATACAATCTATATATAATAGATTATATATATAATGTATATGAGTATCTATATATAATCTATATATAATAGATTTATGAAGTAAATAAATGGGTGAGAACAGATAAATCTTTCATGCATAAGTTTTCCAAAAAATACATGTACATAATTTACCCTAAAGGGAATAGATCATAACCTCTCACAACTTAAGTGTGGATTTTAGTTAGTGTTTTTTTTTCCAAAAGCACAGAATGAAAAGGGAGGTGGAGGGTAACTTTACATTGAAAAAATTTCACAAACACTTTAGCCAGGTAACCAAGGTCAATGTCAACAGCGATAAGTCTAGTTAATGGTATATTCTTTTGATTTAATGGTTTATACTTACTTCTGTGGACTTTCACTCAAAAACCAATAACACCATTCCAATTATGATGAAGATATTGGGAAAAAATTCAAATAGAAAATTCCCATAAAAAGTATCTACCCAGAATCCCTCAAAACCTTCAAGGTAAGTCAGTCTAAGGACTATCAAGGAAAATCTGAGAACTGGCATAGATAAAACAAGCCTAAGGAAACATGACAGCTAAATGTAATGTGCTATCCTGGATGGATTTCTGAAGCAGAAAGAAAGAATAAATGATAAAAACTAAGTCAATATGAATAAAGTAGGAACTTTAGTTAATAATAATATATTAACATTTGTTTCTTAATTCAAAAAATTATGCATAATAATTTAAGTTGTTATTAATGAGGGTAAATAAGTGCAGGGTATATGAGAACTCTCTTTAATAAGTTTACACTTTTTCAGTAATCCTGCACCTGTTGGAAAAATAATATTCATTGAAGAAAAATGTTTGAAATATTTATTTATGATCAGTAAAACATAAGGTTTATTGTTATCACGTTTCTAACTATTATTATTTCAGAAGACTTAGGTAACATAATTAGACAAAAATAAAATGCAAATATACAACATCTTAAATGTGAAAACTGCACTGAAATCTGCACTGTCAATATATGCACCATACCCTGATTGCTAAAATATAAAACAAATTTATTTTGTAACCATTTGAAATATTTAATATATTTAACAAGATCAAGGTAATAAAATGTCAACCTGTAAAACAGAATAAAATATTCCCAAATCATATATCTGATAAAGAATTAATATCCATAATATATAAAAAACTATGACTCAATAACAGGAAAACAAACAATACAATTTTAAAAATGGGTAAAGTAATTGAATACACATTTCTCCATAAGAAGATATATCAAGGCCACAAGCATATTAAAACATGCTCAACATTATTAATCACTAGGAAAATGGAAATCAAAATCATAATGACATACTTCCTACCCATTATGATGACTAATATCCAAGCAAAACAAAACACAATAAAACAGAAAATAAGTATTGAAAAGGACATAGAAAAATTAGAACTCTAAATAGTTCAGCTGTTAAGGAAAACAGTACGGAGGAACCTTAAAAAATTAAATATAGAAGTACCATATGATTTCTCAATTATACTTCTGGATATATACACAAAAGAATTTTAAGCAGGGTCTTGAGGAAATATTTGTACATCCACATTCATAGCAAAATTATTTATGCTATGCTAAAAGTGGAAGCAAGCTAAGTGTCTATCAATGGACAAATAGATAAAATGTGGTATATACACACAATGGAATATGATTCAGCCTTAAAAATAAAGAAAATTCTAACTCATGATACATTATGGATGAATCTGGAGGAGGATATTATCCTACATCAAATAAGCCAGTCCCCCAAAGACAAATACTATATGATTCCACTTGTATGAGTTACCTAGAGTAGAGATATTCATAGAAACCAAAAAAGAATGGTGGTTGCTGGGGGTAAGGGAGAGGCAGTAGGGGGAATTTTTTATTGGGTATAAAGTTGCAGTCTGTCAAAATGAAAAGAATTCTGGAGATTAGTTGTACAACCATATGATTGCATTTTAAATAATGAAATATACCAATAACAAAAATGTTTAATATTGCCCATCCATTATGTTAAAAAATTGAAATATGTAAAAGAACACCCACATATATGAAGGAGTATATTCAATATAGATTAATCTTGGAAATTTTATTTTCTATGAAATATGACATTTTAAAATACTACATACTGTGATACAGTTTCTCCAAAATTGATAAACAAATACACATCAATGGCTTGTTGTTTAGAAATACATGCAGTAAAACATTTTTTTCAAAAGCAATGGTAAACACAGAATTCCAGCTGGTGTTTATCTCTGACTTAGAGGAAGAGAAGATGAGCAAGTGAAAGATAACAGGAATATATGCAAAGCAATAGCAATGTTCTACATTTTAAGATAGGTTATGGGTTCACAGGTATACATGTCAAAGGAGCTTTTTTAAAAATATATAAAAGAAAACTGAACAAATTTATCAAAGATGTATACTTTGTAGCAACCACTTTTAAATTTTCCACAGAAAAATTCACTTCAAGATTTCATATAGTTTGGCTTCAAGAAGAAATTCTGTATTTGCTATTCTTTAGAAAGAAAATCTGACGTGCAAGTTAACTCAGAGGGGAAAAAATGACATACAATCTCTTATTCCTGTGACTCTTTGGATATATTATTATGCAGTTACAAACATATCATGCATGCAGGTTCGTTTACTTCTCCATTTTATCAGCTTATCACAAGGCGGAATCAGCCTATTTGAGGACCTGCTTCAGCTGATTTTATTAGCAACTGCTTAAATACCATCTTTCTTTGTGCATGACCAGCCAGGAGGTAGTGTATCAAATTTTACTTCACTGTTATTACTATAGTTGCATTCTGGATTTTTATGCTCTCATACATCATATTGATTATGACCATTTAATGTAAATTTGATCTAGAAGTTAAAATAACTCTAATAAATTAGAGTATATATAGAGAGAACACCTTAAAACATGGGTCAGCTGATGCAGTAAAATACCCTGATAAGATCATTTTAAATTTGGCCTTTAGGATTCAAAAAAGGCAGTTAAGTTAAATAACAAATTTATTCAGCTTTAATGAATATTTGATTGGCTTTCATAGATAATTGCCCTCTATCAGGGTCATAGCATTAACATGAAAATTAGTCATTATCTTCTCAGTGAGAATTGGAAAGAAATTTCTATTAAAGTTTTTGAAGGAGATTCTCAATGAAGTAACTTTGCATACTGTTGACATTGTATCATGATTTAAAAATGTCTCTTCAAATCTGCTTTATATACTGATTTTAAATCACATTTTTATGTTAATTGTAAATCGTTTCAAATGCATAAGAATAACATGGGTTTTTTTCATCAATAGATGCTATGACTTTTCTGTTGGCATGTCTATTATAGTTACTTGTTCCAAATTAGCAATTCTTCTCCCTTTTTTCTTGTGCATCAATAAAATATTTTGGGGAAAGTAATTTAAGTATTAACTAAGTCTACACTGAGAAGGTAATTTTTTTCTTAAAAAAATAAGTGGACAATATATACAAATAGATATAGATGAACATAAGAAATTAGCTGTTGCTCTTGATCTAATTCAAGGTTATGAAAATCACATGTGATACTTATCTCACCAGTATAATTAATATGCCTGAGTTCCACATCAAATTCTGGCAGAAAATTTCCAACTGAGGCAAAGAAGATGGGGGGGGTGGTGTTGAGGGAATCCTTCATCTATAGTATATTTGTTGTAATACTCTTTGAGTAAATTAGTTGTACATTATAGGAATAGAATGGTAGAAAACTGTCTAGGGAATTTCAGCATAAGAATTAAATTATGGCATGTCTACATGAAATTGCTAGAGAAATACTTCAGTGCCACAACAACAACAACAAAAGTATGAAATGTCAACTTCGAAAGCTAGTAGCTGATGGTAGTTTAAAAACTGTTACAACAGGTACAACAGAGACGAGAGATACAAATTTATCTCTCTGAGGTTAAAAAGTATAGTCTGCAGAATGGACAAGAAAGAGATAAAATAATCTGATTGCTATTAAAACTACAGTCTGCGGAGATAAAAGTAGAATTATTACAGCAGGCATAGAGTAGCACTCAGTAACATCAAATGCATGAATGCAAATCATGATTGTAATAATACTTTTTACTTTTGTATCACTGTAGGATTATAGAGATCATGTCCTTTGTAGGGACATGGATGAAGCTGGAGGCCATTATCCTTAGCAAATTAACACAGGAACAGAAAAATAAATATCGCATGTTCTTACTTATTAGTGGGAGCTAAATGATGAGAATGCATGGACACATAGAAGGGAAAAACACATACTGGGGCCTATCAGAGGGTGGAAGGAGGACGGAGGGAAAGGATAAGAAAAAATAACTAAGGGGTACTAGACTTAACACCTGTGTGATGAAATAATCTGCACAACAAATCCCCATGACACAAGTTTACCTACACAAGAAAACTGCACAGGTACCACCTAACTTAAAAGTTAAAAAAAAAAAGAATTTGGGCACAAAAGAGTAAGGATTATTTTCTTTACTTAAACATGCTGCCATAAAGATCCCTAAGTATTCTTTATGACACATCTTAAATACTACTTATTTTTTATGAGATAGCTTAAATATTCCCTCCTCCACTCTCCTAAGCAAAGTCAGCTTTACCTATTTCTAGTCTCACTTTGTCCTATGGCTATAGTTTGATAAAACACTTATTGGTGCTAGTTTCATATTTCAAAAATTCTAAATGTATATTTTTCACATATAATACCATAAAAATCTGGATGTGTGTTATAACTGATGTGATAAGAGCATCAAGTCACAGTTTTAATTGGCAGTATCTTTTTTTTCTCACCATTAAGTACAATTATTGTGTCACGATCACTGGAAACTTAGATTTGCTGGATTGCAGTAATAAATACACATACCTGTCTTTATCAACAAACAACCCAAAAATGAGATCCATATCTTAATTCTTTATCTATCTTAGAGTCCCAGATAACGTCTGTTATATAATGGATGAGCAACAATGATTGGGTGAAATGATAATGTGCCTTATTATAATCAGTATGGTAATTATTGTCCCATTAAAAATAATAAATCTTTAAAAGTTTAAATATCATCCATAGAGACATACATACAGCAAAAATATGGTAAAGTAAAGGCAACATGTGCCCTCAGGTCTAGATTATTTATACTATCCTAGGGAGCACTGTCTTTCCATACACTAATAAACAAAAGACAGAGAGGAGGTTCTCATACTAGAGACAAACTACATGTGCATATATATATATGTACATATATGTATATATATATATGAAATATGAATAATCAGATGGTAAAGACTAGGACAATTTAATAAATTTTGGGGAGAAATGAGCTCAAATGCATCTCAATTACTTGGTCACATTGAGAATTATGTATGTTGATAACCTATGTGTATGTAATATAACTATGAAAATTTCTTAATGTAACGATCTGTATACATGAGTTCATCCTGATTTTTCCAACCCTAATCCATTACTCCATGGGTCCTTACAGCCTCCACCCCATGCTTATGTACAAATGCCCAGTCCAAATATAATAAAACTGGCTCTCACTCTCTACCATTCATTTACTCAATTGTCCAATTTCTACACACACATAAAGCAGTGTCAAAATGTTTAACCTGTACTCCTGTGCAAATGTCATTATCAAATAGATTAAAGTGCTTGTGTACAATTTCCTTTGTCTATAGTTTGAAAGATTTCATTTATTTACATTGCTATTTAGGTCAGTACATTTTCCTGTACCCCCTTTAATGAGGTTGTTAAATACATTTGTAATACATTTTTTTTAACATTCTGATGCCCATGCTAAGAAATTGCCTAAATAATATTGTTCCATTTGCATACATTAAGGTTCACTCTTTATGCTGAATATTTCAATGAGCTTTGGCAATGGCATGATGTTATATATCTGCAATAAGAGTTTCATAAAGAATACTTTTCTCCTCAGCATTGGAAGCATTTGTTTTTTTTTTTAAATTATACTTTAAGTTTTAAGGTACATGTGCACAATGTGCAGGTTAGTTACATATGTATACATGTGCCATGTTGGTGTGCTGCACCCATGAACTTGTTATTTAACATCAGATGTATCTCCTAATGCTATCCCTACCCCCTACCCCCACCCCACAACAGGCCCTGGTGTGTGATATTCCCCTTCCTGTGTCCATGTGTTCTCATTGTTCAATTCCCACCTATGAGTGAGAACTTGCGGTGTTTGGTTTGTTGTCCTTGCGATAGTTTGCTGAGAATGATGGTTTCCAGCTTCATCCATGTCCCTACAAAGGACATGAACTCATCATTTTTTAGGGCTGCATAGTACTCCATGGTGTATATGTGCCACATTTTCTTAATCCAGTCTATCATTGTTGGACATTTGGGTTGGTTCCAAGTCTTTGCTATTGTGAATAGCACCGTAATAAACATATGTGTACATGTGTCTTTATAGCAGCATGATTTATAATCCTTTGGGTATATACCCAAAGTAATCGGATTGCTGGGTCAAATGGTATTTCTAGATCCCTGAGGAATCGCCACACTGACTTCCACAATGGTGGAACTTGTTTACGGTCCCATCAACAGTGTAAAAGTGTTCCTATTTCTCCACATCCTCTCCAGCACCTGTTGTTTCCTGACTTTTTAATGATCGCCATTCTAACTGGTGTCAGATGGTATCTCATTGTGGTTTTGATTTGCATTTCTCTGATGGCCAGTGATGATGAGCACTTTTTTATGTGTCTTTTGGCTTCATAAATGTCTTCTTTTGAGAAGTGTCTGTTCATATCCTTTGCCCACTTATTGATGGGGTTGTTTGTTTTTTTTCTTGTAAATTTGTTGGAGTTCATTGTAGATTCTGGATATTAGCCCTTTGTCAGATGAGTATATTGCAAAAATTTTCTCCCATTCTGTAGGTTGCCTGTTCACTCTGATGGTAGTTTCTTTTGCTGTGCAGAAGCTCTTTAGTTTAATTAGATCCCATTTGTCAATTTTGGCTTTTGTTGCCATTGCTTTTGGTGTTTTAGACATGAAGTCCTTGCCCATGCCTATGACCTGAATGGTATTGCCTAGGTTTTCTTCTAGGGTTTTTATGGTTTTAGGTCTAACATTTAAGTGTTTAATCCATCTTGAATTAATTTTTGTATAAGGTGTAAGGAAGGGATCCAGTTTCATCTTTCTACATATGGCTAGCCAGTTTTCCCAGCACAATTTATTAAATAGGGAATCGTTCCCCCATTTCTTGTTTTTGTCAGGTTTGCCAAAGATCAGATTGTTGTAGATATGTGGCATTATTTCTGAGGGCTCTGTTCAGTTCCGTTGGTCACATTTGTTGTTTTATGACTTTTTATCATAGCCATTCTGACTGGTGTGAGATGGTATCTCACTGTGATTTTGATTTGCATTTCTCTGATGATTAGTGATGCTGAGCAGTTTTTAATGTTTGTGTGTACTTGAGTGTCTTCTTTTGAGAAGTGTCTGTTCATGTCCTTTGCCCATTTTTGCAATGGGGTTATTTGTTTTGTCCTCACTGATTTAAGTTTCCTATAGATTCTAAATATTAGGCCTTTGTTAGATCCATAGTTTGTGAATATCTTCTCCCTATTCTATAGCTTGTCTCTTTGCTTTCTTGACAGTTTCCTTTGCTGTGCAGGAGCTCTTTAGCTTAATTAGGTCCCACTTGTCTATTTTTGGTTTTGTTGTGATTGTTTTTGAGGATTTAGCCAAAAATTCTTTGCCAAGGCTTATGTTGAGAAAAGTATTTTCTAGTTGTCTTCCAGAATTTTTATAGTTTGAGGATGTACATTTAAATATTTAATTAATTTTGAATAAATTTTTGTATATGGCAAAATGTAAGTGTCCAGTTCAATTGTCTGCATGTGGCTAGCCAATTATCCCAACACCATTCAATGAATAGGAAGTCCTTTCTCCTTTGCTTATTTTTGTCACCCTTGTCAAAGATCAGATGGTTGTAAGTGTGTGGCTTTATAATGAACTATAGGTTGGAATGTAAATTAGCCCAGCCACTATGGAAAGCAGTCTGGAGATTTCTCAAAAATATTAAAACAGAGCTACCATTTGACCCAGCAATCACATTATTGAGTATATATCCAAAAGAAAATAAGTTATTTTACCAAAAAATCACATGCACTTGTATGTTCATTGTTGTGCTATAGTAAAAATAACAAAGATATCGAATCAACCCAGGTGCCCAACAATGGTAGGTTGAATAAAGAATATGTGGCACAAAAACACAATAGAATACTACACAGTCATGAAAAAAGAATAAATCATGTCACTGGCAGCAAAATGGATCGAGCTGAAGGCCATAAAATCCTAAGCAAATAAACACAGAAACAGAAAATTACATACCATATATTCTTACTTATATGTAGGAGCTAACATTGAGCACACATGGGCATAATTATAAGAAGAATAGACACTGTGGACTACTAGAAGGTTAGGGGAGGATGGTGGGTTAAAAAACTACCTATCAGGTGTTGTGCTGACTACTGGGTGATAAAAGCTGTACTCTAAACGTCTGCATCACTCAATGTTCCCATGTAACAAATCTGCACATGCATCTCTTGTGTCTAAAATAAAAGTTGAAACTAAAAAAAAAAAAAGAAATTAACATCTCTAAAAAATAATTCCTGTGTTTCATCTATTCAGTCCTTTTCTCCCCAACTCTTAGTAAGCATAGGTATTTCTCTTGTCTCTAGAGTTTTGTCTCTTCCAGACTGTTATAGAATTGGAATCATACAGTATATATTTTTCTCAGACAGGCTTTTTTCACTTAGCAATATGCATTTTACATTCATCATGTCATTCAGTAGCTTGATAACTCATTATTTTTATAGTTGAATAATATTCCATCATATGGATATCACACAGATTTTTAAACACAATTTAGTTATTGAAGAACATCTTAGCTGTTCCCAGTTTATGGCCATGAAGAATAAACCTTCTGTGAACATTTATGTGGAGGTGTTTTGGGTAGACATGTTTTCAAATCACTTTGATAAATACCTAGGAGTGTGACAGCTAGATAACAAAATAAGACTATGTTTTACTTTGTAGGAATCTATCATACTGTGTTCTAAATAGGCAGTGCCATTTTGTATTCCCACCAAAAATAAGTGAGAGCTTCTGTTGTTCTTTATGCTCACCAGAATTTGACAAATACTTACTCCAAATAGCCAAAATACAAAACCCTAACAATCTGGATTTTTGTATTTTGGCTATTTAGAATAAGTATTTGTAAGTATCTCAAAGTTTTAATTTAAAATTGCCTAATAACACTTGATTTGATAATCAGTTCTGATTTGCATATGTGTACTTTTTTTATTTGGGTGAGGTGTCACTTCATATTGATTGTCTATTGTTCTTTTTCCTGTTATTTAGTTTTAAGAATTATTTGTATATATGGATACAAGATATTTATCAAATATTCATTTTTCAGCTATTTTCTCCGAGAATGTGAATTGTCTTTATATTGACTGAACAATGACTTTTGAAAAGCAGAATATTTTTAACATTAGTAAATTCCTATAAATCAATTTTTATTTTTATGTATTGTGCATTTAGATAATTATTTAAAAACTCATCACAAAACCAATTATCAAATAGATTTTTTTCTCCTACATCTGCTACTGGAAGATTTGTTTTTTCACATTTTGCATTTAGGTTTATGCTCCATATTTGAGTTAATTTTTTTTTGAAAGTTATGAAGTCCATGTCTAAGTTGTGGCCATAATTTTTGCAGTTTTTGTGAAACAACATTCCTTGATATAGCTAGTTTACTAAGACCAATATTTTAAAAATATATAAATAGATGTAAATTGTACTAAATAAATTTTTCCTCCATCAATGTGTTTCTCTTTTATTTGTTAATGTGGTAAATGGCATTTATAGATTTTTCTGTGTAAAATAATCCTTGGTTTTGTAGAATAAGCCACATCATTTCTGAAAGAATATGCTTTTATATACCACTGTATTTATAATAGCTTGAAATTTTTTGTGTACAAGTTTTTGCATCTACATTTATGCCTACAACTGGATTTTAATTTTTTATTTTATTGTATTTTTATTATTTTGGTATTATGAATATACTTACCTCATAGAATGCATTGAGGAATATCTTTCTTTTAATCATTTTTATAATATTTTTTATATAAATACTTCCATGACTAACTGTATTTGTGGTACGTTTTTAATCAGTGATTTATATATTCTGTTTAATAGAGGTCTTTTCAGTGTTTTTATTTTGGAGTCAAAGTTTTAGCTTACTTTTTTTCTGTATATATAATGCATATATATGCACATTATATGTATAGACATACATGAGAGATTTAATAATTTAATAACAAGAAAAAGAGTATTCGCATGTTTCATAGCCTGAAGTATCTAATTAAGTTAGATGTCACTTTATATTATAAATTAAAGATAAGAACCTAGGTTATCTTGATTTCAGAGAGACCTAAGATTCACATTAGTTCACATAGTCGCAGTGTGCATTGCTTGCAGCATGTTTTCAGATGGAATGAGAAATTATTGCGTCGTTTTCACAGCACATGGAGAAGGGGGCCCAGTGTAGTTAATGATTACCACAATGGCCCTCAGGGAATACATCCTTTTATGTCCAAACATTATTGAAACATATCACTTCTCATTCTCCTTATCAAGAAATAGTTATTTGTATTTTTGAATCTGGGCAGATCTTGAAACTTGTTTTGACCAATATGATGTGGCAGAGGAGAGGTGGTATGAGTTCCAGAGCCTAGGAATTCAGAGTCCATGCAGCCTCTGTTCTCATGTTCTTGGAAACTTGGTAACATGAGGTGAGAAATCCAGTGTAAATTACTAGAGGATAAGAGGACACATGCCAGAATATCGAGGCATCCAGCAGGAATGACCTTGGGTCCACTCCTTAATGCTGTCCATGACATATTTTAGTATTGGTCTTTCTCTTAGGAGCACACAAATTTGGCCACTTTCCTATCTTTTTCATAACCTCATAATTCACTATAGATGTTACTTTAGCACTTTATAGAGCAGCCTCGTATAGAAATCTGTGAATTTCCTCTTCTTTCTAGATAGGCTCGATTAATTAACCTTAAACTCACACCCAATAGCACCTCTAACTCATGCTTGAACAAAGCTCATCCAACACACAAATTTTTTTCCCTAAGACATATCACAGCTTTCTTGTGCTGAGGAACATTAGACAGTATTTTAGTGCTACTCTTGGGGGCCAATATAGACAGTGAAATAACAACAACAACAACAAAAAAGCACATACATGTGGAAAATATGGCACTAAACAGACTCCAAAAAGGACAGCTGTTTTGAATATGAGATCTAAAACAAAAAAAAGTGTCACACTGTGTTACCTCAGGTGGAAAAGGGCATGTCTGGCAACGCAAATATTTCACTGCTCTGGACATATCCACAAATGACTGCAAGAGTGCCCTGAATATTCATTTGGGGCTTAAAAATAAATTGTAATGAGTGGTGAAATTTATAAATATGAAATATATGAGTAATGAGAATTGACCATATATAGATTATATATGTGTATTACCATCTTGAAATTTATCTCGTAAAATGGTGAAAAATTCTCAGCTGAAATGGAACAAGGCATTGCTCTGGCTTCTTGTCTCCACATTTTTGCAGAGATGACCTGAGGATGGAGATAGGAGGAGAAGTGTAGGGTAATGTAAGAATCTCTGGCTCTGGGGCCAGGTGAGGCAAGTATAAAACCTATTTTGATCAGTACTGAATGTCAACTTGATTGAATTGAAGGATGCAAAGTAGTAATCCTGGGCGTGTCCGTGAGGGTGTTGCCAAAGGAGAATAACATTTGAGTCAGTGGACTGGGAAAGGCAGACCCACCCTTAATCTGGGTGGGCACCATCTAATCAGCTGCCAGCAAAGCCAGAAGATAAAGCAGGCAGAAAAACCTGTAAAGATTAGACTGGCCTAGCTTCCCAGCCTACATCTTTCTCCTGTGCTGGATGCTTCCTGCCCTCCAACAGTGGACTCCTAGTTCTTGAGTTTTAGAGCTTGGACTGGCTCTCCTTGTTCCTCAGCTTGCAGATGGCCTATTGTGGGACTCTGCAATCATGTGAGTTAATACTTAATAAACTCCCCTTTATATCTATCTATCTATCCTATTAGTTCTGTCCCTCTAGAGAACCCTGACTAATACGAAACCTAACTTGACACTTGTTAGTGGAGCAGTCTCAGGGAAATCACTTAACGCATGTGAACCTTGTTTTCTCTTTTATAAAACTGAAACAATAGAATCTACCAGGATGAGTTCTTTTTAGGAGTTAAGATCATAATATATGTGAGATAGATCCATCTGTCTATATGTGTATCTTTCCCTTAAGAACAGTGGTTCAGAATTCACTCATTCTATGTTCACAGAAAATTTATAGACCGTAACTATTTGGAATAATGAGAATTAACTGAATATACTTATATGTATATATATTAAATTATAAAATTCATACGTATATATACAACTATACCTGTGTGTTTATAGTGTTCTGATTCTAATCACATGAAATGCTTAGAAAAAGGCAAATTAGAAGAAACAAACATTAATGGGACCCTGGGTTTAGGCATAGAAAGGAGGATTAGTTGTAAATGGACGTAAGAATTCTTATTAAAGGTATAGAACGTTCTAAAATTGATTCGTGGTGATGGTTGCCCACATAAAGTTACTAAATATTGTCACAGAAGTGTGTAATGGGTAAATTTATGATATATATCTATCACAATATGAGTGTTATATATTAAAACTTATAAAATAATAATTTTAATTTCTTTTTCCTTTCCTTGTTACAATTTTTGGGAGGTCTAGTTCATAATTACCTCCTTGAGGGCACAAAAAATGTTTTACTTGATTCCTAAAGTATATGTATTGATTGCCGTGCTATACGTCCTTTTGTCTTCTCTGTCTTTCTGCAACACTATTTCTTCTTATTCCTAGCATATTTAATACCAAAGTCAACAAAGAGCTTCCGAAGTCCAACATGTGCCTAAAATTTTGATGACTTTATTATTTCATTTACGTACCCGTTCATTCAATAATTATTGCCTACTGTGTGCCTGCAGATAGAATGCTAAGTAAAACAAACAAACACAAAAAACCATGGTGCCCATCCTCTCAAAGTTTATAGTTAGAGAAGTCTACTTTTGGGGTAGGTCTAGAACAGTTAATTGCTCAAGAAATTGACAGTCTCTCCAAGTCCCTTCTGGTCTACACATATTCTGTGACAAAATTCACAGTCGTTACTCCCCTTGAGGAGTAACTTAGAAGATGAAATGAACAGTAAAGCAAATGGTAAGAGATACTGTGCCTGGAACTGGTGGGTTCTTGCTCTCGCTGACTTCAAGAATGAAGCTGCGGACCCTTGCAGCTTACAGTTCTTAAAGATGGTGTGTCCGGAATTTGTTCTTTCTGATATTCGAACGTGTCCGGAGTTTCTTCCTTCTGGTGGGTTCGTGGTCTCGCTGGCTTCAGGAGTGAAGCTGCAGACCTTTGCAGTGAGCGTTACAGCTCCTAAAGGCGGCACGGACCCGAAGACTGAGCAGCAGCAACATTTATTGTGAAGAGTGAAAGAACAAAGCTTCCTCACCATGGAAGGGGACCCAAGTGGGTTACCGCTGCTGGCTCGGGCAGCCTGCTTTTATTCCCTTGTCTGACCCCACCGATATCCTGCTGAATGGCCCATTTTACAGAGAGCTGATTGGTCAGTTTTAACAGGGTGCTGATTGGTGCATTTACAATCCCTGACCTAGACACAGAGTGCTGATTGGCGCATTTACAATCCTCTAGCTAGACACAAAAGTTGTCCAAGTCCCCACTAGATTAGCTAGACACAGAGCACTGATTGGTGCATTTACAAACCATTAGCTAGACACAGAGCACTGACTGGTGCATCCACGAACCCTGAGCTAGACACAGAGTGCTGATTGGTGCATTTACAATCCTCCAGCTAGAAATAAAAGTCCTCCAAGTCCCCACCCGACTCAGGAGCCCAGCTGGCTTCACCTAGTGGATCCCGGCCCCGGCTGTGGGTGGAGCTGCCCACCAGTCCTGTGCCATGCGCCCGCACTCCTCAGCCCTTGGGCGGTCAATAGGACCAGGCACTGCTGAGCAGGGGGTGGTGCCTGTCAGGGAGGCTCGGGCTGCACGGGAGCCCACGGTGGCTGGGGGAGGCTCAGGCATGGTGGGCTGCAGGTCCTGAGTCCTGCCCCGCAGGGAGGCGGCTGAGGCCTGGCGAGAATTTGAGCACAGCATGGGCGGGCTGGCAATGCTGGGGGACCCAGTGCACCCTCTGCAGCTGCTGGCCCGGGTGCTAAGCCCCTCACTGCCCGGGCCGGTGGTGCCATCTGGCAGCTCTGAATGTGGGGCCTGCCAAGCCCATGGCCACCTGAAACTCGCTCGCTAGCCCAGGAGCACCCTGTGCTGCCCGGGTTCCTATCCGCGCTTCTCCCTCCACAACTCCCTGCAAGCAGAGGGAGCTGGCTCCGGCCTCGGCCAGCCCAGAGGGAGGCTCCCACAGTGCAGCTGCGGGCTGAGGGCTCCTCAAGCACTGCCAGAGCCAAGGCCAAGGAGGTGCTGAGAGCAAGGGAGGGCTGCTAGCACGTTGTCACCTCTCAATACCATGCATTTCTCATTCACTGATCTTCCGCCAATGGACACAAGTAGAAACATTCCATTCTGTCTGTTTTCTTACATTAGTAAAGTTGGCAAAAGGTTAAAATATGACCATACATTGCCTCTGGAACCTCTTAAATTGTAACACAGTTCTTTTCTTCTTGATGATGAAACTTCCCATGGTTACATTGGGAACCAAAGAACCACGTGGATAAGCAAACAGGATGCTGTTGCAACTTTCACGTACTAAGATATAGTCTTTTTTTTTTTGCAGTGCTTCCACAGGCACATATGCAAAATTACTGTCCATTAAAACTGGAATTCTTTTCTCAGTCAGCCTGCCAAAGACTGTTAAACAACACTTTTAATGGGGCTAGCCAGTTTGTAAACACAGAAGGTAGAATAAATAAATCAATTCTTTGTGGTAAAAATGTAAAATTTCATTCAATGTTATTTCTCTTAAAATGACACACAGAAAGAATCAAATGTAAAGATATGTTCTTTTCATTTTCTTAGAAATCTTTGTTGATATGCATATCAACATGCAGGAAAATCCCTATAAACCACACTTATTTTAACAGAACTGTTAAAATTCAAAGAAATAATTATCATCCTGCTATTCTGTATTTAGAAGTATCTGTCAGTGCCATATAATTGCTCTTGGTATGCTTTTTTGTTTCACATTTTTCCCTGACACCACATGTGGACATCTTCTGCAAAGGTAGTAATGACCTTTGCTTCAGGAAATTTGTGAGACTTTCACAACATGAAATAGCTTTTAATGGAGTTATTTTCCCTCTGTTCATTAATATCTGCAGGGCACTGTGGACGTCAGAGTAGGGTGACTAATGCAGTCAGGTGTTGTGGAGGTAAAGTCATTGGAGAAAATTATTCATGAGATGAGTAGTAATCAATAGAGAACACAAAGGGATAGGTACAACAAGACCAAGACCAAATACAAGTAGGCTTGAAACAGTGTGATATACTAAAAACAGCAATGATTTTAGACTTATTTTAGCTCAAATTAAAAGTCAAAGCCATTTAGTGGATAGGAGCAAAAAAGTAGAGTTCTTTATTAACATATTTGGAATATCAATTTTAAATTCTACTTGATAGGGAGCTATTTAAGTGTTTTAGTTGATATGGATTATTGTAAAGGTCACCTTTTAGTTCAATAGTAGTTGCGTGAGAGAAGTATTAAAGAACTGCAGGATGTTAGGAAGGTGTGGTAGGCAAGAAGAGATGTTGCTCAGATATTCTTCAAAAAAAAGATGTACTGTGTCAGAGTCTAGTTTGATAAGAGTATCCAGCAGCAGTGTCTTGGCGATATATTACAGCATTCAATAAACAATTTTATTCTTTCTGGAAAGCCCTCGGGCCATGAGTGAACAATATGGTTTATTAGGACCAGGCCATTTCTGCCTAATTTTTGACTCATATACAATGGTTGCTCCAAATCTCCCTGTTGCACTGCTCATGACTTTGCCATATCTGGGTGGCTGTAGGAGACTTTCTGTGCACAGTTCTGTTTTTCCCTATCTTTCCTGTCCCAGGGCTCAGATGGAATTTACCTTCTCATTCCTGCCTCTCTCCCACATCCTTTTATTTATAGGAGTTACTGCACAACAAACATTTTGCACTACTATTACATCTCAGTGTCTATGTTAAGAAAGTCCAAACAGATATAGAAGAAAAATAAATTAGGAGATGCTGTAGTATTTCAGGTGTAACTAATAAAAAACTTTACCAGTATGTGATAAAATAACAGAAAAATAAGAATGTGAAAAATAATGTTTGAAAAGTCAAATAATAATAATATCCTTACAATCTATTGTTTTAAAATACTTATCAACATTAATACTATCATAAAATTTTATATCACATTGTTCAGGAGTGCGTAAAGACACACACACACACACACACAAACTTATTTACTCCTCTTGAAACCCTTGATATTATGAATATTCATGTGTTATAGATTAAGGAAACAAGTGAAGCCGAGGTGAAATACTTCACATAAATACAAATAAGGCAGTAGAAACATAATTTTGACTAGAGGTTATATCCTAAAGCTTGTGCTTTTAAACAGTACATTAAAATGCTAACCTAAAAGACACATGGCTTTGCAATTTTGAAAAAGAGAAATCTAACATGAATGATAAGGATACTTGTTTTCTCTACAACTGACATAGAAATACAGAATCTGTAGTTTCATGGGGAGAAAATGTTGGATGTGAGCTTCCTGTTTTCCATCCAGGTGAAGAGATGCAGCAGGCAGTTTGGTACTTGGTCAAAGAAACTGGGGAACTTTCTTTTAAATTGAGATTTTGACATAGAATTTACTGTCATAAAGGTAAAAATTCACAAAGGAAAGGTAATTGATATCAAAATAACCAAATTAATATGATGTGGACAACATTGAATCAATGAAGTAAAGAGGTGATGAAGATAAAAATGTGGGTATTTTAGCATGAACAGGATCCTGCTGATAAACAAACTGAAAAGGCAACTTGAAAGAAAAAACATAAAATGAGCAGGTATATGATACTGACAGGTAATGCCTGATATCGTTTATTATTTTAAGGAAAATAATAGGTATTTTAAAAATTGTTAGAGAAGCAAATATATCATTCAATTTTATTCAAAATATTTTATATTATAAAAGGTGTTTTATCATGTTAACTTAAACTTGTTTTTTATTATTGCAATATGAGAACATATTGATACAATTTTAATTGATTAACGTTCGTTAATTTATCATATAATGATTATATTTTGATGTTCTATCAGTAAAAATTAGATAATGGGGGATGTTGACATTATCTAAATGAACAAGTATTATATACTCTTTCAGTCATAATTTTAAAAAAAAGCAGAATGAGAATAAAATAATGAAGGTGAAGAGGTGTTGCTTTTTTACATAGGATGCTTAGAGATGAGCACACCATCAAGAAAGTGACATTTGACTGGAGATGCAGATTGAGTAGAGTAGTGAGCCAGCAAAATACTAGAAGATTCCCCCGGGAATAGAGAACAGAACATAGACTATAAGGCAGAAGAAGGAAAGAAAAACAGTGTGGATAGTGTACTAAAGTTAAAGTGTACTAAGATATACGATGATAAATGAAGCAAGCCACAATGTTAACGTTTTATATTTTATACCAAATAAGACAGGAATTCACTGGGGAATGGGTATCAAAGGGAAATAATGGCCTCTGTATATAAAGATAAAACTATTCTGACTTCCTATGGAGAAATAGAGTACAAAGGAGTACAGAGAAGGCGAGAAAAATACGGTAGGAAAGAAACTCCAAGATTTCAAGTGAGAAATCATGATGGACAAGACCTGAGTGATAGTAGAACGGTAGGGCTTTGGAAGCATTTTAAGCCTAGTAAATAAATATTTATAGAATGATTTAAGGTAAAGCTAATACAATTTAGATATGTGTTTAGATATGTGTTGTAGAAAGAAAGAGGTAAAAATGTATTCAAAATTATGTGCCTTATCAACAGATGAGTGGATTTGCCATATATTAAGATAAGAAAAACAAACTAAGATTGGGTGTATGTAAGGAAGAGAGAAACCGTAAGTTCCATCATGTCACATGTGATGCTTAATTTACTGTAGACATATAAGTAGAAACATTGACTAAACAGAGATATAGTTTCAGAGTTCAGGAGAGACAGAAGTTCTGGAAATAGAAATATGGCCATTTATATGAATTATTTAAAACCACAGGGACTAACGGTACCCAGGCAGTGAGTGTAGACAGGATAAATTGTCTAAGACAAAAATCTAAACCTCATTTGAATGAGGAAGGAACAGCAACAGCCAAAAGAGCAATAAGGTAGACTAAGAAAATTAGAACAAGAGTTTGAGGTTCAAGGTGCTTGAGTCAACATTGTGAAATAATAATTTACAAAAATAATTGCCAAATAAATATTTTTTTTGAAATTTTCTAATTCTTATCCCTTTTTTAAAGTTCCTAGTTCAGGTATGTTGTGAGATGTGACAGAGATAATATTTGTTCTTCTATATGAAGTACTTTTACCAAAACACACAACCCCCAGACTACATAGCTAATCACGTTTGCCAACAATCCTTGTAGCTAAATGTGAACATGTAACCAAATTCTGGCCAAAGCTGTATAAGCCAAAGTGACTTCTGTCAGCACTTTTAAGATATAGTTACCCTTTCTTCCATGTTCTTCCATTCTGCTATCTATAAAGTTGATGCAAAATCTTGGATCACGTGGATAAGAGTCATGTTTCAGGATTGGTGGAGGATTAGCTGTGGGGAACCTGGGTCCTTGAGAAAGTCCTGGAGCAGAATTACTATTCTAACTATGGACTTCTTACCTCCAGATTGATTAAGATGGTAAAAAATTTATCAAAATAAACCTGTTTACAGTTGAAGGCATTGCTATGTTTGATTTTTCTTTTACTCAAAGCCAACCTCATTCTATAATTTTAGAAATAATCAGAGGTAATCATTACTCTTAGAAACATGGAAAACAAATTTACTTCTCAAATTTAAAGACCAAAATTACTAATCAATTTTAGTCCAAAATAAATATTAATGGGTATTAGTTATAAGCACTAGAAGTTAAGGTAAAAAAATAAAAGATGGTGGCAACCATCGGTATGAAATAGGAAGAATCTAGGCAAATAAGAAGCAGTGGTCTAAAGCATAGATTATAGGTATTGACAAAGCTAAATTAAATTTTGTATAAGTCACCTCATCTTAAATGAGGCGTTTAAAATTTTCAAATATGTTTTGCTTATTGGTATAACAGGGCTTTTTTGTTTAAAGCAATTTGCCTTATTGATTGTGAAATGGAAAAAGTTCCTTTATCCCCCACAGGCCCTGTGATACGGCTGTGGCTTGCTTCTTTGGTGCCTGCTGCTCAAACCTCTAGCGGGAGCATGCAGACAGGCAGGTTATGGGGCTCTGACCCCAGGGAAGTGTTTAGGGTGAATGTTCACAGCTGAAGCCCCAGTGGGCGTAGGTTATAGTGTGCTCTTTCAGTTTAGCCCTCTGTAGGCGGCTTGTATTTATCAGCTCAATTAGACCCTCTGCCTTATTGCAAGGACAGAGGACTTTCTGTATCCTGGATTCTTGCCTTGGTGTACTGGAAGAATTGGATCACACATGGGCTTGGAGAATGAGCGCAAGGTTTTATTGAGTGGACATAGCTCTCAGCAGATGGATGGGGAGCCAGAAGGAAGAGCAAGTGGGAAAGTGGTTTTCTCCTGGAGTCAGGCCTCTCAGCAGCTGGGCTCTCTCCTCCAACCTCACCAGCCAAACTCCAAGTCGTTCTGCCAGTCAATGGCCTGCCAGCGTCTGCCAGTGCCTGTCGGTGTGCTCCTCTGTCGGTGTGTTTCTCTCGACACCTAGCCGCTTGTGTTCTTCCGCCAATGTGTTCCTCTCGTCCAGCTGCTTGTGTCTCTGCCCGCTAGGGTCTCGGGTTTTTATAGGCACAGAATGGGGGCGTAGCAGGCTAGGGTGGTCTTGGGAAATGCAACATTCCATTCGGGCACAAAAACAGAAATGACTGTCGTCACCTGGGTCTGTGGGCACAAGCCGGAGGATGGAGCCCTAGCCAGGGACCCACCCTTCTCTACCCAGTACTTTCGTACCCGCCTTCTGTATCAATTGTATTCTTTAGAATTTCTTAACCATTTGACATGTACAAGACTGTTTTACAATTTTTATTATGTTCCTATGTCTTTTTTCTATTTTTTTATTTTTAATTTTTGTGGGTGCACAGTAGATGTATATATTTATGGGGTACATGAAGTATTTTGATATACACATGAAATGTGTAATAATGACATGGAAAATGGAGTATCAAGCATTTATTCTTTGTGTTATAACAACTATCATATAAAGAAATGAAATATATATATTACTATATATATACATGTTACTATATATATACACACATATTACAGTATACACACACATATATTACTCTTTCATCCTTAGCAAAATGCCTTCAATAAAATAAGTACTAAATCAATGTGAGTTGCTGTTATTTGTATTACTCTGTGTTATTTTGTATTCTCTTTTTTAAAACACTCTAATGGCTTATGGTTTTATCCCTAAGGCTGCTTCAAGTTCTAAGTGTATGCAATATACTTAGAGCTTGCATATTTCAGTGACCAAAACAATTATCATAAAATTTAAAAAACTTTTTCTGTAAAATCTTTTTTTTCTGATAATATTACTAAAAGTACCTTCATCTTACTGGAATTAAAATCCTGAGTTTTTTATAAAAAATATGCGATACTGTTTTGTGCAACACCTTTATTTATAAAAGTAACCAAGGTTTAAGTTTCTAACCTAAAGTTACATAATAACTTGGTTCAGAACTATAACCAAATACTTTAACTGTAATCAGGTTTATTTACATCATATCACACATCGTTTTATTATTTTCTTTTTAAATATAATTTATGAAGCGGTGCTTTTCAATGAATTTTCTTTTATGTCATAAGAAAATATAAAATGATCAAATGTTATTTTAGTGAGTGAATTTACAAAGGAGCTTTCACTTCGCTTTTTTATTCTGCTTGAATCCTCAAGTCATTGTATATAAAAAAGGGAAGAGGCATGTAAATATATCAGGACTCCTTTAAATAAGTGTCCTTACTGTATACTGTCTATGGTTTGCCAGACATGGTTATTTTTTAAGACAAACAAAGGATAGTGGATAATAGTGACAGTTCAAATTTTATACCAATTTCACCTTCCACTAAAACTGCGTGATTATATTTACATGATTTAGTGAAATTACCTTGCTGTAAAGAGGCAAACACTTTGACAGGCTCTGGCAGTAGTTGTCAGCTTTAACAACCATTCAGATGAATATGAGTTGTATAGGGACTAATATATAATGATGTGTTTAAATCACTATTGTTTCCACGGTATTTCTGCTTCAGGAGCTTATTGAAGCTTGGAAAATAGGGAATTTACAGAAGCTAAGAACATGTTTACATGTTTACAGTGTTTAACATGTTTATTAAAGTCTTCTTTTTTTCCATTATCCAACCAAATAATATTGATATACCAAATTTAATATTCTGATTGAAAACACTGATGTTTAATATATTTTTCACCATAGAGAACAATATATTAAAATTGCAAAGACATCTTCTCTTGATTACTTATTTTTATTAGATACATCATTGGCTAGAAAGCCAAGTAATGGTTAGCAAGAAAAAGTGAAAGAAAATAAATTTTTATAAAATATAAGGTATATTTGGCCAATATCCTAGAGCTACTTCGTACATTTGTCACTGTTATGCTAGTAATGCTGAAGCTGTCACTAGTCCAACACTTGTATATATTCTTTGAAATTTTTCCTTTAAAATAGACAATATAGATTCAAGAAAATATATGTTAGATGCATAGGACAATGCGAATGTTTGGAAATTACATGTTGAAGTAGTAAACCACAATATCAATGCATTTTAACATTAACAGTAATGTTAAAGAATATTTAAGATAAGAATCACAAAATGTACTTTGGACATTTTATATATATATATATATATATATTTTTTTTTTTTTTTTCTTTGTCTTTTTGAGACAGGGTTTCACTCTTGTTTCCCAGGCTGGAGTGCAATGGCGCAATCTCGGCTCACTGCAACCTCCACCTCCAGGGTTCAAGTGATTCTCTTGCCTCAGCCTCCCAAGTAGCTGGGATTACAGACATGCACCACCATGCCTGGCTAATTTTGTATTTTTAGTAGAGACTGGATTTCTCCACGTTGGTCAGGCTGGTCTCGAACTCCAACCTCAGGTGATCCGCCTGCCTCGGCCTCCCAAAGGGCTGGGATTACAGGTGTGAGCCACTGCGCCCAGCCCATTTTTAATATTTTGAAAACTACAAAAGCCCTTGCTTTTGCCAATTATTATACCTCCTTTTTTCGTATAGCGTCTACATTAGTTGCATAAGACATTTCAGTTAAACATTCATCAGCCTTTAGCCAAACCTCTTGGCTTACTGGTCTTTATAACAAACTATCAAGATATTTACTAATGTAGATCATAGAATTGATTAAATACATAATTCAATTCTTAGCTTATTTACTCATTTATAATAGCAAAGATTTTTAAATTAAAAGTAAAGAGAATTTTGACAGTGAATAATAAAAGAGCTTTTTATAACTCTTAATTATTGGCAATAAAGGTGAGAAACATGTAAAGAGCCAAATAAGACAATTTTATATACTTGATATCGTTATGACACAAATAAAACTGGGTAATGGAAAATAAAGGGCCAGGGTGATGTGTTTTTTGTGTGTGTGATACTTCAGCAAAGGTACTTGAAGTCATTTCTGAAAAAAGACAAAAGAAAGCTGTGTCTATCCTGATGCTGAAAAGAAAAAAAAGGCATGTGGTGATAGGTTTATAAAAGCATTACTGGTAGCAGAAACAGTACATACCAAACTCTTATGTAGAAGAAATCTTGATGTGATCCTAGAGAAGAAATAAGTAGAATAATGTGGAATAGAGAAGACTAGGATTGAGACCATGAAGTAAAGTACGTGTAAGAATTACTTTTACTAAACTTAAAAATTTTTCTATATATTTGTATTTATGTCTATATTTATAAATAGATCTAGAGGCTTTGTATGCCTGCATATAGGCATACAGTTCTAAAAATATGTCTTTATTTACCAAAGGTTATGGTAAAATTTAAAGACAACAAAAACGAGAAAAAAACCCCACTTTACTAAGAGGACTCCAGCTACGCTGTCCAGTAAGGTAGATACACACAAAATGTTGCAACTTAAATTTTAATTAACAGTTTTAAAAATTATAAATTCAATTATTTAACTACATTAACTATATTTCAATGAATATATAGCCATATGTGTGTAAAGATTACTTCTTTGGACAATGCAGGTATGGAACATTTAAGCCACTTAAGACAGTTTTCTTGGAAAACACTGGTGTAAAGTCACAGCCCTGAATAAATGTTAAAGAATAGATTTTACTCCTAAATTATTTTGTTTATTTTGCCTTGTTACGTGATATTGAGTCAGACATGCAGTTGAGAGTAATGTTTAAGAAATTGAGCAAAATATTTCCAGTCCCAAGTTAGATGACTAACACAGATTTTAATAGATTTAATGTGTTATTCCAATAGCATATGTCAGGTACGAATATACTGTAACATCTCTCAGGAAATATTTATATAACATAGATATAATTAATTAGTCAATAACCATTTTAATTTTATTTAATACTTATCCTAGTTATGTGGTTTTAGGTTGGCAGTTTAATCTATAGGAATATATTAAGACTGATAGAGGGAAAGAGAAAGAATATGACCCTTTGATAATGACAACAGAACATATACTATTCTTCTCTTTAATATCATATTTTGTGAAAAGTTTATGTTTTACACTCAGAATTTTCCTCAAAGTTCAACGATTATTTCTTCAAGGAATTTTCACCTTATCTAGGTTTCAGTATGAATTTAGTTGATTCATTATTTGAGAATAGTTAGGGTAGAAAGCAGAGAAAGATACACAGTCAAGTATGAAAGTATTAGAATGTTTGATTTTATAACTCACATAGAGAAATATCTACATTTTTACATTGTTTTATTTTGTCCCAGAAAGAATGTCATTGACCTGTTTTGTAATAAGTGTAATAAGGGATAATTAGCTCTTAAGATTTTATATTTTTATTTGAACATATCTATTCCAGGAAAATGTACAAAACATATTTTAAATATTCAGCTATTTTTATTGCCTTCAATTATTTTCATTTGGAATATCTTTTTTATTTTAAAGTTTTGGTAGAAGCAGAAACAAAATAACAGAGGACATCTTTAAACAAAGCATAATAAAATAATATTAAATTTTATTTTACTAAAGATGCAAAGGATTTCCATAATTTAAAAAATAAATTTTAATTTAACTCTGTAATTTATAAGATATTTCTAAAATGTGTCCTGTTTATAATTTCAGTTCTTGTTAGTATTTCTGTCATTTGGTAGGCAATAAGAACATTATTTCTAATCATGTAATGAATGAATGATATCAGGGTATTAGCGTAATTTCAGTTAAGAAAATAATACTTAGAATATTAGTACCTAGAATATTAGTACCTTGAAACTCAATCATACATAATACGAAGAGATGCCTTCTTTATTTCCTTTGGAGGCTTTATTTACTAACTTCATCTTTGGTGGTTTCCTTTTAAAATAATTCACCAAAACAGTAAATTTACTTTGTGGAAAGCATAGGCCTCCACTCTATCCTACTGTCTTTTGCTATATATCTTACACAAATTCAGTGATGTTCACAGAATAATAGAGAACACCAGCAAATGTACTCCTCTATTTCCTTTAAGTAAAATTTATTTTATCCTTTTTTATGATCCCATCATTCATTCCTTTAAACATTATGAATTCTTCATTGCATCCCTGGGTTATGAAAATTGTGGAGTTTTAGAAAATTGGATAACATCTCTTTACAGGTTATAAGATGGTGAAGAATCTTAAGGATTAAATCAGTGAACTAATTTAGCTCGTGTTCAGATTTGAAATAGTTATTATCTCTTTCAATAGATATGTAGTTGTTAAGAGTTGAGAATTGCTAAGTCCTCTGGTATATTAAGCATAATTGTAGGTAGACATTGGGCAACTATAAGAACAGAAATGGAGACCCGAAGATGTAATCAAGGGAATTTTCTCCTTATTTAGGGAGTATACAGATACTTATATAAGCCAAGGAAGTAAATATAATTAGGAATGCAGTAGGCAGAATATTCACTCCCACGATTTCCGCCACCTGGTGTTATTCACATGAATGTTATTTTACATGGTGAAAGGGATGTTGTAGGTGGAAAAAAAAGATTACTAGTTGGTTGTGCTTAAAACGGGGAGGCTATCTTGGATCTTCTGGTGAATCTAGTGTAATCACATGATCACTAAAAAGCAGAGTGGGAGCTGAAGAAGTAGATTTAAAGCATGAGAAAGATTTAACACACTGAAGTTGACTTGAAATGAGGTGCCATCTACTAAAGCTTTGGACTCCTTATTCTTACAATTTCTAAAAACTTAATTATCACTGATTTCAAAAGTGAGCTTTAATGAAGACCCAGAGTTTCAGATAAGAAATAGAGCTGAGGATGATACATAAGAATCCAGTTACGTTGAGCAAGACTTCTCTCATACATCAACTGCTTGACAATAAATGGGCATTGTAAGCGGCCAAGTTTTGGTAATTCGATATAGCAGTAGTAGAAAGCAAGCTTAGTTATATTTGCACCAGAACTGGAAAGAAATGCAAGCTTTCTTTCTAGCTTTCTGGAAGGAAAATCAGCTTTAAAAAGGACTAGGGACAATTTGGTTCTCTTTGAAAGATTGTGAAAAATATGTTTGTTAAATAAAAAGATAAGTCAGGGATGAAGCAATGTTAATAATGCCAATTAGAGTTTCAATATGGAGAATTTAGGAAAAAGAAAATTATGCTTTTCCAAGCATGATTCTGAGGCAAATGGAAAGCAACTGTATGATATGGAAGATGAACTTTATACTATCAGAGAGAGAAAAGATAAGACGATCTTAGCATTGTATTAAATGATATAACCAAATAGGAACTTACCTTTTAAAGGTATAGTTATATGTGGAGATTGTTTTATCTAAACATTATAAACACCAGAAGGCTGTAATTTTCAATTGAGTCCCTTCACTTCGAGTACTATTGTACAATTCTGGAAGTAATTTTAACCCTAAGTTTATATAAAAATTTCAGCATAAATATTGGAGACTGAACTACTTAATTATATGAAATTTAAAATGTGCTCTATTATTAAAACTATTAGCTTAAGGATACATATATCACACATACATACAAACTATATTTACATAGACATATACACATTTACATACCTACATTTTTAAATGGTAAAATTCACATGTACACAGAGCTTATAGCCTACTATAAATATTAAACACAGGAGTATATTTTCAGATATCATTACTTTTTATTTGAATGTTTAAGCATTATCTTGATATATTAGAAAAAAATAATTTGTTACATTATTCTGGAGGCCTTCTTTTCTTTGAATTTTCTACACTGTATTTGTCTTGCCATTTGACAAATAAGCTTTGAATACTAACCATTTCCAAATATTGTTTTGGTTGTTAGAGACCCTACATTAAACATGGACATTTAAGTATAAAGGTGTAAGGAAGATCCCTTCTGAAACTTGTAGTCTATTGGAAGAAAAAAATACTAAAATAATCACACAAATTAATTCATAACTACAATTGTAAATAATGCTACAAACAAGAGGCATATAAGAAAATGTAATAAGAGGTTTCATCTAGTTAGGAAGTCAAGGTATTCTGTAGAAGTTAATATTAAAAATTAAATTTTAAAAATGGAAATAATTTGATGATAATAGGGAGGTAAGAGGATGTCAGGCAGAGGAAGGAGCTTATGTAAAACTACCATATTTGGAAGAAGAACAGATACACTGCTATGGAAGAAGGCCACGTTCAGGATAAACTGGGGAACTAATTTGGGGCTAAACTCTGTTAGTGCTTGTAGGTCATGTGGTTTGCTTTTTGATTAGATAAAACAAGAATTTAGGGAATTTATTAGAGGAAGCGTGGATAGGTGTGAACATTGTCCATGGAGATCTGCTGTGTATTCCCAGTGTTATAAGGAGCAAGTACCAGAAAATCTGGTCAGTCTTCTGCTGCACTTGCCTCTTGCCTTGTTATTGAGTGATTTAATGATTCTGTGAAAGCTTTTCAGAGTTTGATGAACTACGCTTAGTCACACTGGAGAAAGAGTTTTGCTCAAGTGTCCTTTGATGGAGGAGGCATCACCTCTCTTTCCACATGACAATATTCATATAATTAATACATATTTATTTATATAAAAGTATCAGCTATCTTTGTTAAAAATACCTGAATGCAACTAGATACATTTCATCAAATTTTGTGATTTATGTTTGACAGGATCTGACTTAAAATATACATCATTTGAAGTATATCAACTTCTCTTTTGGTAGTCCTGGGGAGGACCTAAGGAGACAGACAACAATCATCCAGAGTAGCTGCTGATATTCATTACTCATAGAAAATCTTTGTACATGCAAATATCGACAAAGTAAGCAAAGATGTTACCAACAGCAATAATTTATTTATACATATTGATAATTTTATGTGTCAACTTGGCCAGATCTCCATTCTATTAGCCTGTCCTACAGATTTCATATTTGTCAGACCCCATGGGCTCTTCCTTAAAATCATTTAGATAAATATCTGTATGTAGATAGACATATAGGTATATTTATGCATCTATGTAGCAGTCAATATATGTATCTATACAATTATGTATGTATGTATGTATTTACCTACCTACCTATCTGTCCTGTTGGTTCTGTTTCTCTGGAGAACCCCAAGATCTATGAAGTTCATGGTCTTCCCCCCTGATCATTTGCCTGAACTACATGGGAAGGAAGATGAGTGTGTATTTGTGTTTGTGTGTGTGTGTGTGTGCAAGTATGTTTGTCTGTATGTACAATGTGTGCATTACACTAGTGAAAACAAAAAATATTAATATTATTTGATGCTTAATAAAGGAATAATTTTTTTGTTATTCTTTACTTCAAAGCTCTAGTTTCTATGTTAAAAATCTGTCACTGATTATTATTACTATTAGAAAAATTATATAGAAAATGATTATAATAAATTCATGGCTCAAGGCAGCTTAGCAAACACATCATCGACTCCTTCTCTATTAATTGATCCTTTATTCAGATTCTTTTGTATGATAATTTGGGGGTACATTTGTATCACAATATAAAGGAAGTTAAACAAAACAGACTAATGAAATAGAAATGCTACCGTATAAAGAGAAAAAATAATTAGAAAAGGTAAAAACACTAAATAACAGATTGTATTTGAAAGCATCTGTTAGTCAAAATTCGAGCAGTTGATACACGACAATATATGCTATGCCATATTAGATTCTAGACACACACACACAACATATAATTCACAATTTTTATTTTAACACCACAGCTATCAGTAAACTTTATTTATAAACCATCCTCATAATGATCTTAAGAGAATTTTGGAGAAAAATTAAATATCTTTTTATGTCTTGGGGAAATGTTAGGAAATTTAGGGGCCCTTTCATTGTTGCTGACATTTTGTTCCCCAACCTATGCTTACATGAGAAATTAACCTGAAAAATTAAACTTCCAACTAAATTAAGCTACTGAATCATATGTATTAAAAAAAAATTCTGTGGCTTAGTCTAACTATGCTATGAGGAATCTGCAATATATTACCCATCCTTGGTTCCAAGTTCATAGAGTTTGAGTGAACATCCTGTTCAATCTCACCATTACCTTATGCGTGTAAGTCATAGGACACTGCATTTCAAGCTTAAGGACTATTATCAAAAAATGCTTCATATGCTCTACTTTTTTTCTATATTATAAGTGTAGATGGGTTGGTAAAAATATTTCCTGAAATTTGATATATGCTTTTTGAGGACATGTCCTGTATTTCAGTCATCTAATATTTAATCATGAGCTCAGTAAAGTAAGAATAGGTCATGATATCCAAGCTTTATAACTTGGCATTGATATTAATTATTCATTTACAGAAAGAAAACTAATAGGTTTGTGTCTTACCCTGTTTTATGCTGCTATAACACAATACCTGAGACTAAGTACTTTATAAATAAATACGTTTTTATTTCTCACAGTCCTGGAGGCTGGTAGTCCAAGATTAATAGACCACCCTTTTCTCTGGTTGTCAGATGGCTCCTTGTTGATGTATCTTCCAGAGAGGATCAACACTGTGTCCTCACAAGGTGGAAGAGAAGAGAAAGAACCCACTCCAGCAAGCCCTTTTATTCCAGCATTAATCCAGTCATGAGGGCAGAGCCATCCTTATAATAGACTCCACCTCTGAACAATGTTGCATTGGTGATTAAGTTTCCAGCACATGAGATTGGGAAATATATTCAGACTATAGCAGTAGGTATACATCAATTGTCCTCTAAATGAGCGAAGACTGAAATTTGATTCTGATCACTTAGTTTTGTCTGCCTCAAGTATTTCACTCAGAATTGTATAGTCCAAATGACATTCCTCATTTCTCAGTAAATTGAACATTGTACAAAATAAAGTTATGAACTCTGGGAATTGAGGTATATAGAATGTATTTTAAATAGTATTTGTTATCACAGATAATGAATTTAAATTAGAATGCTTTAAACCACAAAAGCACTCTTTTCCATTTCCCTGCAAATATCTGTTGTTTATGGACTCTGACTGCTTTGTAATGTCTTTTAAGGCAGCATTAATATAAAAAATCATTAACCATATTATATGACATTTTGTTATCTGAATTTCTCCAAACATTAAAAAATAGATCCCATTCGGTTTTAAATAGTATATTATAGAAGTTATGGTATACTAATTATCCTTACTGCTATTGTCGTAAAGAAAATAGCTCTAAAAATTAAGTGATAGACATAAACAGTTTGTCTTTTAGTCTTTATGATTCGTATTATTTTTTGTTTTAAAAATGCTTACAGATCAACACACCGATTTTATATCCCTAAGAATTCTTCATCGTGTAGTACAAAGGAAGCCAATCTAGAATCTCAGACATAAATTTAAGTACAACGCGGGATGATTTTATCTTAGAATACACTGCTGAATGAGAGTCAATATGTTTATTGAGCTATTTCATGCTGTTTTGGTGAAGTCAGAAGAAATCAGTTGCATCACAGCTGCGATTCTTGACCTTAAATGTGTAGATGACAGCAAATAGTCTCCAACTAGCTATGCAAGAAATACTTACCTAGTCTCATAAAAGTCTAATCAATATTGAAGGCTTAACTAACAGATGTTATAAGACTTTCACGCTATCTGTGCTTAATAGCGTCTCATTTCATATATTTTCAGTTACTTCCCTAAGTGCAGCTAAGTTAATTACAGTGCTTACATTGAATTCCTTATCTTCTGTTAAGAATAGAGCCTGTTTCAATTTATAATAATGACTATATTGGTTTAAAAAGATAAATAGCTTTATTCAACTTGTGTTGATGTATGGTAATGTTGATTAATTAACTTTTTTGAAAGGAAGCAAGTGCTTTCAGTGAAACAGTATTAGAGGACGAAAAACATTATAAATATTGTATAATACTATGAATTTATCTTTCATTTAAAAAATCAAAATATATAAGACTGAAACAAGAGTCACAATCTTGCTGAAATCTAAAATAAATCTTACCATAAAATTTTATAAGAAAATAAGTATTGTATATAATGATTAATTTTGTGTGTCAACTTGGCTAAACCATAGTGTCCAGATATGTTGTCACACATTAATCTGGCTGTTTCTGTGAAGATGTTTTTTAGATAAGATTAGTATTTAAACCTGTGGACTCCTAATAAAGCATATTATCCTCCATAATAAGGATGGGCCTAGTCTAATTGGTGAAGTCCTTAAGAGAGCAAAGCCTGAACTCCCCAAAGCAAGAAGAAATCCTGCCAGCAGAATGCTTTTGGATTCAGACCGTAACTCTTCCCTAGGTCTCTAGCCTGCTGTTCTACCCTGCAGATTATGGACTTTTATCTGTGCAATCATGGGACCTAATTCCTTACAATCTCTCTCTCTCTATAGAGAGAGATGTGTGTGTGTGTTTGTATGTATAGAAAGATTATATATATTTACATTTTATTTTTTTTTAAATTGTAAAATAGAGACAGACTATATATATATATGATCTGTTTCTATGTATATACATATACATGCATACATACATGCATACATACATACATGCATACATACACATAGATACCCTATTGGTTTTGCGTATTTCTCTGGAAAACCTTGACTAATACATGCATTTAGGAAATATATATCTCTAAGAAGGAAGCTTGGTTTTACAGTATAAATTCACATAATACATGTTTTAAAAAGCAGGGGTTTGTTTGTAAAGAAGATGACGTGTGTTTTTATAATGGTCTGATCCACACACAAGACATTGAAAATTTCAAAGATATTGAAAATTGTCTATATACTTGTCAGTCTTCTCAAGAAAGCTATTAGATTTTTATGGCAAATAATGCCTTTACAAAGATTCTTATGCCTGACTTCTGTAGTCATTTTTTGCCTGTAGTAAGTGCTTAATACATATTATTGAATTATTGATTCTAGGCCAACTTTTCTGCTTTCAGTTTCCATTTGGAAAAACAAAAACAAAAAAAATAACAAACTATCTTTGTGTCAGGGAATCACAAGGTCAGGGCCTCCTGGCATTTTTTTTTGTTTCTCTGTTTTTTCTCAGTCAACACTTAAACATACTTCCAGCAGGATATATTATTTTCCCTATCTAATTACTTTTCAAAATATTTTTTAAGGAGGGGGCATTTTTGTCAACATTTATATTACATAAAACTCAAGTTCACATAAAATAAACTAACTCACATGATACTGAGTGAAGCTTGGTTTAAATGTTAGACTTATATCAATGCATGATCCAGAATATAACCCAATTTATCTGCCTTACATTTTACCACTTTATTGTATATGCCTTACTTTGCTTTTTCTTTCTTCTCCCCTTCACAGTTTAATTTTTGACGTGTTATTTACACTCTCTCTCTTTTTTTTTTTTTTTTTTTTTTTTAGATAGAGTGTTGCTCTGTCGCCCAGGCTGGAGTGCAATGGCGTGGTCTGAGCTCACTGCAACCTCCACCTCCCAGGTTCAAGCGATTCTCTTCCCTTAGCCTCCAGAGTATCTGGGATTACAAGCCCCCGCCACTACACCCAGCTAATTTTTGTATTTTTAGTAGAGACAGGGTTTCACCATGCTGGTAAGGCTGGTCTCGAACTCCTGACCTCAGGTGATCCACCCACCTCGGCCTCCCAAAGTGCTGGGATTATAGGCGTGAGCCACCGTACCCGGCCTACACTCTAATTTTTTTATCTTCACAACTTGAATTAACTTCAAATCACTCCATTTTGATACACATCTCTTACATACAAAAAGTTGTTCTCTCTGTATTTCCCAATGAGGATCATTTTTAACCATTAGACGTCTCAATATCATTTAATAAAGTTGGCAATTTATCCTGCCAATGTATAAATCTGCCAGGATACCACAACCTCTATATTTCCTCTCTGGCCAATGATTCACAGTCCTGTTTTTCTTCTTCTTCTTCTTCTTTTTTTTTTTTTTTTTTTGTTGTTGTTGTTAACTTTTATTTTGTAAGTTTAGGGTTACCAGTTCAGGTTAGTTACATAGGTAAACTTGTATCATGGGGATTTGATCTACAGATTATTTGATCAACCAGGTATTAAGCCTAGGACCCATTAGTTATTTTTCCTGATCCTCTCCCTCCTCCCAACCTCCACCCTCCAAAAGGCCCCAGTGTGTGTTGTTCCCCTTTATGTGTCCATGTGGTCTCATCATTTAGCTCCCACTTATAAGTGAGAGCATGCAGTATTTGGTTTTATGTTCCTTTGTTAGTTTGTGAAGGATAATGGCCTCCAGCTCCATGCATGTCCCTGCAAAGGATATGTTCTCACTTATTTTTATGGCTACATAGTATTTCATGGTGTATATGTACCACATTTTATTTGTCCAGTCTGTTACTGATGGACACTGAAGTTGATTCCATGTCTTTGCTATTGTGAATAGTGTTGCAATGAGCATACACGTGCATGTGTTGTTAAAATAAAATGCTTCTTGTTTCTTTGGGTATATATCCGGTAATGGGATTGCTGGGTTGAATGGTATTTCTCTCTTTAGGTATCTGAGGAATTGCGACACTGCCTTCCATAATGACTGAACTAATTTACACTCCCACCAACAGTGTAAACAATAAAGATTTTTACATCTTTATCCTGAGATACTGGCCTGTTCATTATATGCTCTTATTTTGGTAACTCAACCAGTCTATGACTTCCTTACACAGTCTAATGACTCATTTTCTTGTCTCCTATAGAAAGCTCTCTGCTGAACTCTGCATTCAATTGTTTGAGCAATATTTTTAATTGGTGTCAGATATGTACTACTTAGAAGGTCCAAAGTGTAGTAATTTGCTTCAACATTCCAATCATGTTTTTTCTTTACAAATTTCTGTGAAGTAAACAACCACTTGGTTGTTCAAGTCAAAAACCTGTGACTTGATTCCTCCTTTTCCCATAGCATATTCAAAATCAATCTTAGTAAATCCAACATTGCATTTTGTTTCTACCTTTCATTACTTCTGCCAGCACCCAAGGCTACATTCATGCTACAACCTCAAATACTCTCCCTTCAAATATGGTATCCCTTATATGTTTTCTCCATAGTGCTATAAAATTGTTTAATCAAATATAAATCTAGTCATGAAATTTCTTATTTAAAAAACATCCATGTCTCCCTGTTTTTACAATGCAATACTTACAAAATGTCTAACATGGCACTATAATTGGACTCTTCTCTTAAATCATCTAATTCATCATCATATTTATGTGCTAGCTATGCTGGTCTTTCTTTTTCTCTTTTATTTATCTCTTACTTCTTTTTTACTTTAGAGTCTTCTGACCACATTATTCTTCGCCTACAGTGTACTTAATTTACTCCTTCCCTAGTCTTCATTCTCACCTTCACTGAAAGGTCATTTTTTTATCAAAGTTGTTTTCTAGATTAAGTTAGCTCCCTGTGTTACACACACCTATAAGTCTCTTCTTTTTTCTACTTTGTACACTCAGAACACATGTAATTTTTATAATTTTTTTTTCTTAAGGAAACAGGCAAAGTGATTGTCTTGTTCAAACTCATAACCGAAGCAACTGGCATAAGACCTGATACAGAAGGTATTCAATGTATATTTTGTAAAAAAAAATATACTATTCAGGTAGAAATCATAAGTTTCAGTAAAATCTGTTACCTTTTCCCTTACTTGTGTGTATCATTTTATAAATTACTATAAGATTTATGAGACAGTCAGAAATCACTGAAATTTATAATTTTATTTTCTTTAAATTTTCTTTTATTTTTAATTGATACATAATAATTGTATATATTGAGTACATAGTGATGTTTTGATACATAGTGATCAGATCAGAGTAATTAAGATACTCATCATCACAAACATTTATCCTTTGTGTTGGGAACATTCAATCTCCTCCTTCTAGCTATTAAAACTATATAATATTGTTAACTATAGTCATCCTACAGTGCCATAGAACACTAGAACTTATTCCTCATATCTGGCTGTAACTTTACATCCTTTAACAAATCTCTCCCTAGCCCTTCTTCTCCTTACCTTTCACAGCCTCTAGATCCTCTGTTTCACTTTCTATTTCTATGAGAATATTGTTAAAATCTATTTCAACTTACGCACTACCAGAGGTTACCTCCCTGTGCTGCTCTAATTTTTTTTTCTTTTTTTCTTTTCTCTTTTTTTTTTTTTTTTTTTTGAGACGAAGTTTTGCTCTTGTTGCCCAGGCTAGAGTGCAATGGCACCATCTCAGCTCTGCAGAGGGAGGCAACCTCTGCCTCCCAGGTTCAAGCGATTCTACTGCATCAGCCTCCCATGTAGCTGGGATTACAGGCATGTGCCAACCACGCCTGGCTAATTATGTATTTTTAGTAGAGACGGGGTTTCTCCATGTTGGTCAGGCTGGTCTCAAACTCCTGACCTCAGGTGATCCACCCGCCTCAGCCTCCCAAAGTGCTGGGATTACAGGTGTGAGCCACTGCGCCCAGCTCTGATTTCTATTCCAGAGTTTTTCACACATAATTACTATAGCAATCAAAAGTCTTAAAGTACTTCACTTTTTGGGAGTATAATAATTATAAGTTAAACATGACTTATGGCTTAGTAAATCTTATTTTTAATCATCTATGTAATGATTCATTGATCTTTCTCCCAAAGAAGAGAATCCTTTACCATGAGAAGGTAAACCTCGCCTTATATGCCACTGAATCCCTAGCACTTTGAATGGTGATTACCTAGTAGGTTGTGAGCTCTCAATAATCATCTATTGTCAATTAATTTTTAATGTTAAGAACATTTACTGAAATAATAGGTATTACACGTAAACAGGTTTCCTTAGATAAAACAATCCAATTCACCTTTAGAAGAAGTTATTTAAAACTTACTTAAATCTTGTTATTATGTTCCACTGGATCAAAACCAAATTAACCATTATTTCAGTCTCATTAGCTTGATTATATAATGGAAATTGAGAAGACGAGCTATTGAAAAACATCTAACCTGTAAGTCATAATTAACTAAATTAAATACATTCTTAAAGCAATAAATGCAATCTGCTTGCTTTTTCTAAGGGCTAAACTGTTTGAGTTTAAGCCAATTTCAAAGAGAAAAATAATGTGATTCTGAAAAATTACAGACTATGAATTAGGCGGTTTACATTCCAGTGCTTATGCAAAAGAATATATAAAATCATATGAATATATTAACATTTAACTCTATGTATTCTGTTTTCTTTTGAAATTTTTAAAATTTTACCAGTACCAAGCCTCAGTAATGTAGACCAACACAGTATATCTTAATGTTTTCAAAATGTATTTTGACTAAGCTATTCACACATACGTTTTTTATGTTTATCACTTTCCAATACTAAATTTTGTTTTAGAAAAGTAATGCAAGGAAACCATACATGGTAGACATCTGTTACATTTAAATATTAAATCTGTGGATGTAGGAGCAACATTTGGCCCTGAAATAGTTTAAAATAAAAAAGCACTTGAACTAAATTCAAAACTCAATATTCATTCAGAGTTTACAGTTTAGTATAGGAGAAAGAGAGAAAATAGACAAAATAAATAATATATACATATATATTAGATAATAAGTGTTATGGGGAATATAAAGCAATAAAATGTATGAATACAATTTAAAATCGTGGCTAGGTTATCTTGCCAAGAAAATATTGTTCACATGTAAACCTCAGTTCTCTGACAGTGAGTTTTGCAGGTGGCAGAGGTCAGAGTGACCCATGTAGAAGAAAATTCAAGAGCAGAGGCCATGAGTTTAATTGACTGGGGTATTTAAACAATAGAAAAATCAAAGTAGTGGAAGTCATCTGTTAAAAAAAAATGTGAAACTATGGTTCATATACACCATGGAAGGCTATGCAGCCATAAAAAAGAACAAGATCATGTCCTTTGCAGGAACATGGATGGAGTTGGAGGCCATTATGCTTAGCAAACCAATACAGGAGCAGAAAACTAAATACCACATGTTCTCACTTATAAGTGGGAGGTAAATGATGAAAACGCATGGACACATAGAGGGGAACAGCAAACACTAGGGCCTTTCAAAGGGTGGAGGTTGGGGGAGGGAGAGGATCAGAAAAAACAACTAATGAGTCCTAGGCTTAATCTCTGGTTGATGAAATAATCTGTACAACAAACCCCCAATACAAGTTTACATATGCAACAAACTTGCACTTGTACCCTTGAACTTAAAATAAAAATTAAAAAAAATAAAGTGGGACTGACAAGACATAACTTTTTTAAAAAAAGAAAGAAAAGAAAATCACAATAAGTAGAAATTTGGAAGAAGGGGAGAAAGGAGGAAGAAAGAGAAAAATAAAACACATAGATTAGTCAGGAACCTGGAAACCCAGACGGCAGATGCAAGTGTCATAGTCCGTTGTGTTGCCATAAAGGAATACCTGACACTAGATAGTTTATAAAGAAAAGACCCTTCCTCACTAACAGTTCTGCAGGCTGTCCAAGAAGCAGGGCACTACCATCTGCTTCTGACGAGGTCCTCATGCTACTTCCAATCATGGCAAAATGTGAAGGGGAGCCAGTGACGAGAGATCCCATGGTGAGAAAGGAAGCAAGGGAAAGAAGGTTTTTAACAATCAGCTATTTTTATCAATCAGCTCTGGAGGGAAATAATAGAGCAAGAACTCACTCACCCACACCTAGGGAGGCCATTAATCTATTCATGACGGAACTGACCCCATGACCCAAACACCTGGCACTCAAACACCAACATTGTTGATCAAATTTCAACGTGAGTTTTGGGGAACAAAGACCCAAACTATAGCAGTAGATGAGGGCATTGTTAAGAAAAAAGACATTTCATTATGAATTATAGTTTATATTGATGATATATATCCACTCACTGTTATTGTTATTATTAAAAACTTAACTCCATATACCTAGCGCCTATGCTTATTAGTAGTAGGAGACAGGATCAAGGAAAAGATTTATCCTAATTTGGTAGATGTTCAAGTGTAGGAAAAGAAGCAAATACAGGGCACTCTAGAGAGTGTTAATTCAAGAGCAAATAGAAATCAGTTAGATTTGACTATCAGATATATAAACCCTTGAGAAGAATTTTTTAGCAGATATGAGATGAAAGTTCCAGTCCTACAAATCTAGACTCTAAAGCATACATTTGAGTAACATATGGAACAGCATACTACATCTGAGTAAGATTATAAAAAAGGATGTCTATCAAACATCAGAAACAAATAACTTGGATTTTCCATTGCATCACTTTATCTTTTCATTCTTTTTTTCTTAAGATATTCTCTTTAAATGTCTGGAATTGTTCTCATGTACTAAAGGCCAAAATGGATTCACACATCTCAAGTGAAGAGAATTGTAATTCAGAACAGTGACTTTCAATTTCTGCCAACCATAATCTACCAGTCCTTTTAAGACTGCATGTTTTAGACATAAGCTATATTTAAATTAGTGAAAATATTTCAACTTCCATCAATCTCACCATTTGAAAGGGGAGAGTAAGAAGTTGAAACTTCTATAGGACTTTGCTCAGGAATTTGCATTACAATTATTTTTCTCTAGTCTGTGCCCCTTTTCTTGTTTTTTAAATTTTAAATTGACAATTAATAATTGTATAATATATGGGGTACTAAGTGGTATTATTATTTATGAATACAATGTGTAATAACCAAGTCATACTAGTTAACATATCAATCACTGCAAAAACTTAGCAGTCTTTTTTTATTTTTTGCAGCAATTTGTAATTTTAATTAAGTCCAATTTATCATTTTGTGTATGCATATGGATTGTGCTTTTCACTGAAAAGTGTGGTTATAAATGTAGTTTAGTATTTCATAGATGTCCATTACCAGGTTGAAGTATTTTATTTGGATTCCTAAATTATCTTTTTTTATAATCATTAATAGATACTGAATTTTGCCAAATGCTTTATATGACTACTAAACATTATCATATCCTTTTCTTTTTTAAAAAATGACGCATCTCAGTGATCAATTTTTGAATGTCAAATATCTTGCATTCCCCAAATAAATCCTCCTTATTTTTGATGAGTTACCCTTTTAAATATTGGTTAATTTGAATTGCTTTATATAATTGAGGAAGATTGTGTCTGTAATCATGAAAGATATTTGTCTTAATTTAGTGTTTTTGTTTTCTGAAATGATTGTCTTTTATTAATACCAGAGTATCCCTAGCTTCATCAAACATTTGGATATATTCTCTTCTCTTCTATTGTTTGAAAATTATATACAGAATAAATATTATATCTGTGGTAGATAGCTTCCTAGGCTGACCTTTTTTGATCCCCACCTCCTGGTATTTATGGCCTTGTGTAACCTCCTCTCCTTGAATTTGGGGTGAAATTAATGCCTGGCTTTAATGAACAGAATATGATAAAGGTGATAGGGCTTCACTTCTGAGATTAGAATGTAACAGGATGTGACTTGATCTTGCTAGGTCTCTCTCTCTCTCATACACTCTCTCTTGTTTACTCTGATGAGTCAAGATATTATGTTGTGAGATGCTCTGTGAAGTGGTCTACAGAGCAAGGAATGGAGAGTTAGTCCAAGGAATGGACAATTAGTCATGAGGAACTGAGGCCCAATCTAACAGTATACATAAATTAATTCTTTGCAATATGTGTGTGTGTGTGTGTGTGTGTGTGTGTGTGTGTGTGTGATTTTATATTTTTAGACCTTACAGTCTTTATCTGATTTTGTAACATTGTATGTAGGAAAGTCGATAATTAAGTAATATTATTTACAGTGGTAAACTGGCATGCCACTTCTTTGCCAGGACTTTAATGTGTATGAGAAAGTGCTGAGTTATTTCAACCCAGTAGTGCGTTGAATTTAGGTGTTGTAGCTATGGTTACCTTCTTTGCATTTACTATTAACTTAAAATTTCTCTAATGTTAACTTTCACTTCGTGTATGGGCTGGGTTGCTGGAGATATTTTTTCAATTCCTGTTTCCATCTCAGCTTTTGACTTCTTATTTGTCTATATCTCACAGAAGGTTTCCTTTCAACCTCTTGCCCCTTCCTCAATGGTAGATTGCTTTACTGTTTTACTTCTCTAGTTTCTGAGTATTTCATGGGTTGAATTGTATCTCCCCACTAAATTCATACGTTGATATCCTAACACCCAGGACTAAGAATGTGACTGTATTTGGAGAAAAGGCCTTTAAACAGGCAACTAAGTTCAATTTAAGATGTTAGAATGGGCCATAATCCAATATAACTGGTGTATTTATAAGAAGAGAAAATTTAGACATCCAAAAAGACACCAAGAATGCATGCAAAAAAAGGAAAGAACATATGAGGACACAGAGAGAAGGCAGCTATCTGCAAGCCAAGGAGAGAGGTCCCAGGAGAAACCTTCTAATACCTTGATCTTGGACATCTAGCCTCCAGAAATACAAGAAAATAAATTTTCATTGTTTAAGTCACCCAGTCTCTGGTATTGTTACAGCAAAATAATAAATTCAAGGTTTGCTAATGTGTATTGGGGGTAGGGGAATGCCTTGTATCTTCTGTTGATGTAAGCAGACCCTGGATTGTCAGACCTTTGGTGTGCCACTTTCTCAGTGATCCCGCTCCTTTAGCAGCATTAGGACATTTCTCATAGTCTGCACCCAGTATGTTTTCCTGCCCTTTCCTCAGATGTTGTAATTTTTTTATATTTTTTAGTATTTTTTTTTCCAGGCTGCAAATGGTTCTTTACCTATGCAGTTAGGACATTAGTATTTGCTGCCTTTTATCAAGATTAAGCCTTCTTTTTCTTCAGGTCATAATATTCTGAGTAGGATTTTTTTGCCCTTCCCATAGTGGTGACTGCTCCCCTACCCAATTCTAATCTTAGGAGAATTTTTCCATTTTTCCTCTTGCCATCAATCCTTCTTAGAAGCAGACAGTGGAATCTGTGGAGAAGAGCCTGCAAGTATGGGGATCAGGGGGAAACTTGCCTTAATTTTGCACCTCCCAGGGATGCTATATCCTTACAGTAACTCAAACTATCTGAATAGTGGCTTAAAAAATTTTAGCCAAAATCTTCTTAACTATGCTGTGTAATCTAGTGCTTGCAATCCACCTCTACTTGGTGGCATCTGTCTGTCCTTCAATTTAAAAGTAGCTGATTACAGTGTAATCTTAACTTTATTATGGCTTTAATAGAAGTGATTGTTTTAATTTTATATACCTTTTTCTTATTGTTAGGATTAGAAATGTAATATTTTCAGCTTTCTTTGTTCTCAACGAAAGTTGGGGGAAAAAAGCCATCTTTATGAGAAACATCATTAGTAATTGGAAATTAAACAATAAGTGTTTTCTGAAAGAATTAATGAATAAATGGAAAAACGAAGTTAGAATTTAGTAATATATTTCAAATCATAACAAACATGCAAAAGCCTACACTTAAACTCAGCCCTGAAGACACAGTAAGGTTTGTGTGTAGCACATTGCTTAGATAAATTAATTTCCACATTACTCATCAGATTTGGTATTTTGAAGTTTGTCAGAGACTGATCTCCCAGATAATTCATCACTATGTTTTAATACGTCTATCAACTCTCTGATCTGTGTGGATAGTTTCTTAAAATATCAAAAGATTCAACCCAATATCTAGCTACATAACTTGTTTTGTAATGTAGCAAGTTTCTCACTTGCTTTTGATACAAAGGTTAAAATATACTTAAATCTTCCTATGTTAATGACCTCCAAACAACGGCATTTATATTATGAATAAATCTACTCTCTTATATTGTCTTTGAAATATGCATCGACTTTAATTTTTAAAAAATATTACTGTGTCAGATGTGATTATAATCGCAGAGCTTATTCATACTGTTAATAAGGTTAAATTCTAAATAGAAATTTGTATCAGATGAGATCTGGGCAGAATCATGAAATGAATTTCATTTTACTTTTTTACTACTCTAGTTGGTTTCAGTACTTTCAAATTGATCTTTCAAATATCTAGGACACTCTAACCATCTTCCTTGTTACAGATGTTCTCTTATCTTCTTTAAATATATATTTTTTCTCTATCCTAGTTTCTCAGTTTATTCTCCTGGTTAGTTTGTAATTGAAAATTCCTATCATGTCTATGATATAACAAGAGAATACTTACAGCTTTCAGATTATTTTTGATTACTAATTGTCAGCAGAATTATGTCAGAGGTAGTCTTGACAAGCAAGCCATTTAAAGGCGAAGTCAGTTAATGGAATGTATTCATGACTAATTAATAGCCTCATGCTTATTTCATCCTTCCATTCCACTAATACTCCCATCCTACTATTTTAAAAGCAAAGTTCAGTATAAATCTCCTTAGTGCAGAAAAGAGCAGATTGAAGAAAATATACTTTTTTTTGAAAATTTTCTAGCAACAGAAACTTTACAACTTATGATTCTGAAGAGGCACTAAAGTATTAAGGTTGGATCTTCAAGAATGCCCCTAGAACTTCTGAAATGTGTCTCCCACAAAGACTCTTTTCTGTGTGCCTCAGAACATAGATTTTGAATGTCTAGTTTTGCAGCTTTGAACGGTACCTTGGGGTATGGAATGAAAGTCAGATGGGGGAAGGATGGAAAAAGGTACACTAATAATGCACCTATCATTTCCCATCATTAGGTGAGAAAAATTATTCGTATTTAATTGTCAAATATTTTGACATTTTGACCCAGCCCCCTTTGCTTCCTCATGTTTTTATTTTGCATAGCACAAATTACAGATCAGTACCAGATCTATATTCTGAACTAAAACCACATCATGATTTGTGTTTTTTGAAAATGTGAATGCAAATTAAAACTTCTTTTCAGCAATTAACTAGAAAATATAGTCTTGTCCATTTTTGTTGTTGTTGTTTTGAGACGGAGTCTCCCGCTCTCACCCAGACTGGAGTGCAATGGCAGGATGTTGGCTCACTGCAACCTCCCCATCCTGGGTTCAAGCGATTCTCCTGCTTCGGCCTCCTGAGTAGCTGGGATTACAAACGCGCACCAACATGCCCCGCCAATTTTTGTATTTTTCATACAGACGGGGTTTTACCATGTTGGTCAGGCTAGTCTCATACTTCTGACCTCGTGATCTGCCCTCCTCGGCCTCCCATAGTTTTCATGCCTGCTAACACAGCATTCATTCTGCAGCCCATGAAAGTTTCAACTTTTAAGTCTTATTGTTTATGAAATACATTTTCTAAGTCTTTAGCCACATAGGTAATGATTCCTCTGATAGATCTTAGAAGAGTAAACTGAAAGCCTTTTGGAAAGAATTCACCATTGCAGATGCCATTAATAACATTCACGATTCATGGGAGCAGGTCAAAATAGCAACACTAACGCTACTTTGGAAGAAGTTGATTCCAACCCTCATGGATGACTTTGAGGGGTTCAAGACTTCAGTGGAGGAAGTAACTGCATAGGTGGTGAAAGTAGTAAGAGAACCAGAATCAGAAGTGGAGCCTTACGATATAACTAGCTGTAATCTCATGATAAAACTTGAACAGATGAAGAATTGCTTCTTATGGACGAACAAAGAAAATAGTTTATTGAGATGGAATCTACTTCTGGTGAAGATGTTGGAAATATTGTTGAAATGACAACAAAGAATTTAGAATATTAAATAAACTTAGTTTATAAAACATCAGCAGGGTTTGAGAGAATTGACTCCAATTTTGAAAGAAGTTCTATTGTGGGTAAAAATGCTATGAAACAGCATCTCATGCAACAGTAAAATGTTTCGTGAAAGAACGAGTCAATCGAGACAGCACACTTTCTTGCTCTCTTATTTTAAGAAATTGCCACCACCAGCTCGATCTTCAGCAACCACCACCCTGATCTGTTAGTAGACATCAATATTGAGACAAGACCCTTCATTCGCAAAAATATTATCACTCACTGAAGGTTCAGATGGTCTTTAGTTTTTTTAAAGAATAAAGCATTTTTAATTAAGTTATGTATATTGTTTTTCAGACATAATCTTACTGTACACTTAACAGACTACAGGTACTGTAAACATAACTTTATTTGTACTGGGAAAACAGAAGTTTTGCATGACTCACTTTATTTCAACAGCCGGTTTATGGCAGCGTTCTAAAACCAAACTCACAGTATCTCTAAGGCATGATTGTACTCAGGACACCTCCTACACATTTCCCAAAGTCCTTGTAGCCCATTGCCAGATATAGCAATAGGAATAAAAAAGAAAAAAAAAACACAATATCAATAATAATAACAAGAAATGGCAGTGTAGACCAAGTTTTCTGAGGACAAGAAGAGACCCCCACTATCTAAAAGGCAGATCAAACCATCGTTTTTTTTTCTAGCCATCCATTTGTTATTATTTATTTATTTATTTTAGAGGCAAAACAATAGAATTTTCAACAAGAGAAGGAAGTTTGAGTCATTACTAAGTCTCTTATTTACTACGTGTGTGAATTTGTTTATGACATTTATTTCTCAGTCTCCATTTCCTCATTAATTAAATGAAAGCTGTAGCAATTCCTCAGTTTGCTATTGGTATGAATTGAGTCTATTTACATGAACGTATGAGTAGAATGTTATTAACTATGCAAATGTTAGTTTCTATTCCTCTGAGCTGTGAAGGTTTGGGGTTATGTATGATGACAAATTTATGTTTATTCCCAGCACTTACCACAATAACTAACCAAAAGCAGAGTCTCCTTAAGTCTGTGTTGAATGATTGATTAGAAATAAGCCACTTGGTTTCATTTTCTAAACCTTCTCTTACAAGGATTAAATTTATATTTTTTCAACTTTTATGATATTAGGAGAAAGATTATATTTTTTATAAATTGTCAATCTTACTTCAACACTAGAAAATTTCAGATGATAAATTTTATGGTTTTAATGTTTCTTTTCTCACCCAGTCCCCTAGAGAAACACTGACATATATTCTGACGTTGTTAAAAATGTAACAGATTAGTAAGAAACATAATTATAAAATTATCATAATGTTGTGGAACAGATGGTGATGTAAATTGATCTACCTGCAAGCCATGAATGAAAGAATAGGTAGAGGTTAGAATAAACACAAGTCAGGCCCACAATGTACAAGGCTAGAATAAGAAGGGTCCCCACTGGGTACATAGACAATGGTACCAAAAACTCTATGATTAACCAATTCTTATAACTGCAAGAAAATTATCTTAGCAGAGGTACTCATTGGGAGGATCTATCAAGACCTGGAGTACAGACTATATTAGTTTAGAAATTTAAGGTAACATTGAAGCCAATCACTTTTACTGTTTAATGAAATCCCTATTTTAAAGAACCATTCCAGATATTTTGAAAGAAACATATCTGAACCAATTTTCGCTAACTGAATTGGATTATTGGCGTGATTCTGGTGTCTAAGATTGTAGAAGATTTATGGACATTGTTTTACAGGGTATATACATTTCTTCTAGTATTTATAGCAGGATGTTTTGATAGAAACTTCCACATTCTATGTTTTACTATATAAATGGTATTTGCTTATGTAAAAACAAAACAAAACAAAACTTTAGAGGAATCCATTGTGACCATCAGGGATTCAAAAATTATACTTTGATACATCCTGAAAAGTGCACATTTAAGACATCACAGTTTCTGCAGTATATACCGTGATGTTCTCATGAAGGTTTTGATTCTGTTGATATAATTTAAATCTAAGGAATTTTAATTAATAGTATTGGTGACAAACAAGATATCAATAAGCATATATTGTCATCACATGTCCTTATCATAGGTGTAGTACAGGTGTTAATAACATTATACTGTGGCAAATACTTAAGTCACCATAGTCTTATCACACAGAGTGGACAGAAATGATTCTCTCTCCTAGCAGTTGCACATGTTTGCTTAAAGGAAAAAAATAATATCCCAGCATAAGTTAGGGATATGTTTGGTTAGCAGCTCTTAGGTATAGGCTGAAATAATCATTTTTATCAGAAGATCTGCTAAAATTAAAGAATACAGATAATATTATATCATTTATTTGTTGTTCTCAAAAGTAAAGCCATAGTGTTTGCTGTTCATATTTCTTGCCCTCAGTTATTTTGTTTTCTTGTGTAGTGATTAGATATTCAGCAGTCAAATTATCTCTGTTTGATATAAAACTACTTCTATGTTCATAAGAGCCAAAAGTTAAAAAACTACTAAAATATTCATTGAAAGTTAGAGGTATAATATTCACTCGATAACATTTATACAGTAATGAAAATCAACATCTATAACTACATGCATCAACATGAATGAATCTTATGAATACAATTTGAATGTAAAAAGCCAGGCATGAGAGTACACACTGTGTGTGTGTGTGTATTCATTTATTGTAAATGGAAAAAAATATGCAAAACTTACTTAGGTTTCAGAATAGTAGTTATACTTGGCAGAAGAGGGGTATATCGTAGGGGAAATTAGAGGAACTTCAAGATTGCTGCTAATGTTCTCTTCTTGACTGTCAGTTACATAGGTGTGTTCAGTTGGAAAAATGTTATTAATATATAACATCTTGTGAGACAATTCTCTACAGATCTATTACATTTTTGTATACCTTAAGGGCACAGGTACTAGCTGCCTTTTCAGAGACTATCTTTTCTAAAATATTAATATTGAAGTGACCTTGGAAGATAAAGGAATAGCTCCATTAGGGGCTGGGAGAAGATTGGTTTCCTGACTGGTACAATAAAGATAATGCTTCTCTCCAGGAAAAAGTTTGAGTAGGTTAATCTGTAACCCCTTTTATGGAAGACTGGTTTACCTAGTTCACAACTTGCTGCATGTGTAAATGTCACTGAGCCCTTGTGACATGACCATGTGGGAATCAAAGCTCAGGAAACATGGGAAATGATCATATTGTACTGCTATTGTTGTGAGCAATAAATGTTCCTTTGTTTTTGCTTTAAGAGTCTCACGACTTCTGCCACCATCCATGAAACAGTGACAGCTTGAGAGTAGGGTAATATCTTGTTAGCTTGAGAGTAGGGTAATATCTCAAAACCTTCACATTTTTTGACACTAAAATAACCACTTTATAGATGTAGTTAAGTAGTTAAGTATGACATATATTTAATCAAAAGTAAACTATAGTTATTGGCACATGTGCTTTTTTATACATGCACTACCCTTTAACAGAAACTTAAAAAATTACTTGGAGCAGTCCTGATTCCTTATAAATCATAAATCACAACAATAAGCAAATATAGAAACTAGAAAGTATTTCTTGTTCTAGAAGATATACACACACACACACAAAGTCAAAACAAGTTAAGCACTTCCTAGTACACGTAGAGCAATAATCAACTTTTGAATGCAAAAGCATTAGCTACTTTTCTTGGGGGAAAAAAGGATTTGAGATCATGGATTTGTTAGGCCCCTGCCTTTTAATTATATAAATATTTTTGTTCATTTTCTTTAAAAAATTATACTGGAATTTTTAATACTCTGTCCCACATATTAGCTATTCAAGTTTTACGCTTGCCTACAAATTAGTAACATTTAAACATTATTTTAGGAGTTTAAAAGGTTACAACTTTATTGCATTCATTTTACTTAAAGAGAAGCAAGGATTGATGTATTTGCCAAGTGACCAATACTACTGCTTGTCCTGTTTATAGAGAAATTTATTTTTAGAAGATAAATTGGGTGGAAAATGCATCTGATAATACCATATTTGCACAGAGTTTATGTTTTGGGGGTAAACTCAGATCCCATTGAATTGTTAGTCTATTGGAAAATGTAGTATGCTAGTAATAATGCTTAACACGGTAAATAAGGACACTAAAACATAGAAAACTTACTTAATTTTTCCAGAATTATTTTAAAAATTTTTAGAGGAGGTACCTGAACCTGGATCTTACTAAAATACTCTGCCTTCGAAGTCATAAATTTAACCTAAAAGGGCCTTTCTATGTAAGCAATACATTTATGGTAGTAAATGGTATACAATTCTATACATGATAAGTCCTAGTTATTTTAATATCTGAATATTAAAATAGTCATTTCATCATCTAAACATAAAAACATGACTTATATTTTTGAAAACTGAAAATCATATTGAAAATGAAACACTGAAACAAAATCTCAGAAATTAGTAATTACTAAACATGCTAGAAAGGTAATACATTCTCAGAGCTTCAGTTCCCATAGCGTGCAGTATTCTCTAAAGCAGTGTCAATGGCTCAGTTCAACATATTGATGTTTAAAGCAGCAAGAAACAAAGCCATAAAAATAGCCTAATAAAAAACAAGCTATTTGTGGGTGGTGAAAATGTATTCTGTGTAAAAAATTTTGCACAGGACCCTACGGGTTTCCTCTCAGCTATACAACTAGGCTGGCTTTCATAACTGGGGCTGTTCTCCAGGGATTCTTGTGTTGCTTTTTGGCTTTGATAAAATAGAGAAGGGATGAGAATATTGAGCCTGATTGGCTCACTACTCTAGGGACAAGGGCTTGAAAGCTTATCAGCAGGCTTTTTAAAACAAACAAAATACAATCTCAGAAATATAAGTAAGAGAGGCTTATAATTTAAAGAGAAAATAGGTTTTGCATGGTGATATTTTTGGGGTGCTTTAATCACTGCCTTCACCTCCCTACTCCTCATATCAGGTAATTGAGTTAATAAATAGTCATAATTCTCATCCTATTATTGTATTCAGAGTTATGTTGATTCAATTAAATTGTTAATATCTTTTGGCTTTAGCAAGTTAGGCTGGGGATTAAATAAGATCATGGTAACATAATTGCTTTGAAACTGCTTTTTACAAAATCATATTAATAGATCATTTTCATTTTATAGGAATGTGCATTTGCATAAAATTACCCAAAATGTCCAATGGGAATAAAAAGTTCTAGGAACCCACATATAGATAAGGACGGTTAATGCGTACATGTAAGACCACATTGTTGACCTTTCTATCTCTCATAGTAATAGATTCCTGTGAAAGACTCTTTACTGAGCCATTACAAGTGAAGAACCACCCAATTTCATGACTTATATCTACATATATTTTCCCTAATAATAAGGAACTCAAACAACAAAATAGCAAAAATAATAATAATGGTAATCTGATTTTTTTAATGGGCAAGACACCTAAAAAGATATTTCTCAAAAGAAGACATACAAATGGCCAATAGGTGTATGAAAAAAATGTTCAACATCACTAATCATCAGTGAACATCAAAACCACAATGAGATATTATTTCACTCCCGTTAGAATGACTATTATCAAAAAGACCGAAAATAACAGATGTTGATGAGGATGTGGAGAAAGGGGAGCGCTGGTACACTGTTTGCAGGAATGTAAATTAGTACGGCTACTGTGGAAACAGTATAGAGTTTTCTGAAAAAGCTAAAAATAGAACTACTATGTGATCCAGCAATTCCACTGCTGGCTATATATCCAAGAAAAAAAAAAGGGGGTAAGGGGAATCAATTTATTAAGCAGATATCTGCACTTCTATGTCTTTTGAAGTACTATTTACAATAGCCAAGATATGAAATTAACCTAAGTGTCCAACAACAAATTAATGCATAATGAAAATGTAGAAATACATGATGGAATATTATTCACCCATAGAAAAGATTGAAATTCTATCATTTGCAGCAACATAGATGGATCTATGGAACATTCAGTGAAATAAGCCAGGCACAGAAAGACAAATATTGAATGTTTTTACTCATATGTATGAGTTAAAAATTTTGATCTCAGTGAGTAGCAGTGAGTAGAATGGTGGCCACCAAAGTAGGGTAGGGAAAGGGATAGAATGAAAAGACATTGGTTAATGGGTACAAAACTACAGTTGGATAGAAAGGATAAGTTCTGGTGTTCAATAGGACAGTAAGACTGCTATAGTTATCAAAATTTTATTGTATGTTTCAAAATATCTAGAATAGATGTTTTGGAATGTTTCCAATGAAAAGAAATAATAGATGTTTGAAGTGGTAGATATCTTAATTACCCTGATTGTAATTATCTGCATGCATGTATCAAAATCTCACATGTACCCTCAAAATCTGTACAACTATGTATCAGTTTTTAAAATAATTACCAAAGCTATACAATTTCTCAAAGATAATTATTGTCTAGCATTTTTACCAATGAAGAAATTATTTTATAATAGGAGATTATATTCATAATACTTAAATTTCTCCAAAACATTAGCAAGAATATGCTATCGTAAAGATTAATCTTATCATGGCCAATCTTGAATACCTTGACAATCTTCATAGTACCAAAACATGTCCATATTGATTTTTCAAAAAACAGATGTTGAAATTAAATCATACGTTTTGGTTTTGTTTTCATTAATCCCATTGCTTCAAAACCCATTGCTTTTCAGCCTTGGTCCTAAAAGTATGGCTAATGATTTTCTCCTGTATGTTCTGTCTTCCAAACCTTCTAAATTATTTTGTTTCATGCAATGCTCTTATTTTTGACAATTTACCTTTTTTTTTCCTGTTTATTCTCTTGTCTTTGGCATCCAGTTTTTTAAGCCTGTGAACTAACAGCAAGAAACTGGGGTAATTGTGAAAGAGTAGGACTTTTGTTTTTAAAGTAATACTCTTCTTAGTTTTGAATGCATAATGTAAAGCATGTTATAGTTTTATGAATAAAATTTAACAAAACAGAAAATAATTCAAAAGCATTTTTAGATGTCTATAATTTTACATACCTCACCATATAAAGTATGGCATTATGCATATCTTAGTAACTTGAGATTCAAATCTAAGGAAATAAGTGGCCCTTATAGAAAATCTTTAACATAGGGACAGTCAATTGGCATTATTTCAGGAAGTACACACTTGAGAGGCATCGCTGTCCTCCCTTCAGCTAGCCATATTCCGTCAATATATGAAGGTTTACCTATTAGTATGATAAATATCAGATATGACTTTTTACTACCAAAATCAGAGCTTAATCATCAGCATTGTTTCTTGCTATTTGTTTGGAGAAATTGTTTCCTGACCCCAACTATAAGACTATAGGACCCAGCTTATGGAATGCTGCCTTATCTATCTTGGCTGAACTTTCCACACAAAGTGACAATAGTGCATGAAAAACAAGTTTAGTGGACAAGTTTACAGACTGTTTATCCCTGCTTTCTAAGGAATATTTTTCTAATACGCATTGTATGTATGACAAAATTTAGACTGTGGTTTGCTTTAATGATATAGCATTTGATGAGGTAAGAAGACAGCTACTCAAAAATTCAAATTTATTCTGCACTAAAGGCAAACTATTGAAAAGTTTTAAACAAAGAAGAGGCATAATACAATTTGTATTTTAGAACAAGAGCTACAATGAAGAGCTTGAATTGAGATGAGCTGAGAGAACAGATAGGAAGGCAAATGTCAAGGTAAGTAAAACAAATTCTGTCTTTATTACTTTCCCTCACTTTCATCCATTAAAATTTTCCCTTCAGCCATTACAAAAAAATGTTTCAAAGGTATCCTTTTAATTGTTTATGTATATTAGTAGAAAAGATTTTAAGCCTTTCACTGCTTACTCTGTGTTACACAACTATTTAGCTGTAGAGAAAGACATAACTGGTTTCAAAGTTCAATATTACATCATTAGATAATAAGAGGTAGGAAAACAACAAGTGATGCAAGACAGGCTGTGCTGAATGCTCAAATGGAGGGTTGGAATTTATTCTTTTGAGTAGTGGAGAAGAAGACAATAAGCTGAAGTTTGACAGAGGGGAATATTTGAATAATAAGGGGTCAAGCTATTAGAATGTTACAATCAAGAATTAATTTACTAAAATGATTAAGATTAATTAAACAACCCAGTTTCCATTAAAATATCTGTAGCTTAACATTTCATGTGAGAGAGTGGCAAATATAAATGTTTCAGTTTTACTTGACATCATGATGGATATGGATCAAACCGAAAGCTGCCCAAACCATCCATGTTAATTTTGATGGAGTGACCCTATCAACGAGTTTCAGCAAACATTAGTGATATCATGGCTAGCCATGTGTAAGCAGACAATACAAGTCTAGATTTTTGGATCATTTTCACATAGAACAGACAAGAAAAAATAAGCTTACCACATAGCAAAGCTTTTCATGAATGCGAGCTTGGCTCTGGGCAGCATCCCCTAGGGTCTGAGCACAAGCTGGCATGAGTTCTGTCATGGTAGGAATATTCAGGATGTTCACTTAACCAGTAAAATCTTCCCTACTAGGGGAGACAAGAGTAAATGGGATTCAAAAAAGGTGCCATTTTTTATTTAGTAAAACCTGCGATATGTCTGAATAAGAGCCACAAAAACAAGCGTTTGGGTTTCTGAAAGCCACTGCTCCCTGCCTATGCCCTAGACTGAAAAGCATATTTTAAAATTTACTTTAATCTTTCTCACTTTTTCTGGTGTTCTATTAGTTCAAAAGGTTTGACAGCATATACATTATACTGTGATTTCATTTTACTGAATATTTAGGGCATTTTTATTTCATTTTTATTCAAAGCAGTCGGAGCCCATTATGGTAGATACCTGCTTGTTAAATGCAATATTTTTCCTCTAATGGTAGCTTAGAAATACTCTGATTTAAGTTTATGAAAATCTTCAATGTTAGTAAGTAAAATCACTGAAACTTCTCTTTATTAAGAAGCACATTTAATTTAAATCATTTTTATCCAAATGAATGTAATGACCAAATAGCAAATACATTAGAGAGGAATTTTTATTGGAAATCCTGGCATAAAGTTAACTAAAACAACTCTAGAATTCTAGTCAGAGCTCCTATAAAAATAAATCAGATTTATGTTCATGTTGTATACAGCTTATTCTTTGCAAAAGAACAGTGAGGAGAAAATCAGCAGTATTTAGAAATCTGTTAAGTTTAATAAATGTGCAGGCTTAAAATTCCAGTTGTGAGTTACATGGAAATCTACAAAGAAAGCCATATATACAGTTAATTAATTACCACTTTTAGTAATTAACCAACCCCCATATGTTTATATTTATTGAACCAAGAAAAGATGCCATTTAGTGTGCAATTTTGTGGAAAGTCCATGCAGTGAAATAATAATACTATGTGTATATGAACTTCTAATTGTATGTTTTATTTCAGACTTAAACCTTTTTTATAAAGCAAAAGTCAGTGGGTAGCCACAGCTGGTAAAAGGAGAAAGCATTTTCTACTGCAGAGAGCTTGTTCATGAACTGTTTGAGCTGGCTTAAAATGGAGTGGATCCTATCACAAGCAAAGCAGCCACTGGGAAGTCCTAGATATGTTCTTTGTTTGAGGTTATACTGATTTTGACATAAACATGTCAACTCCTTTTTATTCCCTTCCTTTGGATGCCATTTCTGTGAAACTTGAAGCTCTTAAAATCAAGACTCAAAGTCTGGAGAGTGTCAAGAGAAGTAGAAATGTGTAAAAATATTGAGTGCTAGGTTTATCACTAATAATTTATACTCAACACTCTTGTAAAATACAGTACCACTGTTATTTCCATTTTGGAGGTTAAAAAATAATCTATGAACCTATTAGATTTTTTAAAAACTTCTAAGCAAGAAATATTTCAACAAAAACAAAACCCTATGAGAATTTTGGTTGAGATTTAACAATTCATTTTCCATGCCATTCACAATCCTCATTCATTAATCATTGATGCAAAGCTAACGAAATATGGTTAAAATGGCACCAAGAGAAAAATCAATAGATTCTTAGGAATTTTTAGGAAAAATGTTTTAGTGAGTTAATTTACTTCTAATTTTATTTTATTTTTATTATTTTTATGTAATACACGTTCCTATGTTTTCAAAAATTAAATAACAATTTAAAACGCATCCATTGTTATACTGTTCCTCACTATAATTCCTGAACCTCCATGTAAACCCATTTTTATATCTATCAATTTTTGTTGGTGTCAATTTCATGTTTTTAAATAGCATGACATGCCTTTTTATTTTGAAGTTTTTGGCATGATATATTGACCTATCTCTAATGGAAAACTGAAGTTTATCTATGTTACATTATGCCACTGAAATAAACATATCCCAGCTGTTGAACAAGTGACACTTCCTGTCTACCACCAGAAACAGCAGCCCCAGGATACGATCACACTGCATGGTTTTGCAGCATCAAGTTGCCAAGAAGTCCACGATTTACTCAGATGATAAACAGATCAACAGCTCTACTCACTAAGAGACAGAGCAAGATCAGATTTTATAGTGGGCATAGGTCTCCATGGCCAGTGGGTCTGGCCCTGAAGTGGACACAGGGAGATAGTATACATGATACCTCTTGTCCTGCAGGCAAGACCCCATTCTCTTTCTCTGTGAACAGATATGGTAGTGGGATTGACCAGGTGGCACACGACATTTAGCACATGCTTAAGCAGAACAAAGTACACACTGAGTCTGAAACAGGGAAAGAAATTCTCATGCTAGGCAATAACCCCCGCAGAGGCAGCTCTTTGTCTCTTAGAAAAGAAGTATTTCAGACCCAAGGCTTTTTCTTTTATGCAGGCTGTAGAGATTGAAAGATTTTTTCTATCTCAACACTGGCCAATCCAATGTAGCTCCATAAAGTTTTCAACATTAAGCATTTTTATATAGATTGTATATGTATATATTTCTTTTATATGTATTATATATTATACATAAAAATATTTTATACTTATATAGAGTATGTAATGTAATGATATATAATTGCCTATATAATTATTATTCTCTGTTGATCCATAAATATATTCATTTCTTATACTTTCTTCATTGAAAGTTTTCTTATGCAATATTTTCGAAAGTTGGTTGCCAGAAATGGCTTAATTACAATTCCTTTTTCATGACACACTCCCATTGCTATGCCATGGTCTACTTTTTTTATGTAATTAGCTACTTAATTAGCTAATGCAATTGCATAATACAATAAATACGGTGACTTGATTACCATCCAACCTAATTTAACCATTTAACTCATTCCTCTGCCTTCTCTGAAAAAAAGCATCCTTAGTTGTATTTTCATAATTCTATTGTTTTGTAAAAAATATTTTATGCCATTTACATAGGCTTTAAATTAATATTTTATTTCAGTTGTTTTAATATCGTGTAAAGGTATACATACAAATTAATGTAATGTACTTATCAATGTAATAAAACTGTTCTTCATTTACTATTATATTGATAAAGTTCAAACATATTATTGTGTTTTTTGAAAGAGTGCTTTATAATATTCAGAAGTGAATATAACAAAATAAATGTTGTTTCTAGTACCTTATACTATTCAGAAGTGAATATAACACAAGCTTTTCAGCTACTTCTCTTGATGGGCACCGAATTGTTTTCAGTTTTTTCTGTTTTCCCCACTATCCCTATAAAAACTCTTGTGCACATCTTCTGCTCTTTATGCAAGAAGATTCCTTTAGATAAATATCTGCAGGAAGAACTGTTGGTCATATACCATGAAAAGGTTCAACCTCAGGAGGTGATCTCAAAAGTTTTTCAAAGTGTTTGATTTGCTTGAAAGCCCAGTTATGCATTCCCATACAACTCTGGGAAGGAGATACACTGCTTTGATATGAACACCTGTCTGGAACATCCTATAAAAGAAGTTAACTTCAATTGCTGAAACTACTACAGTTTTGAGATTATATGTTAGTGAAACCTAGGCTACCTTAGTTAACAAACACAGATGATATATATCTTCTTCAGAATTTCATGTAGATTTGCTAGTGCATATCATGGTACATTTCAGATAACTGGAATTTAATGGAATACATGTGTGGGAATGCATTGTGTGCTTGCATGTAGTTTCCGTACCACAATTTTAAAACCTCAGGCATCAAAATCACTAATAAACCTTCACAACATACATTCTTCAGGCTCCAGATCTGGATGTTATCATTCAGTAGGTCTGGGATGGGCCCTAGGAATTGTTACATGATTATATATAAATAGATGATAATATTACACGGCTCTGTTTGAAAACAACTGATTTTAGGGTTCATTAGAAATTCTGGTAAAATAACAAAATCTGACTGTAAAATACATCTCTCAAAACATGCCACTTATAGGACTTGTTGGAATTTGTAGCTAGTTTTTGAAAATTCAGAAGAATATTTAGGCTTTATATATCCGAGCATAGAAATCTTGATTTAATAAGTCTCAGTTTAGCCACGAGGCTTTTCGTATATTGACCCACCGTCTCAATGCAAATTTCGATAATGACTTGCCTATAAAATTAGACTCTCAAGTGAGGAATATTATTTCTGTTTTTCTCCTTTGAGTCAGAAAAACTTAAGATTGTACCACAGCTTGTAAGTAAATGATTGTTTTCCTTGTGAATTTATCAGATATTGTTACTCTATTGCCAGCAACTTTAGTTCTATTGGTCAAAAATGTGCATAGAACATACTCTGCTCAAGGACTTCGTCTCAGGAGCTGAGCATACAAAAGTAAAAATACCCTAAAAAGGATACGGATATACAATTCACATTTCTTAGATACTTATTATCATGTAACCCATTAAAGAAGAACATAAAATTGTCAATTTGATCAACAATTGGGTCATCAAGCCATGCTTTGAAATCTTAAACTTATCAATTATTTAGTTCCAAACTATATTTCTAACTGCAGTTTCTTTCTAACAAGCTGGCTTGTGTCTTGCCCTTACCATCTACTGTGTTTTTTATCCTGATATACCCTTATCCAACATATCCTCCTGGCTCCTTTCTTCAGTTCACTCAAATGCCAACTCAAATGCCAAATGTCAAAATTTGGGAGGTCTCCTTGAAGAAACCCTTATGTAAAATTGAACCTTCTTGCCTATGCTCTCCCTTTCCCCTTGTCATTTCCCATAAACTTAATATTTACCTCAATTTAATATCAAATAAATTCTTGCTTGCTTAGTTTTAGTCTTCCTGCATTAAAATACAAGCTTTATGATGGTAGGGACTTTAAACTGCAGTCACTGTTATATGCCCAGAAAACATGAGAAAAGTGGCTCTTAGTTAAATTTTATCATAAATAAAAGAAGTGTTTAGTAAATCTCAAAGTGCCATTTGTCAAATTAAACATACACATCATTCCTTATAAGAAGCATAATAAGAATGGCTAATTATCTTTAAGTTTGGATTGTGTACAGAGAGTTTTAATATAAAATAATCTGTAATCAATTATTTTTTCTTATTATTACTTTTCTTCTCTTCCCAAGTACAAGAAAATTGCCCAAAAAGGTAGTTTGCTTAAAATAGTATTTCAAAGACAATAATCATTGTTTCTTTAACAGTTTGGTGATTGAGAGCCAATAATCAGTAGCATCATGAAACATTTTCAAGAACTCCAAAGGAAAAAAAGTAAAAAATCAATACAGTCTTTGTTTTAACCTTTCTAGAGGAAATCCTTATTTATATTTGTAATACCACATAACTTTTTAAAGTCAAAAAAGAAAATAATTGATAAAAATACAATTAATTTACAGGATATCATTAAATAGTCAAACAAGAAGTAAACATTTTCACTATTACAGGCCATCTTCAAATTTTTAAGAAAAATTTCTTGATAATAAGGAAAATTTCTGATCAAAATTTACTATATTTTAAAACATTTTAAGAATCAAAATGATATCACTTTAAATATTTACTTTGGGGCCCATTTCTATAAAATACAAAGGTGTTACATTACGCCATGCTGCTAGGGTTTAAGCCTTGGGCTAATTTTTTTCTGTTTTTTCATGTCCTGCAGACTCTTTACTGATATTTTTCTATGTATGGATGTTCCAAACTGAAAAAAGTCACAATTCAAACCACACATCATATACATAAGTGAATACTTATGTTTTAGACCAAAATTTTGTTATAAGAGAAAAAAAAATACCTTATTCAAAAATAAGATCTAGAAATAGCCTAAATATATTTCTTGGGATGCCTCCAAGCTTTTCTTCTATGTCAAATATAATATATTCAGGATTTTCTGTTGGTAAAGTAAATTACCGATCTGTTTCTCTGAGATCACAATAATACCAGGGCAACCTTTTTGTCCGGAAAATTTTTTCTTAACAATGTAACGCGGTCTATCATTAAAACAGCCCTATTGGTCAATCCTGATTGCTCTTCCAGCAATCTAGTCCAAGAAGAAAGCCCATTATTAGTCAGTCACAATCATTTTCACAATAGACTCTGTGTTACTTAGTGATTTACACTTTGCCCACACAATGAGAAAGACAGCAAAGAACAGCAGAGATTATCATAGGCTAACATTAACTTGATATTTCTCCAAATTATTTACACAACCCATCCTGGTAGTTTAATAAATTATGTTGTTTAGATTTAAATCCAGGCAGAAACAATATAACTCAATTAAAATAATAAATGTCAGTTTATTCTCTATATTGTAGTTGCTTCTCTCATTCTGTCACCAAGTATCTTTTCTCTCTCTGTCTCTCTCTCTCTCTGTCTCTCTCTCCTCTCTCTCTCTCATATACAATGTGTGTGCTAATTATATATTTACACATAAACATTTCCACTGATTAGAAATGGCCCACAGATCGTCAGAAGTTTTTTAACATTTGTATACTTGATCATAAGGATTAAATGTAACTATATTCTGACAGAATGAGGTGGGTTAAAAGGCAAACAGTTGGCCTGGCACGGTGGCTCATGCCTGTAATCCCAGCACTTTGGGAGGCCAAGGCGGGCTGATCACCGGAGGTCAGGAGTTCAAGACCAGCCTGGTCAACATGGTGAAACCCCATCTCTCTAAAAATACAAAAATTAGCCGGGCTTGGTGGCAGGTGCCTGTAACCTCAGCTACTCGGGAGGCTGAGGCAGGAGAATCACTTGAATTCAGGAGGCGGAGGTTGCAGTGAGCTGAGATGGTGCCACTGCACTCCAGCCTAGGGGACAAGAGTGAGACTCCTCAAAACAAAACAAAACAAAACAAAACAAAAAAAGGCAAGCAGTTAATTACAGGATTGATATTACAGATTTTTTCTGTTTTATGTTCTACTCCACGCAATGATTCTTAGTAGGTAGTTTCTTATAATGTGATCGAAAGCAAAAGTTACCTTTGTTATTCAATGAAGAGTAATATCTATGAAAAGTAATCATAGATAATGACTGCTTTTCATCTCTGTATGCAAATGACCTTTAAAATTGACATGTGACTAAAAAAAAAAGGCCATTGAAACACAAAAAATAGATAAGTATATGTGTGCTTATTTTCATGTAATATTGACTGACGAAATTCCTGATAAAGCAAAGGAATATTAAAGTAAATGAAAAAGGCAAATATAACAAAGGTTTTGCAAAGGTAATTTTATGGCAGATATAAATACCTATCACTTTAAAAAGTAGTAAAGTCATAGTAGATATAATAGGACTTGCTATAAGTTAGAAATAGTGGATATTTTGGATCAAAAGTAATAAATTTATAAAGGTATCCTACTTTGTATAGCCGTCATTTACTTGCAGAACTTATTATTTTGTGATTATGATTAAAAAGTCACATTTTCAAAGGAGGCTTCTAATTATAATGGTGTTCTCACAAGTGCCATAATTTCTAGCCCTAATTCTAAGATCTGTTCATTAGGTGCTACTATCTGTTAAACTGAAACTTTTCTTTTATATTTAAAATTCAATGTCTTTCAACAACAAATAATTCTGTGACGCACAGCATTTTTGATAACTATCCAAATACTAGTCTTTAGGAATAGTTATATGACTATCAGAAAAAATTGTCAACTTTTTTACCTAAAATGTTCCTTAAATGCATAGGCTCAAAAACAATAAATTTTTTAGACGCATTTAAGTAGACATTAATTTTCCTAATATGAATATAAATGTTATGGGGTGAATTACACAGTTTGAGATTTTAATTGTGTGAACATTTCCTTTGAAAGCTTCAGCAAATGAAATACTTGCAATAGTTTATTTCTTTAAGGGAATCCTTCAAAAAGTCAATATCCTAGCTATACATAATCATATAAAAGTATTGGATATCCTTAAATTTAATTCCATATAGGCCATGTAACTAACTACAACCCAATAAAAAAATGTAGCAAAATTGAAAATATAGCAAAATAATTCATTTCCAAAAAGAGCAACCAAAAAATATCAAATATAAATATAAAAGTCAGTTAACAATTATTTCATTAATATTTATTTCAGCTGAAAAACAACATTAATTTACATAATAAATGTTGTTACCATTCTAATTTTTATAATTCATTTGAAGCAAGCAATATTTGCTTGCTAAAAATAACATATATCTATAAAGAAATGTTTTTATTTAATTTTAGGGGTATTATATAACTTAAATTTTGTGCTTGCGTTGTAAAAAATTGTATATCCTAATGTATCAATGCATCAAAAATACAAATAGAAACTCAGTCTTTATTTTCATTCACCTTTCCCCTAATAGTTTACGTATTTTCTTGGTTATTTTAATACATGGTACCATAGTAACTCCATTAGCTAACTAATGAGTATAATCTCTGAAATTCTTAGATAAAAAACAATAGTAATTAAATGATTATTTATTTATTTGAGACAGAGTTTTGCTCTGTTGTCACTCTGGAGTTCAGTGGCACAATCTCGGCTCACTGCAATCTCCACCTTCTGGGTTCAAGCAATTCCCTTGCCTCAGCCTCCCGAGTAGCTGGGACTAAAGGCGCCCGCCACCATGCTCGGCTAATTTTTTGTATTTTAGTAGCAACGGGGTTTCACCATGTTGGCCAAGATGGTCTCGATCTCTGACCTCGTGATCTGCCTGCTTCAGCCTCCCAAAGTGCTGGGATTACGGGCGTGAGCCACCGTGCCCAGCCCAAATGATTATTTTTATTGCTAATTTTATTAATACAATATAACATATTAAGAAAATTGACTGCTTTTAAGCCATTCTCTTGATCTAGGAATTATTGTACTTTTTTTTCTGTTTAGTATTGCTGTCCAACAGACTTTCAGAAAAGTTACGGACTTGAAATTGCAGTTATTCAAAAGTAGAGTTTTGATTAATTTTTTTGATATTGATGTAACTCTTTCCCCAGGGGTCTACAGTGAAATGCTGGCACTAAAATTGCATTTCTCCTAATTCTGGTAATTCCTCTATTGTTACTTAAAAAATTAGCTAGAATTAACTTCTTACCAAAGCAGCAAATGTGGAAGCTTATTGGTTTCAAATTATTTTCTAAGGGATGCAAGACTATTTCATTTCCTAGTGTAGATACTGAGAAATAAGATTTTGGGGAATTTTTCAGTTAATATAATAGTAATTAGAAAGTTGAGCTGTATTTTTCTTAAGCTAAGATGTTTTCGACTATACATATCAAGCTGAATAAAATTAAAAGCACCTCAGGGTTATTCTTCTATACTTTTTATTTTATTAGACGACTTTAGCTTTTAGCATACATATTTTTAATGTTATAATTTAGGTGTGAGAAATAAAACTCAGCAAACGTTTAAATAAAATTATTCAGAAATGAAGTTTTTGTATGTTGAAACATTTTTAGCTATATTTTCAAATTGTCATCTTTGCAGCATTAGTATACCAAATGGAAAGGCATTTATCATTACAAGAGCAAAAAAGAATACTATGAGTAACTATTTCAAAGACATTATTTCAAGAGCATATACCACCCCATTTTTTAATTCTGCTATTGTCAAAATAAAATTGTACATATTATATTTTGGTGTTTTTCAGTTATGATTCTAAGAAACCATTTTGTTAAAAAAGCGGTATTGTCTATTTAACATTTTCAATATGTGGGATTTGTTTGTGTCTTTTGTTTCGCTAAGAAAAAAATAGAAACTTTCCAAATCTGAGGAAGAAAAGGGGCATACAAATTCAGAAAGCTAAAAACATTACAAATGAATGGAACCCAGAGAGGGAAAAACAGACCCATTACAACCAAATTGCCAAAATCAAAGACAAAGAAAAAAAGTTGAAGCAACAGGACAAAAGAAAATCCCATGGTATTATTACAAGAGTTTTCCTGAGATTTATCAGTGGGTTGCTAAGAAAAAACATCATAGGTCAAAAGGGTATGAGATGATAAAATTAAAGTGCTAAAAGAGAAAAACACCACAAAAGAAGAATATCATAACCAGCCAAAATGAAGAAGTAATAATAACAATATTAAAACTTCCCAGATAAACAAAAGCTGGGAAGACCACCCTAGACAACATACGAAGACCAATCCCTACAAAATTAAAAAACAGATATTCTAAAAAATAAACGGCAAGTAACGCTTTCAAGCTTATTTTAAGGACAGCATTATTCTGATAAAGACATACAAAGACACCACAGGAAAAGAAAACTGTAAACATTGATGCAAAAAAACCTCAACAAAATATTGGCAAATCAAATTCAACAGCACATTAAAAAGTATTATACCACCATGACTAATCGAGATTTAATTCTGGAAACCAAGGTTGTTTCAACATGTAAAAATAATTCAATGTAATATAGTGCAATAACAGAATAAAGAAAAAAAATGATCACTTCAATTCATGCAGAAAAAGCATTTGAGAAACTTTGACATCATTTTGTGTTAAAAACTTTCAACAAACTGGGAATAAGGGGAGTATAATTAAGGTCATATATGAAGAGCAGGAAACTAGCATTATACTCAATTATAGCAAACTAAAATTTTTTTTCCTGTAAGATTGGGAACAAGGAAATGTTATAGGAGTTATTAAGAAATTATTTTAGGCAGATAGAGAGGAAAAAGGGTCCTTGGGAAGTTTTTGTTTCTTTTAAAGCAGCTCCAGAAATGTTTCTTATCTACCAGGAGAGCCCTGGCTCTTAGAGCCAGGCTGGCAAACTTTAACATGCAAATGCCAGCCCTTAGAAACTGGGTCCACCTAAAGATGGTGATTTCCACCACCTTCTTCTTGCCCTTGCCCCAACATGGGCCTGGCCGCATGGCCACCCCCACATATCCCCATGTGTCTAGAACATCATGGTGAACTGCATTTGCATATTAAAAGGCTAGGATGTGACAGCCAGTTTTTTCACCCGCCATGTGAATGAGATACCTGGTCAAACCAATCCCCTGAGCCCTATGCAAATCAGACACCACCTCCTCCAGCCTCCTCACAGAAGCAGCCACTTTTCTGCCCCACACGGGGTTTTCTCTTTGTTAAAATCCCTCCTTTCTCTGTCTCTGTATGGGGGAGCTGTTTATTTCTTCCTTCTTTCTTGCCTATTAAACTTTTTGCTCCCTGAAACCACTCCATGTGTGTCTGTGTCATTAATCCTATGGGCATGAGACCAAGGACCCTGGTATTCCTCCAGTCATCAGAGCCATATCAGCAAGGATACCCTCTCTTGCCACTTCTATTCAAAACAGTACTGGAAGTTATTACCAGAGTGATAAGGAAAACAAGTCAAATCGAAACAAAACAAATAGCAGGCATTCAAGCTGTAAAGAAAGAAGTAAAATTACCTCTGTTCATAGATGACATGATTTCATATGTAGAAAATTCTCAGGAATCCACAATAATCCCTGTTAAGAATAATAAACAGATTCAGTAGAAATGCACAATACAAAATAAATAGGCAAAATCTTTTGTTTATACACACCGACATTGAACAATACAAAAAAGTATTAAAGAAACATTCTTATTTACAATAGCATGAAAAAAATAAAATATTTTGTAATAAATTTACTCTGGGAACAAAATGACTTGTACTCTGAAAACTGAAAAACATTGCTTAAAGAAATTAAAGAAGACACAAATTATGCTCATAATTAAAATACTTAATATTTTTGAAATATCTATAGTACCCAAAACAATCTCCAGATTCACTGCAGTCCCAATCGAAATCCCATTAGCATGTTTTGCAGAAATAGAAAAAAAATCATACAGAAATTTATATGCATTATTAAAAGATCCAGAGTAGCCAGAACCATCTTGAGAAAGAAAATAAACGTGGAGATATGATGCTTTCAGATTTCAAAAGGTATTACAAAGCTATAATCATCAAAGCAGTATTGTACTGGTATATAGAAAAATATACAGACCAATGGAGCTAAATAAAAAGCACAGAAATAAACTGTCACATATAAAATCAAATGATTTTGACATGAGTTTGAAAGCCAAAAAATGAGAAAACGACCGTTTAAAAAAAAAAAAAAAAGATGTTGAAAAAACTGAAGGTCTATGTACACACACATAAAAAAAAAAGAAATTGGGCCTGCACTTTGCACAACATACAAAAATTAACTCAAAATGGATTAAATACATAAACTTAAGGCCTTAAACTGTAAAACTCCTAGGAATAAACACAGAGGTAAGGCCTTATGATATTGAGTTTAGCAGTGATTTCTAGGATATTACACCAAAACAAACACACAAACACACAAACAAACAAAACAGGCAACAAAAGCAAAAATAGACAAATGTGACTACATCAAACTTAAAAGCTTCTGTATAGCAAAGGAAACAATCTAGAGTGAAAAGGTAACCAAAAGATTAGGGGAACATATTTGAAAACCATATATCTAGTAAGGAGTTAATACTCATGAAAATAAAAAACTTGTATGACTCAACAACAACAAAAAATATTTGATTAATAAATGAGCAGAGGACTTGATTAGACATTTTTCAAAAGAAGATACATAAATGGCCAAAAGCTTATAAAAAGATACTCAACATCACTAATTATCAGGGGAATGCAAATAAAAAACCTCAATGAGCCATAATCTCACACCTGTTAGGATGGCTGTTACCAAAATAAAATAAAATAACATACATGAATTATAAGTATTGGCACAGATGTATAGAAGTAGAACTCTTGTGCACTGCCTTGGAGAATGTAAAATTATGCAATCATTATGGAGGCAAAATAGAAACTTCTCAAGAAATTAAAAATAGAATTGTCATATGATCTAGTAATTCTACTTCTGACTATATATTAAAAAATTGAAAAAATGGGTCTCAAGGAGATAGTTGCACACCCAGCTTTATTGCAGCATTATTCAGAATAGCTAAGTGGTGGAAACAAACTAAGTGGCCATCAATGGGTGAATAGATTAACAAAAATTTGATATATACATACAATGGAGTATTATTTATCCTTACAAAAAGGAAATCCTTTCATATGTTACAACATTAATTTGACCTAAGGCAGAGAGGTTGTATCATCAATAAATTCTGTCAGAGTAAGTGAGAAGTTTCTTATAATTGTTCCTATTTGTATGATTCTCACATTGAGAAGAATGTTCTGTAATTATTCACATAAAAACTTGAATTAATAATTCCCCAAGCAGAGTAGCCATAATACCCAAACATTCAAAAGTAACCCCATTTTGAGTCTCAATCAGAGATTGAATTTCTAGCCTTGGTGATTTATAGAAGTAGGGTCTCTGTGTATAGGAAGGTTTCAGAGTAATATTTATAAAGTCCATAAGGTATTTATCTTACATACGCAGAACTAGGTCTCCTGGCTACAAAAAATTAGAGTTTAGTTGAAGCACACAGAAATCTAAAAAAAAAAAAAAATGATTTATTTATGACAAAAGGTCTGAACCAAGGCCTTGTATTAGCTAGGTTACATATCTATACCTTTCTTTGTCTCTTTTAATGAGTAAATATTTGATCCATCACCCTACAAAGTTTATTGAATATGAATTTACTGTTACCTAGGGTATGATCAATCAAATGTAAGCATATCTTTTTTCCTGTGGGAGAGAGGGCCACTGACTATATCACAGGTCATTCTGTATAAGGTTATTTGGCCATGTAAGTGCAGGTAAAAATATCATTGGCTGAAATTCTCTTATGTCTCATTGGATGACACTAGGATTTCCCAGATTGCTTATTCATAAAGATGTGGTATGGGATGGCATATCTAGCAGTCAGTAAGCTTGAAGACATTGACTACCATTTAGGATATTCTAAAAATGCCATTAGAAAGACTGTTTTGTACCCCCACAATAATAAAAAGAAGAGGGGGGAAAAAAGAAAAGGTATGTTATTGGGTGGACAACAATTTGCCGTCTACAGAAAGTCAGAAGAGTGATTATAAGCTAATAGAAAAAAAAACTAGATAAGGATTTTGGTTTGGAATCTTGGGTGGAAACCATACACTACTGAAGTCATTAGCTTGTTCTGAAGGTTCTAGGTTAAATATCTGCTTCCAGAGATTAGCTGCTACTGGAGAATCTCTGAGAATCTTGAGTTTATGGTACTCTGTTAGAGTATGATATAGTTTAGATGTTTGTCCCCAGTGGTGGAGGCGGGGCCTAGTAGGGAGGCATTGGGTCATAAGGACAGATCCCTCATGAATCCCTTGGTGCTGTTCTTGTGATAGATAGTTAGAGAGTTCTCAAGAGATCTGCTTGTTTAAAAGTGTGTGCAGAGACCCAGGAATTTTATATACTCTAGCCTCAGGATCCCCCACAAGGCAGGAGGTCCATCCATACAGCCCCTAAGAAGGAAATCCAAAGAGCCAAGCAGGGTTATTCTGCAGGCCCCACTTCTGCAGCGCCTCACACGTTAAGACCCACTTGCTTAGAATTCCAGCCAGCCAACAGCAACAGGCTGGAGTCCGCCTGAGTCAGAACCAAGTTCTGGGAAGGCAGGGTGGCCACCAACTTTGCAGTTTGGTAGACTTAGTTGGTCCAGCCTGCACCTTTGGGAATACTAATGGTCCAGACAAGGAAAGACCCCCCACGACAAAGCACAGCTGCGTTGCCAGATTGTAGCTAGACTGCATCTTTAAATGGGACCATGATTCATTCATCATCACTTGGCAGGACCTCCCTGAAGGTGTTTCAGCCACCTGCAAAAATCCTATGGACAGAGCTTTGATCTCTCCCTGGGATGGAGCTCCTGGTGGGAGGGGTGGCTGCCATCTCTGTGGTTCAGTCAATTCAACCATTCCAGCCTGCCAGCTTTGAAAGTCCAAAAGATCTGGACGAGAAAGGGTCCTCCCCAATAGAGCATACCTGCTGTACCAAAAAGCGGCCAGACTGCTTCTTTAATTGGGTCCATGATCCCATTCCTCCTGACTCAGTGAGACTTCCCAAAAGGGGCTCTAACCACCTCTTACAGATGTGTTCAGGCTGGCAACACATCAGTACTCCCTGGGACAGAGCCTCCAGAGGAAGGAGCCTCCATAGGAAGGAATTCTTTGCAGTTTCACAGACTTGACTGCATATATCTCCAGGCACAGAAAAAACCAAGGTGACTAGGGTCTGAAGCAGACCCACAGCAAGGTGTGGCAGCCCTACAGAAGAGTGGCCTGGTTGTTAAAAGAAAAACAAAATAACAGAAAACAACAACATCAATAGAAAGACCCCCAAAAAACCCCATTTAAAGTTTGGCAACCTCAAAGGTTGAAAGTAGATAAGCCCACAAAGATGAGAAAGAATCAATGCAAAAATGCTGAAAACTCAAAAAGCCAGAGTGCTTCTTCTCTAAATGACTGCAATGCCTCTTCAGCAAGGACACAGACCTGGACTGAGGCTGAGATGGCTGAACTGATAGAAGTAGGCTTCAGAAGGTGGGTTAATAACAAACTTGGCTGAGCTAAAGGAGCATGTTGTAACCCAATGTAAAGAGGATAAGAATCATGATAAGACAATACAGGAGCTGACATCCAGAATAGCCAGTTTAGAGAGGAATGGAGCCAACCTAATAGAGCTGAAAAGCACTATGAGAACTTCACAATGCAATTACAAGTATTGATAGCAGAATAGACCAAGGGGAGGAAAGAATCTCAGAGTATGAAGACTATCTTTCTGAAATAAGAGGGGCATTTAAGAATAGAAAAAAAAAGAATGAAAAGAAATGAACAAAACCTCTGAGAAATATGGGATTATATAAAGAGATCAAACCTACAACTGATTGGGGTACCTGAAAGAGACAGGAAGAATGCAACAAAATTGCAAAACATACTTCAGGCAATCATACTGGAAAAGTTTCCCAACCTAGCAAGAGAGACCAGCATTCAAATTCAGGAAATTCAGAGAACCCCAGTAAGATACTCCACAAGATCAACCACAAGACACATAATCATCAGATTCTACAAGGTTGAAATGAAAGAAAAAATGATAAGAGCAGCCAAAGAGAAAGGTGAGGTCACCTACAAAGGGAAACCCATCAGAATAACAGTGAACCTCTCAGCAGAAACCCTACAAGCTAGAAGAGATTGGGGACCAATGCTCAACATTCTTAAAAAAACATAATTTCCAACTCAGAATTTCATATGCAGCCAAACTAAGCTTCATAAGTGAAAGAAGAATAAAATATTTTTCAGATAAGCAAATGCTGAGCGAATTCACTATCACCAGGCCTGCCTTTCAAGAGCTCCTGAAGGGAGCATCACATATGGAAAGTAAAAACCAGTATCAGCTACTACAAAAACACACTGAAGTACACAGACTAGTGACACTATGAAGCAGCCACATAAACAAGTTTGCAAAATAAACAACTGGCAACATGATGACAGAATCAAATCTACACATAACAATACAAACCTTAAATGTAAATGGGCTAAGTTCCTCAATTAAAAGACTGCAGGCAAGCTGAATAAAGAGCCAAGACTCTTTGGTATACTGTCTTCAAGAGACCCATTTCACATTCAAAGACACACATAGGCTGAATAGAAAGAAATGGAAGAAAATTTACCAAGCAAATGGAAAACAGAAAAAAAAAACAGTTTTCAAGCCTAGTCTCTGATAAAGCAGACTTTAAACCAACAAAGATAAAAAAAATGCAAAGAAGGGTATTACATAATAATAAAGGGTTCCATGACAAGAAGAGCTAACTATGTTAAATATATACACACCTAATCCAAGGGGACCTAGATTCATAAAGCAAGTTCTTAGAGACCTAGAAAGAGACTTAGATTCCCACACAAGAATAATGGGAGACTTTAACACCCCATTGACAATATTAAACAGATCATCAAGACAGAACATTAACAAAGATATTCAGGGCCTGAACTCAGCTCTGGATCAAGTGGACCTGACAGGTATATACTGAACTCTCCACCCCAAAACAACAAAATATACATACTTCTCATTGCCACACATCACTTACTCTAAAATTTGTGACATAATTAGAAGTAAATCACTCCTCAGCAAATACAAAAGAACTGATATCATAACAAATAGTCTTGCAGACCACAGGACAAGTGAATTAGAACTCAAGATTAAGAAATTCACTCAGAATTACACAACTACATGGAAACTGAACAACTTCCTTTTGAATGACTCTTGGGTAAATAATGAAATTAAGGCAGAAATCTCATTTTTGAAACTAATGAGAACAAAGAGACAATATACTAGAATCTCTGGGATGCAGCTAAAGCAGTGTTAGGAGGGAAATTTATAGCACTAAATGCACACACCAAAAAGCTAGAAAGATCTCAAATTAGCAATCTACTTAGAGAACCAAGAGCAAACAAACCCCAAAGCTAGCAGAAGACAAGAAGGAACCAAGATCAGAGCTAAACTGAAAGAGACAGAGACACGAAAAACCCTTCAAAGGATCAACAAATCCAGAAGCTGGTGTTTTGAAAAAATAATAAAACAGATAGACTGCTGGCTAGATTAATAAAGGAAAAAAGAGAGAAGAATAAAATAAACACAATAAGAAATAATAAGGGGGGAAATCATCGCGGACCACATAGATATACAAATAACCATCACAGAATACTATAAATCCTTCTATGCATATAAACTAGAAAATCTAGAAGAAATACATAAATTTCTTGACACATATACCCTCCCAAGACTGAACTGTGAAGAAATTGAATCCCTGAATAGACCAAGAACGAGTTCTGAAATTGAGACAGTAATAAATAGCATACCCTATTAACCAATGAAAGCCCATAACCAGAGGGATTAACAGCTGAATTCTACCAGAGAATTCAGATAAGAGATGGCACCATTTCTACCGAAACTATCCCAAGAACTTGAAAAAGAGGGACTAACTGATTCTATAATGCTTGCATCATCCTGATAATAAAACCTGGCAGAGATACAAGAACAACAAAACTTCAGGCCAATATCTTTGATGAACATCGATGCAAAAACTTTCAACAAAATAGTAACAAACTGTACCCAGCTTTTCAAAAATAAGCTTTTTGAAATGCTTTTTCACCACAATCAAGTAGGCTTCATCCCCAGGATGTAAGCTTGGTTCAACATATGCAAATCAATAAATGTGATTCATCACATGAATAGAACTAAAGATAAAAACCACATGATTAGCTCAAGAAATAAAGAAAAGGACTTCAATATAATTCAACATCTATCATGGGAAATTCAGCCAGATATCGGGCGAAATTCACCCGTGATATTTCACATAGGTTCTTTTCTACTTTTCCTAGTGTTGGCTGGTCTGAGAAATAAAGGGACAGAGTACAAAAGAGAGAAATTTTAAAGCTGGGTGTCCAGGGGAGACATTACATGTCGGCAGGTTCCGTGATGCCCCCTGAGCTGTAAAACCAGCAAGTTTTTATTAGTGATTTTCAAAAGGGGAGGGAGTGTACGAATAGGGTGTGTGTCACAGAGATCATGTGCTTCACAAGGTAATAGAATATCACAAGGCAAATGGAGGCCGGGCAAGATCACAGGACCACAGGACCGCGGTGAAATTAAAATTGCTAATGAAGTTGCAGGCACACATTGTCATTGATAACATCTTATCAGGAAACAGGGTTTGAGAGCAGATAACTGGTCTGACCAAAGTTTATTAGGTGGTAATTTCCTCAACCTAATAAGCCTGGGAGCACTACGGGAGACTGGGGCTTATTTCATCCCTACAGCTGTGACCGTAAAAGACAGCCACCCCTGAAGCGGCCATTTCAGAGGCCTACCCTCAGGGACGCATTCTCTTTCTCAGGGATATTCCTTGCTGAGAAAAATAATTCAGCCACATTTCTCCCATTTGCTTTTGAAAGAAGAGAAATATGGTTCTGTTCCGCCCAGCTTACCGGCAGTCAGAGTTTAAGGTTATCTCTCTTGTTGCCTGAACATTGCTGTTATCCTGTTCTTTTTTCAAGGTGCCCAGATTTCATATTGTTCAAACACACATGCTCTACAAATGATTTGTGCAGTTAGCACAATCATCACAGGATCCTGAGGTGACATACATCCTCCTCAATTTACGAAGATGATGGGATTAAGAGACTAAAGTAAAGACAGGCATAGGAAATCATAAGGGTATTGACTGGGGAAGTGATAAGTGTCCATGAAATCTTCACAGTTTATGTTCAGAGATTGCAGTAAAGACAGGCATAAGAAATTATAAAAGTATTAATTTGGGGAACTAATAAATGTCCATGAAATCTTCACAATCCATATTTTTCTGCCATGGCTTCAGCCAGTCCCTCCGTTCGGGGTCTCTTACTTCCCGCAACAAACATCCTTTCATGTCAAAAACTTTCAATAAACTAGGTATTGAAGGAACATACCTAAAAATAGAGTCATATTTGACAAACCCACAGCTAATCTCATACTGAATGGGAAAAAGCTGGAAGCATTCCTTTTGAAAACTGGCACAAGACAAGAAAGCCCTCTCTCACCACTTCTATTCAACATAGTATTAAAAGTTCTGGCCACAGCAATCAGGCAAGAGAAAGAAATAAAGGGTATTCAAGTAGGAATAGAGGAAGTCAATTTTTTTTTTCTTTTTGCAGGTGACATAATCCTATATCTAGAAAACCCCATTGTCTCAGTCCAAAAACTTCTGAAGCTGATAAACAACTTCAGCAAATTCTCAGTATACAAAGTCAATGTGCAAAAACTGTTAGCATTCCTATACACCAACAACAGGCAAGCAAAGAGCCAAATAATGAATGAATTCCCATTCATAATTGCTACAAAAAGAATAAAATACCTAGGAATACAGCTAACAAGGGAAGTGAAGGACATCTTCAAGGAGTACTACAAACCACTGCTCAAAGAAATTAGAAAGGGCATAAACAAATGGAAAAATATTCCATGCATATGAATACAAAGAATCAATGTCTTAGAAATGGCCAGACTGCCCAAATTAATGTATAGATACAATGCTATATCCATTAAACTACCATTGACATTCTTCACAGAACTAGAAAAATTTATTTTAAAATTCATATGAAACCATAAAAGAGCCCAAATAACTAAGACAATCCTAAGCAAAAAGAACAGAGCTGGAGGCATCAGGCTACCTGACTTCAAACTGTACTACAATGCTGCAGTAACCAAAACAGCAAGGTGCTGGTACAAGAGCAGTCACACACCAATGAAATAGAATAGTAAACTCAGAAATAAGACCACACACATACATCTGACCTTCCACAAACCTGACCAAAATAAGCAAGGGGGAAAGGATATTTTATGTAATAAATTGTGCTGGGAGAACTGGCTAGCCACATGCAGAAAACTGAAGCTAGACCTCTACCTTATACCATATAAAAAAATCAACTCAAGATGAATTAAGGACTTGAATTTAAAATCCAAAACTATAAAAAATCTGGAAGAAAATCTAGACAATACCATTCTGGGCATAAGCAAGGATTTAATGATGAAAACACCAAAAGCAATTGCAACAAAAGCAAAAATTGGCAAGTGGGATCTAATTAAACTAAAGAGCAGGACAGCAAAAGAAACTCATTGGAGTGAACAGACAACCTACAAAATGGAAGAAAGTTTTTGCGTCATATCTATCTGTCAAAGGTCTAATATCCAGAATCTACAAAGAACCTAAACAAATTTACAAGAAAAAAAACAAATAACTCCATTTAAAAGTGGGCAAAGGATATGATCAGACACTTCTCAAAAGAAGACCTATATGTGGCCAACAAACATATGAAAAAAAGCTCAACATCACTGATCATTAGAGAAATGCAAATCAAAACCACAGTGAGATACCATCTCACATCAGTTAGAATGGCTATCATTAAAAAGTTAAAAAACAGCAGATGCCAGTGAGGTTGTGGGGACAAAGGAAGAGTTTTACACTCTTGGTGGGAGTGTAAATTAGTTCAACCATTTTGGAAGACAGGGTGGTGATTCCTCAGAGACCTATAGGCTGAAATACCATTTGACCCAGCAATCTCATTACTGGGTATATACTACAAAGAACACAAATCATTCCATTATAAAGATGCATGTACATGTATGTTCATTGTGGCGCTTTTCGCAGTAACCAAGACATGGAATCAACCTAAATGCCCATCAGTGATAGACTGGATAAGGAAAACAGGGTACATATATACCATTAAATATTATGAAGCCATGAAAAGGAATGAGATCATGTCATTTGCAGGGACATGGATGGAGTTGGAAGACATCTCCCTCAGCAAAATAATGCAGAAATAAAAATCCAAACACCATATGTTCTCACTTATGAATGGGAGCTGAATGGTGAGAACACATGGACACATAGGGGAGACCAAAACACAGTGGAGCCTGTCAGGGTAGAGGTGGGGGGAGGGAGAGCATCAGAAAGAATAGCCAATGAATGCTGTGCTTAATGCCTAGGTGATGGGATGATCTGTGCAGCAAACCATTATGGCACACATTTACCTATGTAGCAAACCTGCACATCCTGCAAATGTACCCCTGAAGTTAAAATAAAAGTTGAAAAAAGAAAAAAAAATGTGTGTGGCAACTCCCCCCTTTGTCTTGCTCACACTCTCATCACGTGAGGTGACTACCCCTGCTTCACCTTCTGCCATAATTGTTCCTGAGGCTGTCACCAGAAGCAGATGCTGGAGCCATGTCGGTGCAGCCTGAAATACTGTGAGCCAATTAAACCTCCTTTCTTTATAATAACCCAGCCTCAGGTATTTTTTAATAGAAATGCAAAAGGAGCCCCCAAACCAGAGTTGCTTTTTAATTGTGTGTAATTCTTAGGGTGGCCTAGAAAAAAATCACTGTTCATTCATCATTTTACAGAGGCCATGTCACAGAAGGAACTGTACTCACTGTATCCACCTAGTTTACCCTTTGGCTGGAAATATTAGAAAATGTAAAACAAGATATTTCATCATAGTATAATGTCTTCACAAATTTTTCAAATGAAAAGAAAATGCAGCTGTAACCAAAGTTGTTTTCTCTGTGACACATTTGTTATTGAGCTCTGCACAGCAAAATAATCTATCAACAGAGTACACAGACAAGCTACAGGATGGGAGAACATTTTTGCAAACTATACATCAGACAAAGGTTTGATTTCTAGCATCTATAAGGAACTTAAACAATTTTATAAGAAAAAATGAATAACCCCATAAAATAGTGAGCAAAGGACATGAACAGACACTTTTCAAAAGAAGACATATATGTGGCCAGCAAATGTATGAAAAAAAGCACACATGAAAGAAAGACCATTAGAGAAATGCAAATCAAAACCACAATGTAATACCATCTCATACCAATCAGAATGGCTATTACATAAAAAGTCAAAAAACAACAGATATTGTCGAGGTTGTGGAGAAAAAGAAATGCTTATACACTGTTGGGGGTGTAAATTAGTTCAACCGTTGTGAAAGACAGAGGGTGATTCCTCAGAGACCTAAAGGCAGAAGTAATATTTGACCCAGCAATCCCATTACTGGGTATACACCCAAAGGAATAGAGATTATTATGTTATAAAGACACAGGCACGTGTATGTTCACTGAAACACTATTCACAATAGAAGACAGGGAAAAAAAACCTAAATGCCCATCAATGATAGACTGGATAAAGAAAATGTGGTACATATATACCATAGAATACTAGGCACCCATAAAAGAGGAACAGATAATGTCCTTTGCAGGGACATGGATAGAGCTGGAGGCCATTTTCCTTAGAAAAACTAATACAGGAACAGAAAATCAAATACTCCATGTTCTCACTTGTAAGTGGGAGGTAAATGTTGAGAACATATGGACACACAATGGAAAACCACAGACACTGGGGCCTATCTGAGCATGAAAAGTGGGAGAAGGGAGAGGATCAGGAAAAATAACTAATGGATACTAGGCTTAATACATGAGTGGTGAAATAATCTGTACAACAAAGCCCCATGACACAACTTTACCTATGTAACAAACCCGCATATATGCCCCTGAACTTAAAATAAAACTTAAAAACAATTTAAACCACTTATCAATAGTGAGTTAATTAAATCATATTTAACTGAAGCAACTGAAGAAATGTTTCCAGAGAAAACAAACTTTTTAAGAGTGGTTAGGCTTTTGGTGAGAACACCTGTTTGAATAGTTGTGGAAATTCTAAGCAACATAAATAATAAAGAAGAACAGCTCAAAGTAAAAAGCAAGACATGTAAAATAAACAAAATTTCAAGTAGCTTTCCTTGTGTCAAATGTTACAGATACTATTTAGTTACCGTTTTTTATTTGAAGCCTTAATGTCAAGTTAGAAGTGACTATAGAACTAGCTTCTATCTGGAGTCTATGTGGAACAAGTGTAGGGGAGTCTATTTTCAAGAGGGCTGAGAAAACAGTAATGAGATACAACCTGAAATGGAATTTGCTAAGATGTGTTAAAACTGGTATGTGTTGGGCCCAAAATGCTTAATTAGATAAATTTACAAAGGTGGTAAAAATGTAAGCCATTTAAATTTGATGTTTATTCATTGCATCTTTTATCAGCAGGTACTTTGTGGAAAACATTTGAATATTTTATTAAGCCAGTAGTAACAATAGTAAACTCAAGTCACTCTCAGGGAATTAACCATCATAACTTCTCTAATTTTTAGTGAGAAATACAAGCTGAATGTTCCTACTTGCTTAACCACACAGTAGTTCAATTGCTTAGTGAAAGTAAAGTTTTATTGTGACTTTTAGAAATCACTTTTGTTATTTAAAGGTTTATGAATGAGTGGAAACACCCTCAACCACTGTTATCAATTACCAAATGGCTTTGGAAATTAATTTTGCTGCAGACTTGATAATATGTCTTGATTAATTCAATCTAAAATTCCAAGCAAAACACTGATTAAATATAAAGTATTTGATAACAACTAACATATTTTAATTACAAGTTATGTCAGCTGCTTTACACATTTCTGTGATGTTAAAAAAAATTAAAAGCAGAAATGGAATTTCAATTCCTGGACAAATTTGCAGCAGATGTTTTTCAAGCTCAAATTTTATTTCTAGCCATGTTTTTCTGCCCATGAGGCTGATGAAAAGGCTATTTCAATATTTCAAACTTCATTTACCTCTGCCATTGAGGAGCTTCTACTTAGCTTTCAACTGGATGCAATTTATCTGAAACACAGTGACATACTAAAAGTAAATATTTTTTAAAAAAAGAATTCTATATGGTTTCCAGGCTATAGATATACTAATTTAAAATCACGTTTTCAGAGACTGACACCAAAATTTGCAGTTCCTAACTGTGAGAAAAGAAATTTTAAGATGTAATACAAATAAATCTAATTACAGATCAATATTAATAGTTAAAAATTTGCAACGGATTTTGACTACAGCAAACATTAACTCCGAACCCCAATAAGCAAAATGTTTTGCTCTCTAAAAGTATAAAATCAAGTTATTCTTATGAGTAGACCAGCGTCACAAAAAGGTGGTAAATTTTTATTGTTTTATAAATCTTGTCAATAAAAATTACATAAATTTATTTTCTCTTCCATCATATAACTATCTATTTATCATTGATGTCGCATCTTGGCCAGCAAACCTTAAACTACTTATTAGTTTTGTAGAAAATATTTACTGAGTACTGAGTTAGAAATAATATTATTTCTTTTCAAATGTATCAAGCTATTTCTTTTCCTTGGCAATTTAAAAATATATAACAATTTAAAATAAATATACATTAAGTTACTGTTTTATCCTTCCTGAACAATTGCTATCATAAGGAACCTCCCCATTAAGTTAAAGCCTAATGAATTGACCATCAACTTTTACTGGCTTACTTTTCTGATTAGAATTAGTACATAAACATAACTTTGTTACTCTTTTTAAAATGCTTAGAAAAATTACAATATCATAGTTCACATAAGTCCGTTTAAAAATTTCATGTCACAAGTTTTTGACATAAGGGTAAATAATGATGGCATTCTTAAAAAGACTCTTGGTAGATACACTACTAAGCAGCTTACATACACGGCACCAACAACTACAATTTTTAGTACCAGAACTATTGCCAACTTGCATGAAGTTCATCTGTCACATTTTAAAATGCTTTGAATTTGAACATACACACCATGGCGCAGAATTTTAAATTTAATGATTAAATCAGGTATGTAGTAATAGTTAAAAATTATATCCTGAAAATAGGGAAACCAGGAATAAGGCTTAATACAAGCTGTGACTAACAAAGAGTATTTTAAAACACAAATACCAGACTTTTATTTTATTAATCAGATTCAGTTTTTCCTTTGGTAGATGTGATGGTTAATATTGAGTGTCAACTTCACTGGCTTGAAGGATGCAATGTATTGTTCCTTGGTGTGTCTGTGAGGGTGTTGCCAGAGGAGATTAACATTTGAGTCGGTGTACTGGGAGAGGCAGACTCATCCTCAATCTTGGTGAGCACAATCTAATCAGCTGCTTGTTCAGCTAGGATAAAAACAGGCAGAAGAATGTTGAAGGAATAGACTAGCTTAGTCTTCCAGGCTAAACCTTTCTCCTGTGCTGGATGCTTCCTGCCTTTAAACATCAGGTAAACTCCCAAGAGTTTCAGCTTTGGGACTCTTGCGCCTTTAACCACAGACTGAAGGCTGCACTGTTGGCTTCCACACTTTCGAGGTTTTGGGACTTGGACTGGCTTCTTTGCTCTTCAATTTGTAGATGGCCTATTGTGGGACTTCACCTTGTGATTGTATGAATCAATACTCCTTAATGAACTCCTCTTTGTACATACGTGTATCCTATTGCTTCTGTCCCTCCTGAGAACCCTGAGTAATACACTACCCATTTAAACCACTAATGCTGCTATTCAAATTTGTATTTTGAAATTTCTGAGTTACTCTTAAAAAGCAATCTTATATTGTATGTTTCACTTTGCCCTTTAAATGGGTAAAACTATCCTCTTTTTACTCCTGTTACTCAGAATAAGTCTTCCTCCCCAAATCAACTGCACTTTTCCTCCTGTTAAATACAAACAGAGAGAAAAATGCATTTAAGAGAATATGAGAAAAAATGTGAAAATTTTACAGGTAGGGATGGAATGGAATGTTTAATGTTGATGTCATGGAGTTACAAAGTGGCTTTGCTGGCATTCAAATCTCCTCACTTAGCTATTTCTGAGACTTTTAAGAGTTATAATGTATAACTATGGAATTAATTTTTTCTTATACACTAAATGAGTTTGATATCTTCAAAATAGTCAAGTTAAGCCTTCACATTCATTCCAGTGAGATATAGTTTTCATGCAAAATATTTTTAGAATTTCAGTTTTCAAATCACCTTAGAAAGTATATTCTTAGATATAAAGCTTCTAGAAGAGAAAACTTCAGGTGCAATAGTTTCATTGGTGAATTCTAACAGATAGATTAGCAGAAAATAATATCAATTATATACAATTTGTTTTCCAGAAAATATAGGAGAGAAAGGACTGCAACCTTGTATCATAAGGTTAATATTGCCATCAAACAAAATAAAGGAGTAAAAAATAGAACTAGAAAAAAAAAGACCAATATTTTTCATAAAGATAAACACAAAAATTCTAAACAAAACAGAAATAAGCTGAATCTGGTAGCATATACAATATTTAATATGCTATGCCCAAGCAGAACTTCTCAGGAATGCAAGCTCAGTCCAAACCTTAAAATTAATTAATTCAATCAACATATTAACACACAAAATAAACCACATGATCCTACCAATTGATACCCAGAATGTATTTAATAAAATACAACTTACATTCATGATAAAAACAAACAAACAAAAAACAAAACCAACTTTTTCAGCAAACTAGGAACAAAAAAAAATTTTCTATCATGATAAAAGACATTTAAAATTTCATGTCTGATAAAACACTTAATGGAAAAAAAAAGAATGATTTCCCCCTAAGATTGTGAACAAGGAAATGACGTCAACTCTGGCTACTCCTATTCAACATCATATCAGAAGTAGTAGCCAGTGCAGTAAGAGAAGTAAAAGATTTATGGTTTATACAGAATAGAAAAGAAGGAGTAAAAGTCTCTATTCAAAGATAGCATGATTATATACACAGAAAATTCCAGAGATGCCACAATAAATCTTCCACAACTAATTAGTGATTTAACAAAACCAGAGGATAAAAAGGCACCATAAAGAAAGCAATCATAATTATATTTACCAGCAATAATTAGAAAATGAAACTTATTAAGTAAACATTTAAATTAGCTTCAAAAATTCAACAGTCATGTGTAAATACAACTAAACATATGGAGGATTTGTAGGCTAAAAGTTACTAAATGCTGGAGAAAAAATTCAAGCTGACCTAAATAATAGCAGAGACCTGCTATGTTTATCAAAGTCTGAAAACAATTAAGATATTAATTCTTTTCAAATTTATCCATAGATGTATTCCATTTTAAATCAAAATCACAGCAGGATATATTTTTATCATAGATAAGCTGATTTTTAAAATGTATAAGTCACAGAAACTGAATGAATAAAACAATTTTGAAAGATAAAGTAACAAAACTTACATTATGTTGAGACTTTCTATAAAGCAAAAATAAGACAATGTTGTATTGGTGAAAGTATAGACACATAGATCAATGGAACAAAATTGACAGCCCAGAAATAGAACTTCATGTGTCTGGCAAATTGAATGTTGACAAAGGTGCAGATCTTAATAATACAGTTGGAACACCTAGTATTTCTCAAAAGTAACTGAGTTATAAAATGATTCTAAAGATCAATGTCCTTAAATATCTAGTGCTGCATATAATAATTTCTGATATTTTGGTACTAATTTTCCCCATATAATATTCAATGACTAAAATAATTAAAAATTATTTAGTGTGTAAGTCTTCCTGCTTGCTGATTCTGATTCTGTAATTAATCTTGTGTACTATACTTCTCAACTAGCCTAAATTTGATCTTCTTTTTTAGGGTTTTTATGTACGTTCACCTATATAAGACATAGTTTATGTCATAAACTATTTCTAAACTAAATTAAACACATGAAGAACTCTAGCAATTTTTTATGACACTATGCCATTTAGAAAATCAATAATTTCTCCCTGTATTTCAATGTTTCAGGACCCTCAGTCTGCCTTAAACATTTTTGTACAATGTTCAGATCTTAGCCATTATGACTTCTACCAACTTAGAGATATTCAAATTAAAAACTCTCTGTTTTTCATTCAAATCCCCTGGGAGACTAAACTGTATAGAGGATCAGGCTTCTGTCACTCTCACACAAAATATCCAAAACTTAAATTTCATTTTCTTTTTGGTAATTAGTATGTACCATGCACTTTTCTAGGTCCTGGAATACAACAATGAATAAATACATAAGCAAGTTTGTTCTCGGGGCTTTTGCAATTGAATAGGAGAAACAATGTGCATTTAACAATTTCAAATTATGGTACATCCTGTGAAGGTCCTTGTTAACTATTGAAATATCTGCTCCAGAGATTAGTGAGTCTGTCAGTGAGGCAGTCAGAAGAGTTCAAGAAGGACATGAGCCCCTTTACTCTGGTTAGTAATGCACTATCTCATCAAACTTTCATGCAGAAATAAGCTCTTTTTGAGAAAAGCAGAAAAGTTATCCTTTTGCTTTTGTCAGCGCCTTACATAGCCCCATGCCAGTTCCCTGAAATTCATGGAGTTGCAGGACCTCTGGATACAACTGTTCTCAATCATCAAATGGGATACCAAATGGAAAATACTACAGCCCTGAGTGTTATCTCAGCTATATAGCTACATCTTTATTGATGTGCCAAAGTCAACAACCTTTGGAATAATTCAGCTTAAAGGTGAATTATCCAGGGTTACATTCACCTTTCAACAGAAGTATGGATTGCTCATTCCAAATGACTCCTTTGGGATGATCAAGGGCTAGTGTTTTTGACTATATAAATTATTCAGCTGAAAATAATTGCCAGGCTCTCAGTTGTCACTCAGAAATCATTGGCCAATTCCCCAGCCTAAAGTTTTGGGGCACACTAAGTTATTTCAAAATCTAGAAAGCAGTTCCTTAGATTTCCTGGCCTTGGCTCACAGACCTTTGGAAAGATGTATTTAATGTTATGTAATTATATCCTTTAGCAAAATGCTGAATAGAGAGAAAATAATAAAATACAAAATAATAATAATATTTGGAGAAGTGATTTCCAAATAACAAATTTGTTATTTATTGAGATAATCTCTTTTAAATGGTGGTGCTTTGTGAGGTCTAGGCAGGTTAGAAGCTCTGGTGCTGTTTAAAAGCCTAGAGTGACTGAAGGCATATGTTTTGCACCATAAGGCTAAAGTTGGGATAAAGTAAACAGCAAGCACATTCTGAACTCTACTGTCCTTCAACATGTAAGTTAATGATTTTTCATAATAATCATAATAAAGCATTGTTTTAATCCTAATGTAGAAATCCACTATCTAATTATTGGCAACCACAGGTTAAGGAGGAAGGGACAAAATTACATGTAGTTTCTCATGAAGGATACATGGCAGTTTTCATTTCTGAAGCATTATTTTTTAATACCATGCCAGTGTTTTAGAAAAGTCACTATTAGTTAACAGGATAATTTATAATGCCCTAAAGCAGATTTCAATGCCTATTGTCCAGTTTGAAACTTTCTAGGGGTATTTTTATGTGAAATCTTGATGTTCAGGAGGTGTACCCCAAATCTCTTTGTATAGAACCTATCTGATTATAATACAGGGTGAAACTGAGAAACCAAAACTTTAATATATACTCATCCTTTGTTTTACTTCTGCATAGCTATTCTTAATTCTATACACTCATTTCTTTTAGCTAATTAAATAACTACCCATAGGCCTTTATTTAAATGGCCATTACAAACATAATCATGTATAAACTGGTAGTAATATAACAAACATAATTGACATAAATATATCACTTTAAATACATAGGTTTGTAATCTGTATTTCTTATATTACAGAATAAAAGCTAATGAAAACTTTAAAGAGAAGTGGCTCAGTAAAGTTGAGTTAATGTTTCTAAAACACATGGTAGATATTTTTCTTGCTATATATATATGTATATATGTATATGTACATGTAGATATACATATGTATACATACATGTATAAACATATATACATTTATCGTGTGTATATATGTATATATACAGATGTATACATATATATACACACTAACACACACAAAATAAATGTTTGACCTGGAAAAGGGTAGCCCTCCAATATTGTGACCTTACCTGCTACTCCTTCTTCAAGATAGAAACTTGTGTTTTCTATGCTGGCATGTATAATAAGGTAGAAAACATTGATCAGAAATAAAAATATCCTGAGATCTCCAAACGAACACTTCATTTCTTTTGCCAAAGAATGACACAAATGAACTTGCTTCTTATTTTTATTGAAATGGAAAGGGTGCATTCCACTTCCTGAGTATTTCAAAATAAATAAGTAATATTTATTAAATACTTACAGACACATAATGGTATTGGTATTTGTCCATCCTTATGCTTCCATAAGGACATACCCAAGACTGGGTAATTTATGAAGGAAAGAGGATTAACGGACTCACAGTTCCACATGGCTGGGGAGGACTCACAATAATGGCAGAAGGCAAAATAGGAGCAAAGGTATGCCTTACATGTCTGCAGGCAAGAAAGTGTGTGTAGGGGAACTGCCCTTTATGAAACCATCAGATCTCATGAGACTTACTCACTATCATGAGAACAGGATGGGAAAAACCTGCCCCCAGGATTCAGTTATGTCCCACCCGGTCCCTCCCATAACATGTGGGGATTATGGGAGCTATAATTCAATGTGAGATTTGGGTGAGGACACACAGCCAAACTGTATCAGGATTAAATTATTTAAATTGAGGTTCAATATGTCATTTAATATTTTATCAAATTAAAGTATCAAAAATATTTGATTTACATAACAGTCAAATAAAATCCACGTTAGGATATTATGAATATATTTATACATTTTGTAATTAAAATATTTTTGCATGAAAAATATAATTATTGCATTTATGAGAGTACAGACACCTTTAGTTTCAGTTACGACATGTAAAGAGCTTTGAAGTCATCACAAGATGAAAGCAGAAAGAGATGCAAAAGTTAGCCTCTCTGAGGCAGACTACTTAGGGAAATTCCAAGTCAATAGGGCAGAAGAAACCTAAACAGTGTAGGAATTTGAGCCAGTGACAACTACAGCTACACAAAGCACTAAGCAGAGTCAGATTCCTAGACAGATTAAGATAAAACTACACGGTAAAGACTTTGGTTCCTGTTACTCATTACAATATGCTTGGATTTCAACACAAAGTTACAGGAATGTCAAAAGGCAAGAAAAAACACAATCTGAAGAGACAAAGTAGGCATCAGAACCAGACTCAGATATGATTCTAATGTTAGATTATCAAATAAGAAAGTAAAAATAATTATGATTAATATTTTAAAGGTTCTAGTGTAACTGTAGACAATATCAAGAATAGATGACTAGTGTAAACACAGATATAAAAATACACAAAAGAATCACAATGAAATGCTAGGAATAAGAAATGCTACAACAAAAATAAATGCCTTTAATAGAAATATTAACATACTATAGACATGTGAGGAAACAAAGTGACCTTGAAAATAGGTCAATAGAAACAATATCTATATGCAAAGATAAAAATGAATGAAAATAAGCAAATAGAATACTCAACAACGAAAAGCAATTCTGTAAAATATATATTGTACATGCTATTGGGACAGAAACAAAAATAATGGTGCAAAAAATTTGAAGTAATAATGTCTAAATAATTTCCCGAGTTAATAATGGAAACAAGACAGTAGAGAAACCCACAAGCAGGATAAACACCAAATAAATAAACAAATAAGTAAAACACTTAGGCATATCATAATAGAACTGCAAGAAAACAAATGCAGAGAAAAAATATTTTAAAAAGCCAAGGGAAAACAAAATTTTACATATGGAAAAAAGGTAATAATTCCAGGGTCTTATCATTGGAAACTACAGAAGGAAGAGAGTGGAGTACATTTTAAAAATATATTATTTTATTTTAGATTCATGGGTACATGTACAGGTTTTTTACATTAATATACAATGTAATGGTGAGATTTGGGGTGCCAGTGAACCCAACACTCAAATAGTGAACATTGTACAAATTAGTAATTTTTATAGACTGCTGTCCAGAAGAGTTCATCCTAGGTTTTGTAATAAGATTTTTTACATTTTCAGGTCACACATTTAATTCTTTAATTTATCTTTGGCTGATCGTTGTATCTGGTAAAAGACAGGGGTCCAGTTAGAATCTTCTGCATATGGTGAGACAATTTTCCCAACACCATTTAATAAAGTATCCTTTCCTCATGGTTTAGTTTTGTGAACTTTGTTGAGGATCACTTGGTGGCAGATAAGTGGCTTTATTTCTTGGTTCTCTACTTTTTATCATTGATTTATAAGTCTATTTTTGTACCAGTACCACGCTGTCTGGGTTACTATAGACTTATAAAATAGTTCAAAGTCAGGTTATATGGTGTCTGTGGCTTTGTTCTTTTTGCTTAGGATTGCTTTCACTCTTTTTTGGTTTCATATATATATTTAGAGATTGTGTTTTCTAATTCTGTGAGAAATGATGTTGGTAATTTGTTCAAAATTACACCAAATCCATAGATTGATTTGGTCAGTAAAGTCATTTTAACATTATTAATTCTTCCATGAGCATGAGATGGTTTTCCATTAGTTTGTGTCATGTACAATTTCTTTCATCAGTGTTTTCTAGTTTCCCTTCTAGAGGTATTTTACCTCTTTTGTTAAGTGTATTTCTAGTTTTTTTGTGGCTATAGCAAATGGGCTTGAGTTCTTGATTTTGTTCTCAGCTTGAGCATTTTTATTGAACAAAAATACAACTGATTAATTTTACATTGATTTTGTATCCTGAAACTTTAATGATGTTTTTTATTAAGTCTCAGAGTCTTTTGACGGAGTCTTACTTTTCTGCCTATAAGACTGTGTGATCAGGAAACAAAACATTTGCCTTTCTATTTTTTAATTTGCATGCCTTTTATTTCTTTCTCTTGCCCAGTTGCTCTGGCTAGGACTTCCAGTACTATGTTGGATACAAGAGTGGTGAGAGTGTACATCCTTGTCTTGAGTTGTTCTTAGGGGAATGTTTTAAACTTGTCTTCACTCAGTATGATGTTGGTGGTAGTTTTGTCACATATGGCTCTTATTATGTTGAGGTATGTTTCGTTGATGCTTAATTTGTTGGGGTTTTTTTCATGAGAGATGTTGAATGTTATTGAAAGGTTTTCTACATCTTTAAAATTATTATTTTTTTTTGTTTTTCATCCTGCTTATGTGGTGAATCGCATTTCATTATCAGGATGATAGTGGTTTCTTAGAATGAGTTAGGGAACAATCCTTCTTCCTCCATTTTTTAATAATACTTTCCGTAATATTGTTACTAGCTCTTCTTTGTGTATCTCGTAAAATTTGGATGTAGGTCTTTCTGGTCATGTGCTTTTTTGTTGTTGGTGGTAGACTTTTTTATTACTGATTCAGTTTCATCACTTCTTATTTGTCTGTTCAGCATTTCTATTTTTTTTTTCTGGTTTGAACTTGGGAGGTGTAATGTTTTCAGCAATTTATCATTTTTTTCTAGGTTTTCTAGATTGTGCACATAGAGAGCTTAGGTCATTAATTTGAGAACTTTTTATCTTTTGATGTAGGAATTTTGTGTTATAAACTTTCCTTTTAGTACTGATTTTGCTATATCTCAGAGGTTTGGGTATATTGTGCCTCTACTTTCATTCCGTTCTAAATATTTTTAAATTTCTGCCTTAATTTCATTGTTTACCAAAAAGTCATTCATGAGCAACTTGTTTAGTTTTCACATACTACTATAGTTTTAGGAGTTCCTCTTGGTGTTTACTTACAATTTTATTCTGCTGTGGTCCAAGGAGATACTTAATCTGATTTAGATTTCTATGAACATATTGAGACTTGCTTTGTGGCCAAGCATACGATAAATTTTGGAGGATGTTCCAAGCACAGGTGAGAAAAAATGTATATTTGGCAGCTGTGGGGTGTAATGCTCTGTGATATCCATTAGGTTTGTTTGGTCAAGAATGCTGTTCAAGTCCTGAGTTTCTTTTCTAGTTTTCTGCCTTAATAATCTTACTAATGCTGCAGTAGCCAGTGGGGTGTTGAAGTCTCACACTATTATGATATTGCTATCTAGCACTTTTCTTAATTCTAGTCGTATTTGCTTTATAAATCTAGTTGCTCCAGTGTTGGGTACATATATATTTAGTATTGTTAAACCTTCTTATGGAGTTGATCATTTTATCATTACATAATGCCCTTATTTGCCTTTTCATTGCTGCTCATTTAAAGTTGTTTTATCATATTTCTCATTTTTTTAACATTACTTATAATTATATACTTATACTTCTTTACATTTTCAGCTTTTATTTTAGATTCAAGGGGTACACATGCATATCTGTTACATGGGTATATTGTGTCACACTAAGGATTGTAGTGTAAGTGATTCTGACAGCAAGGTAGTGAGCCTAGAACCCAATAGGTAGCTTTTCAGCCTTTGTCCCCTTCCCTCTCTCCCCACTCTATTAGTCTCCAGTGTCTATTTTTCCCATCTTTAGGTCCATAGGTACCTGATATTTAGTTCCCACTTATAAGGGAGAACATGCAGTATTTGATTTTCTGTTCCTGCATTAATTCACTTAGGTTTATGGCCTCCAATTCCATGTATGTTGTTGCAAATGACATGATTTTATTCTATTATATGCCTGTGTCATATTCCATGGTGTCCTGTTCCATATTTACTTTATTAAATCCACTATTGATAGGAATCTATGTCTAATCTATAGTCTTTGTTATTGTGAATAGTGCTGGAATGAACATATGAGTGCATGTGCCTTTTTTGTAGAATAGTTTATTTTCCTTTGGATATATACCCAGTAATGGGACTGCTGGATTGAATGGTAGCTCTGTTTTAAGTTCTTTGAGAAATCACCAAATCACTTTCCACAGTGGCACTAGGAAGTATAGGATGCAGACTATTTGGGTGGGAGTTGTAAAAGTTGGGAAACTCTATGTGTGTGCAAAGTTTTACCAGGAAGAATTGGTAGCCTTGGGGTTGTCCACTGGGTGAGCCAAGGAGAAAGCTTAGAAAATACCCAAACTTCTCTTCAGGTTTCTGAAGTTCTAAGTTTGTCAGCCCAATTAACTCCCCGACGTAAGCTACTTAGGAGTTTAACTGTCAGCAGCAGCAACTGGCAGAGTACACTGGAAAACCCCTTTCAGTGAGAAATGGGGACCTTTTGAGTTTTAGTCCCTTTTCTTTCCTGATCTTAGGGAGAATGAAGCCCCAGGAAGTGTTTACATACCTGTACATGACTTTGTTTAGTAGTCAAGGGAAACTCAGGTATACCTAATCCCTTCTGCTTCCAGAGCTTGGTGAATTGTGCCAACTCAGGAGGGGCCTTAAAGTTGGGGTACTAAATGTTTGTTACAAACTCTTCTCTCCTCAAGGAGAAGCTAGGATTTGAAAATTTCTTCCCAATTTTTTGAGGTAGTTCCCAAGGTGAGGTTCATACCTAAGTGTGCCTAAGCTTTTTCTACACTTTTGCTGTAGATATTTTCTCAGTCGCCTGGAGTATAGAGTCTCAAGTTTGTCTATGACTCTCTTTCAGATGACAATGATCCTTGTGTAGATGTTTATTCAGTGTGTCCATGGGTGAAGGGAGCGTCAGTAGCCTCCTATTCTGCCATATTGCTTATGTCACTCCTAAAACATACAAATAGTTCTTAAAACTCTGTAGTAAAAAATAAATAACTTATTTTTACATCAGCAAAAATCTGAAGATACCACTCCAAATTATACACAGATGGCAAGTTAGCATATGAAGACTTGTTGAACATAATTTGTCATTTAAAGAAATGAGAAAAAAACATATATTAAGATACAAATGAGATACCACAATACACCTATTAGAATAAATAAAATACAAAAATAAAACTGACAATATCAACTCCTGGCAACCACATAAAGCAACTTATGCATTGCTGGTGAGAATGTAAAATAATACAGCCACTTTGGCTGACAATTTGACAGATTTTTACAAAATAAAAAGTGAAGTTCAGAAACTGTGCTACTGTATACTTACTTGATCGATTTGAAAACTCATGTCCACAAGTAACCAGTATAAAAATTTACTTAATACTTCTATTCATAATTTCTATTTGCATTTCACTTTTTGGTATCTGATAAAGGCTCAAAGACAAATGGGGCTTATTTCTGGATAGAACTCATATTTAGTTCTCATTTCATCAGATTGCCTTTTATAAATAATGGTCTTATGCTCTTGCATTCAGCTTTTGAGATCTTTCTTTTTTAAATTGTCTTTTCTTAAATTTTTAACACATACAAACTTTAACAAATTTAATATACTCTGAATAGAATAATTACCAGGAAAAAAATTTAATTAGTAACCATATGTTTGGAAAAACAAAAGCCAATAAAGCTTGTAAAATATTTATAAAAATATTTAATTGCATTAAACAGAAAATCACATGTGAATTATAATATCACCATGCCACTAAGAATAACCTATTTGGGACTAATTTTATTGATTTAAAAGTAGAATTAATGAATTTTTTTCATGTTTTAAAAGATAATAATATTATCAGAAAATCTGCATCTATGATGCTTCCAAATACTCAGAAATATTATTGATACTTTTCCAGTTCCATACATTGCAAAATACCAGATGTAGAAGCCAAAAAACTATAGTTTTCAATTTGTCTTGTCATTACTGTCCTGACATGTGAAATAAGTTCCATTACATACAGTTTGTTTGAATATAAGTTACTTGAGGAATTAGGATCAGTGAGAATTATCTGGTGTCAAACTGGATTTGTGAAAGTCACCTTGTATCTGTTGTTTGCAGTGTTGGTGGCAAGGAATTCTCAATCACTTCAGAACAACCTGTTTTGAGTTTGGATCAGAGGCAACATGGTTCTTCAATGAACCATTGCGGCAGTCCTTTTCAGCTTGACAGTTCTGCATAGTCATTCTGGGAGCTGTTTCTGGCATCAAATCTTAAAGCCTATTCCTCTAGCCCTACAAAGATTTGATCAGATTTTTAAAATCCCACAAAAAGGTATCTCTATGCTCAAACTAGCTTAGTTTTTCTTTGTGCAGCCAAGAACTCCAATCAATATAGTTGCCATAGGCATCTCTTTACAACAAAACATATATAAGAAATCATAGACAGAACATTTGAAGCTAAGTTAAAACTAAAACTTAAATATTTTATCAGATATTTTAGTTTATGTTTTCAATTTGTTTCCCCATTTCTATGTGATAATAAAAACTTTAATTTGTAGCTAGGAAATTGACTGTCTAAAATAAACACTAAAATTTTTAGCCTTAAAGGAAAATAATTTATCACATAATTTGTGCAGACACAATTCTGTCGATAAGAGTACATTATTTATTCTTTTTTCTACTTTATTCCCTATAACTGTAGTTACTCTACAGTTCCTCTACAGCATAGGAAACATCCCTTTAATCTAGAGATAGCCTTTCAGTGATAGGCAGGACTTATCATTGGATTTCTGAGGATGTGATGAAACATTGCCACCATACCATCTAACCTCCAGATGATAGTATTAGGAGGTGGGACACTGGGAGGTAATTAGGTCATGGGCAAGAAGCCTTCATGAATGAGGTTACTGCCCTTATGAAATGGCTAGCTTGCCATTTTCACCTCCTGAAAATATGGTAAGAAAGTACTCTCTGTGAATCAGCAATGGGACCTCACCAGACACTGAATCAGTCTGTGCCATGATCTTGGACTTGTCAGCCACCAAAACTGTGAAAAATACATTTGTTTTATTTTTAACATACTCAGTTTATGGTATCTTGTTATAGAAGCTTGGACAGACTAAAACAGATACTTAAATTATACAGTTTTATTTGTGGATTTGATATTAACATAAAAATAATTGTTTAAAAAAGTAAAAATAATATGGATTTTAATTTGAGGGATTTCTAAGAAAATGTCTACAGCATTTCCTAGGTAATGAAATAAAATAAAAATTTTCATATAAATTTAATATTTCACTAGCTCATTTAAACTCCATGGAAAAATTCTGAGTGCCTGTCATTAAATCTAATCTAGAAATTCAGAATATGTGCCTGTAAATTGAGACAAAAAAGATTAAGAGGCATTCGCTAGAGACAAACAAGCCCTCAGAATTTTATTTTATTTCCTATTTTCTTTTCTTTTTTTTTTGGTTTTGTTTACTGATAGAGTCTTGCCCTGTCACTCTGGTGCTGGCTAGAGTACAGTGATCATAACTCACTGCAACTTCAAACTCCTGGACCCAAGTGAGCCTCCCAAGTAGCTGGGACTAGAGGCATGTGCCACCATGCCCTGCTAATTTTTTTAAATTTTTTATAAAGATGAGGTCTTGCTATGTTGCCCGGGGCTGGTCTCCATCTCCTGAGCTCAAGCGATCCTGCCATCTTGGCCTCCCAAAGTGCTGGGATTACAGGCATAAGCCGGCATGCTGGCCAGAAATGTTCTTTTGGACAAACTTTTCTCTAATTTGCCTTTTCTAAAATTATCCTCAAAACTTATATATTTACTTGCATTAGATTTATATTTGCTTGTGGATTATAACATTACAATCTATTTAGAATGTTATCTATTCTTTCTCTGAGCCAGCTTTTTTGGAGGAAGTTATTTTTAACCTCTTCCCATCACTGGATCAGTTATCATAGTCTGAATACTGCATTGTTCAATTTATGTCACTGACAAATCCAATATTTATTAGGAGAATTTAAACACAACTTGTTTATTTATGAACTCTGTCAAAATGCCCTTAAATAAAAATTTTGAAGTTTAGCAGAAGGTGTTATGATGATGTCAATACTCAGTTAAAGAAAGTTCATAGGAAGGTAAGGCCATATATTATAGCCAATCATGAGCAAACCATAGACTTTATTATAACAGAATTGGGCATGTGAAACACAGCTAATACCTGGTTTGAAAAAGTAGAGTTTAAGCAAGTTTGCAAGTCAGTAATAAGATTGTATGTGATTGCATATGTTTTTATATTTCACTAGAGCAGATTAAAAGAGAATTCACATTTCACCAATTAAACTTCAACATGAAGCACATATGAATTTCTTTCATGTCTTTCATTTGGTTTCCTTCCAAAGGGGGTATATAACATATAGTTTACTTTCTGTTGGAAAAAGGAACTTAAAGTTATGTTTGATTCAGTAACACAATTTCTCTGTCCTTCCTTTTTTCCTGTTTCTTTCACCGTTTGTGGAATTTCCATCTTTTGTTAAATACTATGCTATACAAAAAAAAATCAAGATTTTATGTCATCAAAAATTCTGTGTTCAATACAAAGTGAGGAACTTTATAACTGAAGTGACAATAGGATAACTATTGTTTTTTAGTTCATATATTTTAAAATATATGAAAATTTTCACTTGACTTTGTCAATGTAAATCAGATATTTAATAACAGAGGTAGACTATAAATTTTCTAACTGGACTTATTTGTATAATCTGAAAGACTCTACAGTCCTGTGTTTAAGAAAAATAGTTAACTAAATTATAACTGTTAAATTGCCAGGTATCTTTAGTTCTCTGTTATTATGATACATAGTAATACAATTAAATAAAGTATTTAATGTAATGCATAACAATTTAATTTAATTCATAAAAAATTATTTTTCTCTGTTGCTTCAGATGCCCTGGGAAGAATATAATAATTTACCTACATTGGAAATCTCTGTAATGTAAGACTATCTAATGAATATTTTTCAAAATGAAAATTGACAACAAATGTATTTCACAGATATAGAATGTTAGAATACAAAAAGGCAACTGCAGATCACATACTGTACATTTTATTTTGTAATGATAATAACAAAGCTGAGTCTCAAGGTCTACAAGAAAGCAGTTCCAGGAGGAATGCAGATTAGTGGTGCAGGCTGGTCTTGAAACTAAATCAGGTTCTGTTGTTTCATGACTATCCCAAGCAAGATTAATGGGATAAAGAGAAAGATATAAATACAATAACCCCAATAAAAAGTTGTTTTGTGTATATACCCCTTTCAGCTAAAAATAATTGGTGAAATTAATTCTGGCTATGTTCTATAACAGCAACTCTTCTGGATTGCTGGAGCATTTGTTGATTTGGTTCATAATTGTTTGTGTGTTTGTGTGTCTGTTTTTGATTACGAATATCACCTTTAGCAAATAGTGGAGTAACTGCTGTAAATGGTTTCGTCCTTCTTTTTAATTTTCTCCTCCAGGTAGAATTATTATACTCTTTTCTAGATCCTATCCTGGTCTTTAATTATTGCTCTATAATTGTCCCTACAGGAAAACATCTGCTGTTGCCCATTTTTCTCTCCCTATTGCTTCAGATTCCCTATGGGCTATATTATATCATGTTGACATTGCATTTTCTAGTTGCCTTTGATGATTTTCTACTCCAAGAGTCCTACAAAGATCAGGATTTTTAGGTACTTCATTTTCTATGGCAAATCAGACATTTTTCCTTCTATGTTATTGTCAGGTTATTGAATTTAGGAAATAATTTTGGCAAATAAGAGCTGTAAAATTGTTTTACATTGACAGTTTTGTTCTATTCATAACTTCAAAAATTTAAAGTCCAATATAGCCTTGTTATGTTTAGGAGTAAATATAATAACAGATTATAAATTTTCATAATTAATTGTATTCATGGTGTATTTTTATTAACATAATCATTTTATATTATGAAATCATATTTACAGTAAATTATGTTTTATATTTATACAATATTTATTTTATAATAAAGTGTGACATTCAAATTATATTATGAAATATGTTATAATTATAACAATATACATATGTATATATATTATGTCATGTTAATTATCACTATTATTTTATGAAGAATTATTTTGGATAAACTAGTCATTTATTAGTATCATTAAATGATTATTTTAAATATAATGGATATTTATATTTATTTTATGTCTATTTTTAGAGAAGCCATTGATATTTTATATCTAAATGACAACTATAACTAGTTATTAAAGTGTAGAGGCTAAAGATTAAGCAATATTTATATTATATTATTTATATTAATAATTAATCTATACAACTTTTAGCCTAATCTTGTATCAGGCAACTCTCTTTACTCAGTCCTACTTAAAGGTTCCTTCATTCACATTTTATTTCCCAACCTTAGTTAAATATCATATATTGTAGTCTATTGTATTTTAATGTAAGATCAAAATTAGAATCAAACACAGTCTTACCAACACTAAATTCTATATATTTTAAAAATTTATAGAAAAGTTGTAGGAATATTAATGCGAGTTAACTGACACTAAGAGTCTTGATAACTAATATGTTAAATCCTCTACAGATGATAACATGTTTTTATAGTTAAATTTTAAGAAAATGTTACCAAATATGAACAATATAAATTAATAATTATATATTTATCTCCTTTTCAGGCAAAGCATACTTCTGTGTAATTTCTGATTGTTGTTGCCTTTTTATCAATAGTATCAGATAATATTTTATCAAATTTACAAGGGTGTCATTTGGATTTTCATGTGTTCTATATGTTTTAAAACTAAAATACTTTTTAATATGTAAAGAAGATAATAAAAGTACTATCTCTCAGAATATTTTTCTTTCTGTTTTATCATAAATATGTTATGGATATGGTTTGGATATTTATCTCCTCCAAATCTCATGTTGAAAAGTCATTCCCACTGTTGGAAGTGGAGGTCGGTGGAAGGTGTTTGGGTAATGGGGGAAGATCCTTCATGAATGACGTGGTGTCCTGCTGATGGCAATGTGTGAGTTCTTCCTCTGTGAAGTCATGGAAGAGTTATTTAAAAGAGCCTGGCCCTTCCCCCATCAAATTGGCTCTCCTTGCCTTTCTCCATGACTGGAATATTCCTAAGACCTTCATCAGAATCAGATGCTGGTGTCATGCATCATGTAGAGCCTCCAGAACTCTGAGCCATTTAAACTTCTTTAGTTATAAATTATCTAGTCTGAGGTATTATTTTATAGCAATGCAATCAGACTAACAGTTATAAATTAAAAGACTCTAGTTAGATTAGAATGAATTGAAAGTAAGTTGGGGAAAATACAGAAAAAAGAGATAAACACATTTTCTTAAGACATGTTCAGCATTTTCCATAAACTATATAAATTTATTTATTTGCAACATAGTCTCAGAAGGTGCAAATCTGAATCACCATAAGAAACATACAAGTTGCATTAAATTATGGAAGCCTGTTCAGCTGAATCAGTCTTCTAAGGAAACTACATCCAGGTAATATTTACATTGCTAACATCCCTCTACAATGGTCTTGTAACCAGAAAGATTTTTTTATTCATAACCACTGAGGATTCTGTATATTAACATCATCAGTGTATATAGTCTTTAGTTACAATGGTTTTTTAAGATGCCACTTTCTTCTATGATTATGCAAAATAAAGTGATCATTTTACCTTAGCTATTAATATCAAGTTAAAATGATTCAATGGCTGAATTGCTTATTTGGTGGGTTTTTTTACACTGAAAAATGTATAAAATACTTAGTCTCTTTTACTAATTCAGTTTCATTTTTTTGGTTTACAATAAGAAGTATTCTCCATGTATTAGTCCATTTTCACACTGCTGATAAAGGCATACCCAAGACTGAACAATTTACAAAAGAAAGAGGTTTAATGGACTTAACAGTTGCCCATGATTGGGGAGGACTCACAATCATGGCAGAAGACAAGGAGGAGCAAGCCATGTCTTACATGGATGGCAGCAGGCAAAGAGAGAGAGTTTATAATGAAACTCCCTCTTATAAAAGCAACAAATCTCATCAGACTTATTCACTATCATGAGAACAGCACGGTAAAGACCTGGCCTCATGATCCAATTACCTCCCTCTGGGGCCCTTCTCATAACACATGGGGATTCAAGATGAGATTTGGGTGGGGACACAGCCAAACCATATCATTCCACTCCCAAATCTCATGTCCTTACATTTCAAAACAAATCATGCCTTCCCAACAGTACCCCAAAGTCTTAACTCATTTCAGCATTAACTCAAAAGTTCACAGTCACAAGTTTTACCCAAGATAGGGCAAGTCCCTTCTGCCTATGAGCCTGTAAAATCAAAAGCAAGTTAGTTACTTCCTAGATACAATGGAGATATAAGCATTGAGTAAATACAGCCATTCCAAATAGAAGAAACTGGCCAAAACAAAGGGGCTACAGGGCCCATGCAAGTCAAAACTCCAGTGGGGAAGTAAAACCTTAAAGCTCCAAAATGATCTCCTTTGACTCCATGCCTCACATCCAGGTCATGCTGATGCAAAGGTGAGTTCTCATGGTCTTGGGCAGCTCTGCCCCCATACCTTTGCAGGATACAGCCTCCCTCCTGGCTGCTTTCACAGGCTGGCATTGAGTGTCTGTGGCTTTTCTAAGCACATAATGCAAGTCATAGGTGGATATACCATTCTGGGGTCTGGAGGACCCTTTTCACAGCTCCACTAGGTGGTGCCCCAGGAGGGACTCTTTGTCGGGGCTCTAACCCCACATTTCTCTTCTGCACTACCCTAGCAGAGGTTCTCCATGAGGGGCATGCCCCTGCAGCAAACTTCTGCCTAGGAATACAGGCATTTCCATAAATCCTCTGAAATCTCGGTGGAGGTTCCCAAACCTGAATTCTTGACCTCTGTGCACTTGCAGACTCAATACAATGTGGAAGCTGCCAAGGCTTGGGGCTTGTATCCTCTGAAGCTATGCCCCAAGCTCTACATTGGGCCCATTCAGCTATGGCTAGAACAACTGCGATGCTAAGTTAAGATCTAGCAAGACCCTACGTTACACTCGACAGGGACCTTTGGCCTGACCCATGAAACCATTTTTTTCTCCTAGGCTTCTTTGCCTATGATGGGAGGGACTGCCGTGAAGACCTGTGACATACCCTGAAGACATTTTCCCCATTATTTTGGGGATTAACATTTGTTACTTATACAAATTCCTCAAGCTGCCTTGAATTTATCCTCAGAAAATGGGATTTTTTTTTCTATCACATTGTCAGGCTGCAAATTTTTCCAACTTTTATGCTCTGCTGTTCTTGTAAAACTGAATGGCTTTAACAGCACCCAAGTCACCTTTTGAATGCTTTGCTGCTTAGACATGTCTTCTGCCAGATACCTTAAATCATCTCTCTCAAGTTCAAAGTTTCACAAATCTCTAGGGCAGGGCCAAAATGCCACAGTCTCTTTGATAAAACATAACAAGTGTCACCTTTGTTCTACTTCCCAACAACTTCCTCATCTCCATCTGAGAGCACCTAAGCCTGGACTTTATTGTCTATATCGCCATCAGCATTTTGGACAAAGCCATTAAATAAGTCTCTAGGATGTTCCAAACTTTCCCACTGTCTTCCTCTGAGCCCTCCAAACTGTTCCAACCTCTTCCTGTTACTCAGTTCCAATGTTGCTTCCAAATTTTGGGTTATCTTTAGAGCAGTCCTCCCCTCTCAGTACCAATTTACTGTATTTGTCCATTTTCATGCTGTTGATAAAGACATACCCCAAGACTGGGCAATTTACAAAAGAAAGAGGTTTAATTAATGTACAGTTTCACATGTTTGGGGAGGCCTCACAATCATGGCAGAAGGCAAAGAAGAGCAAATCATGGCTTACATGGATGGCAGCAGGCAAAGATAGAGATCTTGTGCAGGCAAATTCCCCTTTATAAAACCATCAGATCTCATAAGCCTTATTCACTCTCAGGAGAATAGCAGAAGAAAGACCTGCCCCCATTATTCAACCTCTCACCAGTTCCCTCCCACAACACGTGGTGATTCAAAATATTTTGGTGAGCACACAGCCAAACCATATCTCTGCCCCAAGATTTAGTTCTGAAAAATATATGCGCATTAAGGTCATCCTCCCTGATTTAATTGTCTACCTGTTCTGATCAATACTTACACACTCAGAGCCTATCTATTTATAAAACAGCAATTTATTTATAAAATGTATTTATAAAATACATTTACTTCAAATTTCAGATGCTGTTCTATAAAAATGTATATGCATGTGTGAATATTGATATGTTGATTTTATGAACTTATTAATTTGATCAATTTTTCTTGTTTTAGTGTATCAGAAACTCAAGCCAATATATGATTTCAACATATTGATCTCAGGTTGAGGTTATGTTATTACCACGAGCCAGAACTATCAGAAAAATGGCTAAGAAGTTTAGGCTTTCAGTGCAATGCTATATCCCAGATTAGATATAATTCCTGTTAATTTTTCCTTTATGATGAGTCCTTTTACATATTTATATCTTTTATATTTTCTCTGCCAAAGCCCTCTGCCCTAATCCCTTTTTCTACTCTAAAAAGGCTGAGCACATGCTAAATATTGCTAAAAAAACAAAATATTACGGCAATATATGCGGTAATATTTAAATGTGAATTTCTATTAACAAAAAATGAATTTTATATAAGTATATATATATAAAGTATCTTTGATAGCTTCAAATGTGAAATCATATATAGTTCTCATGAAATAGGCTTTAATATATGTTATGGATAATGTTATTAACTGTTTCTGATGTAAAAAACAAATCAAAAAAAGTTTACTGGATATTCTTTCCATCATACCAAAAGCCATGCATATCTTTCATTCCTATATTATAAGTTATTTTTCATTCCAAACATATATACAATCTCATAAAAATTTCTATGAAATAAAAATTATGTGTATATTTTTATACAATATATTTATTAATATTTAATTACATAATATTTACAAGTTAGAGATATGTGTGATTGTGGGGAAATTATCAAGTAGAGAAAAATTTAGCATAAAATGAATAAATATTGATAGATGACTAGAACTAGGCTTCAGTTCATATTTATTAATGAGCTATATCTTGTATAGAAAAGTATATTCTATACTTTAATTGTCTTGTCAACTGTTGTTTTGTAGGCCTATTAAAGTTTTAACAAATGTATTTGTAAGGGCCTTCAAGATTAAGTCTAAGGAGTAAATAATTCAAAAGAAAACAGAACAACAGAATAGAAAGATATTGTCTTAAACAGTTGCCTAAAATTAAAGTCCTGGTTTACATATCTCTAATTACAGAGACTGTTTTTTAATGGTTTACATATCTCTAATTACAGAGACTGTTTCAATTTGTCATATATATTTAATCAAAGTCTTTATCTTATAAAATAAATTTTATAGAAATAGTGAACTAGTCCATTAAAATTAAATAAAAAACTAAGAAAAATGCATATATGATTATTTTGTAGAGTGTCAGTATATATAATTTCACAAATAATTTTTCATTGCATTTCAATTCACCTTGGAGTAAAACATAATACCATTTGTGTATCAGATTTACACACTAGAGATGTGTAATGTTCTAGATGGAATGCACTGGTGGCATATGGCCTGTCAGCCATTGAAATATGACTAGTGTGACTTTAAACCTGATTATTAAAAAATTACTCTACTTTAGCTAATTTAAGCTTAAATTTAAAACATAATATTGGAAACATTTATGTTGTTTACAAAACCTTTGGTATTTAAGGTTACTTTTTAAAATGCAAATTTTATGAAATTCACATAAAGATATACTTTTAGTAAAAATTTATTACTGAATTTAAATATATTCTAAATGTAAGCTACCACATTTAAAGATAGCACAAAAATAAAGTAAAATATCTTATTTATACTTTCTATATTGATTAAATGCTGAAATAAAAATATTTTAGATAAAATGTGTTAAAATCTATTTTTGAAATTAATTTTACCTTTTTCTTTTTACCTAATATATGGGGCTACTAGAAAAGTTAAAGATACATATGTAGTTTGTGTGTGTTTCCACTAGGCAGCTTAATTGCTCAGGTTATGTTTGTAGGCAAGTTTTTTACGTGTTTAATTCCCACTGTATTGCTGGACTTGATAAAATATTATTGAGTGATGCAATGTTTTCCACAAAATAGAATCCATTATAAAGAATTACTAAGCAGAAACCTCTACTTTATTGCAGAATATGCAGAATATGGCTATTGCCAATAATAAATTTACCTATAGATATGTTTTAAAGGATAATATTTAACATTCATTTCACAAATAACACTAATGGCAAATAATTGTATTATTTATTAACTCATTTAAAGGTCCCCGATAAAATTTGGGTAATTGCAACTTGTTACAACTATCCACAGAAATAGTTTTCTTTTCAAACTACTTATATAAGCATGATAAATACAAGTACAAAATAAAATTACATTTGTTTGCCTTTGGTAGGTTTCACTATGAAACTCATAACTTGACCTAAATGTCCTCCTGTTCAATATGCTTTCATTGTTTTTGAATTTTTACACAGGAATGCTTTAGGAATTCCTTAATTTATAAGTCATCAATTTTTATCATGGCCAATATTGTAATTGACATAAGGCCTCTCTGAATCAACTTATTTTATTATTTAGTAGATGTTACTTAACATATATTTCAAATTTACAACATGATGCTATCAGATTCATATAGGTAGCAAAATGATTATTATTGTGAAGCAGATTAACACATCTATCATCTCAAATAGTTAATTTTTTGGTGACAACAGCAGCTAAAATCTACGTAACAAAAATCCCTAATATAATTGCTAACAAAAATCCCTAATGTAATACAATTTTATTAACTTCCTCATTTTGTACATTAGGCCTCTAGACTTGTTCATCCTACATATCTTGTATTTTGTATCCTTTGATAAATATTTTCTCATTTCTTCTCTACCCCTCCTCCCACCATCCCTACTGGTAACCTCTGTTTCATACTCTGTTTATTTGAATTTGAACTCTTTTGTTTTGAAGTTTCACACAGAAGTGAGGTCACATAATTTCTTGTATGTGTGTCTGGCTTATTTCATTTAGCATGATGTCCTGTAGGTCCATCTGCTTTGCAAAAAGTGGCATAATCTTTTTTCTTTTTTTAAGGTTAAATAATACTTCATTGTGTATGTGTGTATGTGTATAAAATATTATATATATATGTATATTACTCATTCTTTATCCATTTACCAATCAATAGGCATGTAAGTAGTTTTGATGACTTGATAATTGTGAATAGTGCTACAGTGCACATGGGAATGCAGATGTCTTTACTTACAAGGTGGTGATTTCATCTTTTTAGATATACATGCAGAAGGGGGATTGTTGGATCATATGGTAGTTTTATTAACAATTTCTCTAAGAACCACCATGCTATTTTCTATAATGGCAGTAACAATCCACATTTCCACTAACAGTGTACTAGGGTTCCCTCTCCTCTGCATCCTTGCCAACATTTGTTTTCTCTTGTATTTTTTATAACAGTTATCCTTATGCGTGTGAGGTGGTATCTCATAGTGGCTTTAACTTGCATCTTCTTATAATTAGTAATAATGAGCACTTTCCACATACCTGCTGGCCATTTTTATGTCTGCTTTGGATATATGTCTGTTCAGGTCCTTTGCCATTTTTTTAAATCAATTTGTTTGTTTTTTCTGCCATTGCTTGTAAAATTTCCTTACAAATATTTGATATTAACCCCCTATTAGACAGATAGCGTGCAGTCATTTTTTTCCATTTCATAGGTTGCTCTTTCATTTGTTACTTGTTTCCTATATGCTGAGGCTTATGTTGCTTTTTAGTTTAATGCAGTCCCATTTATTTATTTTTACTTTTGTAGCCTGAGCTTTTGGCTTGTTATCCAAAAAATAGTTGCCAAGGCCAATGTCAAGGTATTTTTTTCCTTTATTCTCTCCTAAGAGTTTTATGGTTTCAGATCTTACATTTAGGTTTTCTATCCTTTCTGAGTGAATTTTTGTGCATGGTGTAATATACATGGTGTAATATAATGATCTAATTTTATTATTTTGCATGTAGAAATTCGGTTCTTCCAGTGCTATTTATTAAAGAGACTATCCTTTCCCTATTGTGTCCTTTTGGTGCCCTTGTCAAAAATTAATTGACTGTGTATGTTTAGATTTATTTCTGGGCTCTCTGTTCTGTACTACTGGTCTGTGGAGCATGATTCCTCCATCATACTTTCTGATTTTCTTCCTCAGTATTGCTTTGGTTATCCAGCTTACGTTTGTGGTTCCACAGACATTTGGGGATTATTATTTTCTGTGTCTGTGAAAAATGCCGTTGATGAATTTTGAAAAACAAGATCATAAAAGAGTATAATGAATCAACTATCATGTAGCTAGTACAATTATTGAAAGTAACATATATATATACACACACACACACACACAAACATTTAGCCTTGTTCTGATTTCTAGACAATAGTTATATATGTGGCAAAAAAGTGAGAAATAATAATAGTGAACATGTAAAAACTTATTTTACTTGCAAATACCTTCTTTCAATGAGGTTCTAGAATTTGATAGTAAGCTGTAAATGTGTGAGAATTCTGTTCAAGTGTGGTTTCCTTGTGTGACGTAAGATATGCCTATTAATGTACAATAATTATATTAGGAGAACAGTATGACCAACTTGAAAAAAAAAATAACCTTCAAAGTTGAGATACGTGAACCTATCACTCATTTTTATTACTGAATTTTAGCCACGACCTCCACATCTCTTTCAGTTTTTCCCATTAAAAATGAATATTCAAAGTACAATGTAGCATGAATACAAAGGCATTTTATGATTGATGTTAAGCACATTAATGTAATTAAGTTAAAACTTGCAAACTCCTGATTGTATTAAAATTTATAAAGTATAATTTTTAGTTCCTTCTACTAGGGTACATACAACATCTATATCAAATTTGTATTGCTAATTTAAGACTAATTAAATTTCAAAATCTTCAGTGAATCTTGGCAAGACACATGGATTAATTGAACATTAGAAATAAATATTAATCTTTTTTACTTTTGTGACTTTATTTAGAAAGCAACAGGAAAAGACAATGGCATTCAATTACCATAATTAAATTTGTATTAATATATTATCCCTCATTAACTCTGTACTGATGTGAATATGAATTCGAAACAACTAAAATTTAAAAGAAACGTGTTCTCTTCAACAGACTGAAGTTTCTAAATATAACAAACAAAAAGAGATACCATAAGTAAATCTCCTTTGAAGTACCTTATTTTAATAACACAAGATTTATTGCAAATCTTTAATTTGCAAAGTTCTCTATTAGGTGTAGAAGCTTGGAGTTAGGTATACTAAAATGAGATAGCAAATGAAAAGAAGTTCTTATCCCCCACCTCTTTTATTTCTCAGGGATTATATAATTATTTCACAGGAAGGAGAGGATAATAGTGTTGATAAATAAGACATTGCAGGAGTAGAATAGGGATACTGGGAATATGATATTTACCAAAACAAAAACGGGTCTCGCCTTCATGAAACATCAAGATTAATGATTGAGATCTCTACTTCATTTACAGTATCTGATAAATATGTACTATGAACTATAGTAAGTGAAATAAATGAGAACACATGACATGGAAACTCCTAGTAGTAATATGAGAAGACAATTGTTAGACACATCTTACATCGTGAAAAAATATTGTAATATTTATAGATATTGTTATACAATATTTTAAAATGTTTTATTTTACCAATTATTAAAGAGTAATGGCAGGTATTTTTAGAGGATCAGCTTTATATTGACATATATAATTTTATATGAGAAAAAGCAACTATTCCTAATGTAGGTCTTTAATTATACTTCTATCATCTCTTTTTAAAAAAAATTATTAAGGCATTTTACACTGTGTAAATTAAAATATAGAAGTGAACACTTTTTCTTTATATCGGCTTTGAATTCCAAAAGCAAAACACAGTATCTCCTTAAGATAATAAAGAAATCCAAGTACAAAACACTTTCTACCAAGTTTTCAGCATTGCTTTCAACTACTAATGGTCAACAACAGTTAAGAAGAGTCAAGACATAGAATTAATTGTAGAACACAGAACTTGAGTTTTACAGGCAACTAAAACCCTGGCATTCTCTTCTGGAGCTTATAACATGATGGGAAAATATCAGCTAAGACCAGTGGTGAGAAGCAATGAAAACTGGTTGCTTTCATGTAGATCTGTATATAACCCCACATTGTAGTTTGAGGAGAGAAAAGAAATGATGAAAACATTTTTGAACGAAACACATCATTTGATATTCAATTTATTTATTTGAAATTATAGAATTTTATATTCAATTTTCCTTTTACATTTTATAATACAACGATGTAACATCCATTATTAATACTGGTCATTTTATATTTTATATTTACTTTGTTATAATCATAGCTGTTAGCAGTCATTTTTGTATTTTTGTTCAATGCCATATACTTAGCAAATGGAAGAGCAATCAGCTTATAACAGGTACTAATAAACCTTTTTTAAATGACTACAGTACAATATATAACAGAATGCTAATCATCTCACTTGAAACCCTGACTCCTCCAATTTTCACCTCCCTAAGCCAATAATTTAAAAAATCACAGTATATCCTTACACATCTTCCTTGGTATATACGCACAGAGATTACATGGAAAGTTTATTTATTTTTACTGAAACCTAATAATAAATGTTATCTCTAAGTTGCTTTTTCAGAATTACCACTGCACTCAACCAATTGTTCATGCTGTCAGTTCTATTTATCATTTTTCACATTTTATAAGCATAATGTTTTCCCATACCTTTGAATATTTTATTTATTTATTTGTAAATTTGTAAATGCTAATTAATATGTCCATTGCAAACTTTTTGCCTGACTTTATCATAGGTACTTTGGTTTTATAAATCAATTTCCAGCCATACCAAAGATTATCCCATAATAAAGTTCAACTATCTCTCAAGTTAGGTCTTCATTCCTGGGTCACATTAGATATATTAGATATATGACCCAGGAATGAAGACCATACATCTAGTATATTTTTGAAATCATCATGTTATGTTTAAATCAGAAATTATTTGCAATATATTATTTTTAAATTGGGCAAAATCAGAAACAATCTTTACTATTTTCCTAAAGGACAGCTAAATTTGTTATCAATATATACTAACTAATGCTCCTCATTAAACAGAAGTGCTATTGCTGTCATACGTTAACCACTGATACATAACTTGAATCTATGAAATAGCTAAGTAATCTCTCTAGTGGTATGCAAATAACATTTTAATAAAATTTCAGAGATTATCTCTCCATTCTTTAAAACTGTTCACCATTTCCTCAACTATTCTAAAGCCTCTGTTATTCCAATAAATGTTTAAATAATTGTATAAAAAATAAAGTCTTATAACTTTGATTGCAATTACTTATATTTAAATATCAAAATGCAGAGACTTCACAGTTTATGATAGTAAATATTTTTAGCAAATAATATTGCGTTTTAAAAACACATTTCCATTTTAAAATATCCCCCAATGTTGTATTATAGTTGTTTACCTGTTATACCTAGACTTTTCATAATTTTGTCACTATATTGAAAGAGCTATTTTCCCTGTTGATTTTTATGTGTCTATTGCTATGGAGAAACAGTAGTCAAAGAATTATACAATATCTCAATATATAATTTACATATTTATAAATGTATTTCAAAGGTTGATTCCTATTTTTTTGTTTAGACTATTAGAGTTTTCTAGCAGATATAAGGCCATATCACAAACAAAATATCATTTTAATTCTTTATATGTGGGTTATTTTCTTGCACAAAATTTTACCTTTAATCAATCTGAGTAATGTTTTAGTAGCAAGAATTACTCTTTATTACCTAAGTTCAGTTAAAATCTGTGAGTTTTATATTTGATTTTTGTATTTTTTAAATAATGTTTATAAACTTTTTTATCTTATCTTTTTGAATAGGAAATATTTCTAAAGATTATCAGATGCCCTTTTAGCATTCATAAATTAAATTATTTGATTTATTTTCTTTCATTTTTATGAGATAAACTAATGTTACTAAATTTTCTACTACCACACTTCTCTTCAGTTCCTGGCGTAAATCCAAAGTTATCAAAGTTTGATGTTATTTGTTACATTGCTTAATTTTTACATTTTATTTAGTATAGTCTTCACGCTTTTTATACAGTTTGTCCCATTTATTTTCATATTTTACTATCAGTATTGCGTTGTGACATTAATTTTATGTTATTTTTCTAAGACGGTTTGCGAATATTTCATCTTATTTTTTAGTTTAGAATAATTTCTAAAACATTGGTATTATAATATTTTTAATAAGTTGTTCAGGAAGTCAACTATGAAAATGTCATTTTAATGTCACATATTGAATCATATTTCTAATACCATATGGCACAACTACTCTATTAAATAAAATTAATTTGGATAAATTATATAATACTATAAAATGTAAAGTTCTTCTAGATTTTAGTGTAGAGCTGTGTAAAGCTCAAAGAAACAGAAAATATTTTCTTCAAGATCTTGTCTTTAAGAATTATAAAATGTATCACAAATAAAGAAATAAAATTTCAATTCTAGTTTAGAGTTGTAAAGCAGTATAGCCTCATAATCCGTCTATGAATTAATATTCCCTGTAAGTATATTAAATATTTTTCAGAAGATTGAATTTACCTCTAACCTATTTGAACAGAATCTGTTAGGAGGACTCAACGAATCTATATTATAAATATATTCCATAGATGATGCTGACTCCCACTTACCCATAGAAACTATCGTTCTGTAGAATGTTTAACAGAATTTTACCTATTGTCAGTTATTTGAACATTAAACACATTAAAAAATGAGTTTTGATGATACTAATTGAGAATGCATTTTTCAAGAGAAACAGAAATACAAAATGAATTACCAATAAATATTCATTTACTTTAAGCATAAATGTGAAGGAGATTGATCTAATGCCATCATGTTATCACAATAAATAATAACCTAATTGTTCAAAAGTGTAGTGGTCTTCATAACGTAGTCATATTCAAGAGTAAGTTTCAACTTTGCCATTGCATTGCCTGGAGAAAGGCATAACTTCAATGGGTATGCTTGTGATTTTTGTTTGTTTATTTTCTTTACTTTTTACAACTTAAATAGTAATACCCAAAGGTCAAAGTATTTTTTCTGGATTGATGACTACATGGCTAGAGGTGATAGTTTGCAGTATAGCCAAAGGTTGTTAACATTAATCCTTGGGAATGCTCTTTCCGAAGGTTAGCATTGCTTTTGTTACTATACCTCCGTGCAAAAGTCTCAGAGCAGAGGCAATGGGGCACATCCAAATTCATGTAGTGTAATGCAGTCCATCTAAAAAAGGAAGCCAAGTGTGGCATGACCAGTAATTGAATATGTTTCTCTAAAAAAATATCATGGCTACAGAAGCTGATTTGGTAACAGGGCTACCATTCCCTTCAAATCAATATGAGATAATATCGTTATGCTTTCTCTAGACAGTTCAGGAATTGTGTATGCCTTACTTAGAATGGACTTCAAAGAGATATTTTTATTCATACATGACAAAATGGAACTTTTTCCCAATATGGAATTATTAATCAGTATTATATTATTATCTGTAAAGTAATAATCTTATCATTTATTTTTATAAAATATGTCATCAACAAATATTAATTTAGCAACAAATTTAGTTTAACATTGAGCTGAAGGTAAGAAATGCACAAAAATTTTTGGAATCATTAATAAATCAGATAACTTTAGACCCATTTCCAAACAGAAATATTTTAATAAACTGAATATTTTTGATTAACTCTATTTCTCAATCTTGGTACCTGATTCTAGGAAATAATTAAAAGTACTTGAAAATTACACTAGTTAATTCCAGTTGTATAAAATATATTATTGAGGAAATCATTACTTTAGGGCAGAAACCGCTTTTATACACATCTGAGTCATTTTTATGCAGTAATTGGAAATGTGCTGGAGTAGATTTCTCCATACTTTTTCTGTAAGACAGATTTGAAGCAATAGGAAGGTATATTTTCTTCCTTGAAGACATAGTCATTATATTAGTAGCACATCTTTGTGTAGCAGGCACAATGAAGAACCTGAGATGCCACAATGCACATACAAGGCCACTGGGCATGTTGGAGATGTATAATGCTTAAGACAAATCTATCACTTTTATAATTTTCTGTGATGTATACTACATCACTGAATGAGTTAAAATAATGTTTTATCAAAGTTTTTGTATTACTCATGGTTCTCGAGAGAAGCAGAACGAATAGTTTCAGATATACACAGGTGTATGAGAGGGGATTTATTAGGGAAATTGGCTCACACAATTACCAACTCAAGAAGTCCCACAATAGACCATCTGCAAGCTGGAGAAGTAGAGAAGTCGTAACATTGTTCCAGTCACGTCTGAAGGCTCGAGAACCAGAGAATCCTATAGTATAATTTTCAGTCTTAGGCCAAAGCCCTGACAATCTGGAAGCTGCTGGTGTAACTCCTGGAGTCCAAATGGCAGAGAACTTGGAGCTCTGATGAGCAAGGGCAGGAGCAGATGGGTGTCCCAGCCTTGGAAGAACAAGAAAAATTGCCTTTCCTTTGCTTTTTTATTCTATCTGCGTCCTCAGTGGCGAGACAGTGATTGACAAGATTGAGTGAGGGTAGATCTTCCTTAATCTGCTTATTCAAATGCCAATCTTCTCCAGAAACTCCCTCACAGGCACACCCAGAAATTATACTTTACCAGTGTCTGGGTATCCCTTGCTCCAGTCAATATCATACCTGAAATGAACCATCATACTTTCTTTTCCCTTTACACTACCACTCACACAGTCATCTATAACTGAAGGTGCATTATGAGTGTTTTTTAAGGTTATAGGAAGACAAGTGAAATTGATTTTAATAATATATATAATATAACCCAATATATCCAAAATATTATCATTTCAACATGTAATCAATGCAGACATCATTAATGTGATGATTTACATTCTTTGTTTTCTTTTTGTTGTTGTTACTGCTATTTTCTTTTTCTTTTTAATTATACTTTAAGTTCGGGAATACATGTGCAGAACGTGAAGATTTGTTACATAGGTATCCACATGCCATGGTGGTTTGCTTCACCAATCAACCCATCATCTACACTAGGTATTTCTCCTAATGCTATCCCTCCCCTAGCCCACCATTTCCCAACAGGCCCCAGTGTGTGATGTTCCCCTCCCTGTGCCCATGTGTTCTCATTGTTCAACTCCCACTTATGAGTGAGAACATGCTGTGTTTGGTCTTCTGATCTTGTGTTAGTTTGCTGAGAATGATGGTTTCCAGTTTCATCCATGTCCCTCCAAAGACATTAACTCTTCCTTTTTATGGCTGCATAATATTCCATAGTGTACATGTGCCACATTTTCTTTATCCAGTCTATCACTGATGGGCATTTGAGTGGGTTCCAAGCCTTGCTATTGTGAACAACGTGGGAATAAACATATGTGTGCATGTGTCTTTAAAGTAGAATGATTTATATTTCTTTGGGTATACCCAGTAATGGGATTGCTGTGTCAAATTGTATTTCTAGTTCTAGATCCTTGAGGAATCACCACACTGTCTTCCACAATGGTGGAACTAATTTACACCCCCACCAACAGTGTAAAAGCGCTCATATTTTTCCACATCCTCTCCGGTATCTATTGCTTCCTGACTTTTTAAGGATCGCTATTCTAACTGGCCTGAGATCGTGTCTCATTGCGGTTTTGATTTGCAATTCTCTAATGACCAGTGATGATGAGCTTTTTTGCATGTTTGTTAGTCACATAAATGTCTTCTTTTGAGAAGTGTCTGTTCATATATTTGCACACTTTTTGATGGGATTGTTTGGTTTTTTCTTGTAAATTTTTAAAGTTCTTTGTGGATTCTGTATATTAGCCCTTTGTCAGATGGATAGATTGCAAAAATTTTCTCACATTCTGTAGGGTGCTTGTTCACTCTGATGATAGCTTCTTTTGCTGTGCAGAAGCTCTTTAGTTTAATTAGATTCCATTTATCAATTTTGGCTTTTGTTGCCATTGCTTTTGATGTTTTAGTCATGAATTCGTTGCCCATGCCTATATTCTGAGTTGTATTGCCCAGGCTTTCTTCTAGGGTTTTTATGGTTTTAGGTCTTACGTTTAAGTCTTTAATCCAACACCCCTTCACACTAAAATCTCTCAATAAACTAGGTATTGATGGAACATATCTCAAAATAATAAGAGCTATTTATGACAAACCCACAGCCAATATTATACTGAATGGGCAAAAGCTGGAAGCATTTCCTTTAAAAACCGGCACAAGACAAGGATGCCCTCTCACCACTCCTATTCAACATATTATTAGAAGTTCTGGCCAGGGCTGTCAGGCATGAGAAAGAAATGAAGGGTATTCAAATAGGAAGAAAGGAAGTCAAATTGTCTCTGTTTGCAGATGACTTGATTGTATATTCAGAAAACTCCATCATCTCAACCCAAAATCTCCTTAAACTGATAAACAACTTCAGCAAAGTCTCAGGATACAAAATCGATGTGTAAAAAATCACAAATATTCCTATACACCAATAATAGACAACCCATGAGCCAAATCATGAGTGAACTCCCATTATCAATTGCTACAAAGAGAATAAAATACCTAGGAATACAACTTGCAAAGGATGTGAAGGACCTCTTCAAGGAGATCTACAAACCACTGCTCAAGGAAATCAGAGAGGACAAAAACAAATGGAAAAACAATGCATGCTCATGGATAGCAAGAATCAGTATCATGAAAATGGCCATACTACCCAATGTAATTTATAGATTCAATGCTAACCCCATCAAGCTACCACTGACTTTTTTCACAGAATTAGAAAAAAAAATACTTTAAATTTCATATGGAACTAAAAAGAGCCTGTATAGCCAAGACAATCCTAAGCACAAAGAAGAAAGCCTGAGACATCACTTCATCTGACTTCAAACTATTCTACAAGGCTACAGTAACCAAAACAGCATGGCACTGGTGCCAAAACAGATATATAGACCAATGGAACAGAACAGAGGCCTCAGAAAAAATGCCACACATCTACAACCATCTGACATTTGACAAACCTGACAAAAACAAGCAATGGGGAAAGGATTCCCTATTTAATAAATGGTGTCAGGAAAACTGGCTAGCCATATGCAAAAAACTGAAACTGGACCCATTCCTTACACCTTATACAAAAATTATGAGTATTTTTAAGACATTATTGTACCTAGGACTATGACATTCTAAATATTTTCTTTAATAGCAGTCATCTAACACAATTCAAACTTTAGTAGTCCTCAACTCCAATTATCACCCACCAGCCACAGCTTATTGCCTAGAGATAAGCCTCAGCCAAATAGAACCATATATTCTCTTTCTTGGACATTTTGTTACTTTTTGGGGGAAGCACAAAATTTTCTCTCGGATAGCCAAAGCTGTATCTTCTTCAGGCCCTATCAGTAATCATATTTTCTGCTTAAGAGAAGAAAAGGACAATAAAGATTGGAGAGGAAGAAAAGAAGAAGAAAAACCAAAGGAGAGAGGGAAAAGGGAGTAGAAAAAAATGACAGAAGATTAAGAAAGAATAAATTAAGGCAAAACCAAAACTTAAGAAAACATAAAAAGCCGGACAATTTACTGACCATCAGACCATTGTATGTCAAATGTCTCACCATTGTCCCTGGAGCAGAGAAGAGTCACAATACAAATGAATTAATGTGTAAAAAAAAAAAAAAAGAATGAATGAAGAGAGTAATGTCAGTGTTTAAGCTTTTTCATTCCAATGTTTCCTGAGGTCTATTCCTTCATTAGTTCTGCAAGCAATAAGCAAGCAAATTGGTTTCTCTTGTTTTAGCATGGAATTCTAACACATATACATGCTAATAGATGCCCTCGCAAAATTTTTCAATCACACACAAAAAAGAGCAAGGGATAGTGTATTTAGAAAAATCTTTGCTGATTCTAATGGCCATTTTTCCCCAAAAATGACTTTGTTAAAATGAAAATTGGCTGGGCGTGATGGCTCATGCCTGTAATCCCAGCTCTGGAAGGTCAAGGTGGGTAGATCACCTGAGATCAGGAGTTTGAGACCAGCCTGCCCAACATGTGAAACTCTGTTTCTATAAAATTAGCCGGGCATAGTGGCTCACAGCTGTAGTCCCAGCTATTCAGGAGGCTGAGGCATGAGAATCGCTTGAACCCAGGAGGCGGAGGTTGTAGTGAGCAAGAGCGCACCATTGCACTCCAGCCTGGGGGACAAGAGCGAAACTCCATCTCAAAAATAAAACTAAAAATAAAATAAAATGAAAATTGAATTATGTTGTTGCATGTTAGATTTACATATATTCAGACATTATTCTATGAGTTTCTTCAATAGAAATTCATTTACATTCAATGTAAAACATAATCATGATAAAAAGTACTGAATTGGGCAGAATGGTCATTCTAAAAAGCAAAACCAATTTATATTTGGTATAAATATGGCAGAAACTCTGAATAAAATTAGATGAGAATTTTGTAAACTGTTTAGAAATCGTTTTCAAGAGCTGTTAATAGGTAGCAGCTAGTAATAGATATGATTAAGGTATGATAATAAACAGAGCAGGGAAAATGCTGCTTACCAAATCCCCATTTGAAAATTTAAAATACACTTTTAATATAGTAAATATTCCCTAAAGCCACAGTAATTTAACAAAAATTTAATTTATTTAACCATTCAACAAAAAATTTATACAAGCATTTTTTATCCATAGAAATGTTTATTCAGAACACTGAACCATACAAAGGTACTTTAAATTATAAAGAGAATATATTTAAGTATTTCACCGAAATGATCTTTTTCTTCATCATTTTACTTTATGATAAGTTTATTTGCTTTAAACTGGTGGAAAATTGTTTCTAAAAATGATTTCAGACCGGGTGCAGTGGATCACGCCCGTAATCCCAGCAATTTGGGAGGCTGAGGTGGGCTGATCACTTGAGGTCAGGAGCTCCAGACTAGCCTGGCCAACATAGCAAAGCCCTGTCTCTAGTAAAAACACAAAAATTAGTTAGGCGTAGTGAGGGGTGCCTGTAATCCCAGCTACTAGGGAGGCTGAGGCACGACAGTCATTTGAACCCGCGAGGCAGAGGTTGCAGTGTGCTGAGATCTTGCAACTGCATTCCAGCCTGGGTGACAGAGTGAGACCGTGTCTCAAAAAAAAAAAAAGTCTTTAATATAATATTGTTCATACTATGATTGATCATGATTTTGAACAACTTAATTTAAAGAGCGTCAAGCTTTGATATCAAGCTTATTTCTTTTTTATTTTATTTTACTTTTTGTTAATTTTCAATTTTTATTTTAGATTTAGGGGATACATGAATGAGTTTGTTATCTGAAAGTATACTGCATGAAGCTGAGGTTTGGGATACAAATCATTCCTCACCCAGGCATGTTTTAAAAAAAGAGCTTATAAAGCCAAATAAATTTTAAAATGTATATAACACAATGTGTAATATTATGAAGTGAAAAAGTAAAGTGCATAGCAATATGTTTAAGTAATTTCTGTTTGTGTATTTCAATAAGAGATTAAAAACATGTTTATATTTGAGTTGAATGAGTGAGAGGAGGAAAATAGAGACCTCTAGTATTTTTTTTTAAGTTTTGGTATTGATTTGCTGTACCATATGCATTTGGTAAATTTATTATTTAAATTTTAAAAATTGAAATATCAAAGGATTGTGTCAGTTTTAATGGGATTCTATGCAAGTCATTGTGGTAGATAAATACCAGACCAAGACATAAAATTGAGAGTGTTCAAAGCCTCTATCTGTTTTGAAAGGGAAATTAAGATACTGATGGTGGTTTTATTTTACTGTCAGATAAAAGTAACATTATATAAATTGTGAGAATGCATGATAATTAGGTAAAATTCAATAAGTTACTTTTGGAAATTTTCAGTTAAGTTAACTTGATGACAACTAAGCTGAGATTTAAATTTATAGCAAAGTATGTACTGTAAAGCTGTAGAGTCTAACTAGGATCTAGGCAAACTACAACTAATTTAAATAAGCGTATAGCATCATTGCCACTGTGTACATATATAATTTGAACACACATTTTTTTAAAGTAATCTACTTCTTCTAAGTTTCCATCATTTCCCTCAATATTTAAATTTTGCTACGACAAGTTTCCTTTTCCGTTTGGTCCAGTTACATCATTTTCCTTCTGAATTATTGTATATTTCTTTCTTTTCAGATAAACTTGAAAACAAGATAATCATATTTACCTGAGACATTTTATTAACAGTTTCACTAAGATTGCAAAGATATTAAAAATTAAATGCAATTTAATTTATACTTGTCAAGTTGAAATATTTGACATGATTACTATATTACCTTTCTACAAATAAATATGGATTTAAAACCTTATTTAGACCTTCCTAAAGAGTTAACTAATAATGAAGTTAAAAATCTTTTAATTTTTTGGATAAAAAATTAATGGATAATTAAGTTTTATTTCTTGAAGGTTTTCACTAATAACTTGAAGCATAATAAATGCAAAAATCCCAAAATTTTAAAATATTAATCATTAATCTGTAGAAAATCAAATAGAATGTATCCATAATACAAAGTTTTTTAGTTTTGAAATTGTTTATATTAGTGAAGAACAAAATACTTTTATATTTAAATACGGTTTCTCTAAACACGCACACCAATACATGTAATATGTGAGTTTTAGTGTTCTGAACTACAAAAGGCCCTATTTAGAAAAAAAAATACATATGTTAAAACATTAACTTGAAGTATAAATTTGCCATATCCAAATGTCAAATAACATATAGGCATGCTCATATGATAGAAAAAGAAGTTTTAAATTGAAATTCAGGTATTAGACATTATATATTATAAAAGGAAATTCTTATGGATTAATTTAATTAAATAAAAATACAATATCTAAACTGAAACTACATTTATAGAGGCTTCTATGTATAAAGTAACACCAAGCTTTTAATAAGTTCTAATAACTATTTTTAATTTAAGACAAAGAATTACAAGCATGCCTATCAATGACAGTAGGAAATATTACATATTAATTTTCAAAACAGAAACATTTTGTTCATTAAGTTATATTTGTATAATTTTTCAGCAAATAATTGTCCTTTTGGGCATAGCCATGCATTTTCAAAAACTTTGTTTAATAGCTCAACAGATACTTATTACATGCTAGACATTAGGATAGTTGGTAGAAATTTTAATAGTGTTACATTTTGCTATCTGCCCTTTGTAATGAAGTTTTATTTCTTTTGGATTTATGTTTAAATAACTAGTGTGTAAACTAATAAAATTTTGCCGTATTGTTTATGCCATATTTGAAACTAAACTTAAAGCACTGTTGATATACATGTACAATGGAACATAGTAGAAGTCAGAAGTAATTAAAAATGTTTTTCAGCTTAAGAAAAGAAATAAGGAATACCACTCTAACACAATCATTGTGAAAACATTTGTAATTTGCCTATAGTTAACTATTTATCATTTTAGTCCTCAATTATGCTATCCACTTGCAGGTTAAATGTCATAATCAAAGTTGTCAAATTCACTTAGTTATGTATAAATTGAAGATGATCTTCCAATTTATATCTTTTCAAGTTAACATAGATTAAAATTAGTGAGTGGAAAAAGCATTATTTAAATATACAATAAATTTCAAAATATTTATCTGTCAAATTCAGATAGATTTAAGGCACTAGTGTGATAAAACATGATTGCTTTAGATTTCATAGTCTTTAGTGAGAAAGAAATGACTTTTTTTCTAGATTTTATCTTTCTATAAAGAAGAAATTTTTATGTTTAGTTTCTGAATTACTCCAACCTGCCAACTAACAAGCAGTCCCAAACTAATGCCGCAGTAGAAACTCAAGCATTGTAAAGAGAAAAAACCTACTCAACACTGTAAATTCTTGTACAGAATAAGCTATGTGAACCAAAAAAATACTTTTCTTGAAGAGATGTTTGTGAATTTTATCAACTAGAAAGTGAAGAGTCTTAATTTTTGGAGTGAGGCCTCTCTGTTTAATCCAACGCAGTAAAACTGAGCAATGCAGTATTCCAAAAGCTCAGAGTGCTTCACAATCACAATAATTATTGGTGGTAGATAAGTAGAATGAGGAGGAGATGGAAAGAAAAAAAGGGCACTAGAGAGGTATGGGTTAAAAACTCTAGGGCCCCAGCCAGCACGGTGGCTCACGCCTGTAATCCCAGCACTTTAAGAGGCCGAGGCGGGCAGATCACGAGGTCAAGAGATCGAGACCATCCTGGCCAACATGGTGAAACCCCGTCTCTACAAAAATACAAAACTTGGCTGAGCGTGGTGGTGGACGCCTGTAGTCCCAGCTACTCGGGAGGCTGAGGCCGCAGAATCACTTGAACCCAGGAGGCTGAGGTTGCAGTGAGCCGAGATTGTGGCACTGAACTCCATCCTGGCGACAGAGCGAGATTCCGTATCAAAAAAAAAAAAAAAAAAAAAAAAAAAAATCTAGGTCCGTGCTCTCTTATGTGACTTTGGAAAGTCCAAGGGCACTGAAAATTACTGATCTAAACAGATCCCTCCTACAACGAATATTTCATTCCTAAAGTTTTGTGGATTCTTACTATGGAATGATAATATAAGGTAGGTCACATTCTTGGTTAAGACAATTGTAACTTTTTAAATCTTTCCACCTTTAGTTTTTCTTAAGTTAAAATGAGACAAAGCAAAGCTAAAGTTTATAGGCTGCCTACTACATGTCAGTTTTTGCAGCTTTCAGATGTTATCTCATTCCATTCCCTTCTTATAAGTCCACAATACAAATATCCATTCCACCTCTCTTTCTTTTCTTTTGGTGAGGAAACTTAGAGGTGAGTTCCTTTGTTAAAGGTCATACTTTTCAAAACGTGTTATGTGAATGTAATTCTACCTAATAACTCTTACTAGTGGCATATTTTAAAGAATATCTTTAATTGAACTTGTCTGATTTCTCATGGTGACTTATATTTTGTTAATATATCTTCTTATACATCTGTGTGGATTTGTAATTGAATTTATATAGAAATTTACCACACATCTGTTTATGTAATACATAAAGATATCTATTATGAATATATTTCATGCATATGTAAGATTCAGACCAATAGACTTTTATAAGGGACATGCCCTCTTGTCGGTTTGAAAGAATAATTTCACGTATTAAATTGTATTATTTTGCTAGCCAAATTTAATTAGAATAAAAATTTACTATAATTTTATTTGTAGTTTCTCTTTTTTAAGTGGCCATGCTGCATTACTTCAACATATTAAAGTGAATAACATTAATAATAGTGAAGATTTAATTTTCAACATGCTTTCAAGGCAGGATCATTATTTCCATTTTACCAATTAGGTAAGTCAGGCTCAAAGGTTAAGTGTTTACATTACACAAGCTTGCTTCAGAGGAAAGTTTATACCCAAGAAACCAAATTATTAGCTACTTCCCCTCTTCACTACTGCATGATTTGAAAGCCATTTTTGAAGAAATATATTACATAATACTCAATGCATGTATTACTTATTTTTAGTTGACTCCGAAGTATTTTGTTCAGAGTGATCATTTTAGGGAACAGGTTTTCAGCATATGTCAACATAAAAGATGATGGTGACATAAATAATTATGATAGATTGTCTACATATTTGATCTGAATTTAGGTTTCATAAAACCTCATCTTCTTGCTATTATATTTAGGGAATTGTTTAAATTGCTTGCAGTATGAGCTAGCTATTTGTAACCAGCTGTCTTCCTAGTTGTTGATAAAGATAAATCACTCTACCATTTTATGTGCCTTCCTTTCTACCCCCACCTTACTCTTCCTCTGCAACCAAACACATCACAGACCTGTCATTATTAGTGATAATCAGTTTTAGGCAACTTTAATACACTGGTCTCTTATGTTATCCTTTATTAAAATTGTATATATTGTTAAGTATCTTTTATTTTTCTGGCATTTTCAAACTATCATTTATATTTTCTATCCTCAAAATTTTGCTGGACAAACCTACTCTATTTCTTCTATCCTTTAGATCCCCTTCTCTTTCATCGTAGGTCAAGCCTCTTTCTCAGATATGGATCCAGTAACTGGCAATAAGGTAACTCTTTTACTCATCATCTTTCTATGATTTTATAATTTGACAGTACTTGAAAACAGTAGCATTTATGATACAACAATAGACACTAATTATTTATTTCTTCTATCTAATTTATTTAAATCATCAATATACTAGATACACATTTTATTCTTTATTACTACTCCCATTAATCTAGACTGGATGTTAATCTCTTTCTGACTAAGTGTTTTAGGAGCATTAGAGGTACTTAACCTGACATTGTCTTTCTTCCCAATAATTGCACATATTCTGGTTGATTATCTCTTCTCACAAGTTGCTTTTCTCAAACATATTCAAAACATAATGATGTGAACTTTTCAGTGAGTTTAGTAGAAATCAATCTACGGAGATGTCAATGCACTCCGTAATCTGAGTCTAGTCTACTTATCTGCAATATTTCAAACTTGTCCCTAGTGTTAGCAATTTACAGTAAATCCTTGTCAGTAGACTGTTGTATTCATGCTTACTGATATTTTACTACTTAAAACAATGTTATTATCATATAATATATGTACTTATATGCTTATGTGCATTATTCTTATCTCCAAATTAGTCATACGTCATTAAAGATAGACATCACAAATCTTAGATCACACTATATAACAGTATTTTAATGCTTCCTTCAATAGACTAATGATTGACCAAAAGAAATAACTTCAAATTATTGACATTACTATTACTGTTGTTATTGTTGTTATTCCAAATATTGAAAATGTATTGTGAACATAAAATATGTAAATGTAAATTACTATGCATTCTCTTAATATAGCTCCATTACAATATTGTGAAGGAGGTATTATTAAAATATTAAAAAATGAAAAAGCAGAGGCTTATGGAAAGGACAGAAATTCTCAAAAGTTACATAGCTAACTAAGTGCCAGATTCATAGCTCAGATTCAGTTTTATGTAGCTACTAAACCCACACCCTTAACCACCATGTTGTGGTGGCCATGATGCCGAGTGATAAAACCAGAGAATTTTAACTGAAATAATTTTTTGTGTGAATTATTTACATACATTTTAAAAGATGAAGGAGTTCCAGTATCTACAGGAAAAGTCTAAATCTACAAAACATTGCTCAGTCTATAGTCTTCTCTTTTTTCATGTGACCCACTTTTCCTTGCTATTATCATTTACAGATCCCCCGCCAAGATGTTCTACTCTTTACTATTATGACAGTCTCCCTTCCTGAAATTTCAGACCAATAAACAATTATCAACACAAATAAAAATAATAATAGGCACAAATAAACACATATTACCTTTAATATATCAATAAATTATATTTAATATTTTAAAATAGCCATTTAATAAGTGATATTAAAAGTTTTATACATGCAACTACATGGGTAGTTGTTGAAGGCTGTTAAGCAACAACACTTTTTAAGTGGGATCCATTGATAAAAAATCCAAGTAGGACATTTTTAAGGCCCACCAATTCCATTTCACTTCTCTACAAAAATCTTTTTTACCACACAGATTCAGGCAGGAGCTCTTCCACAGTTCCTGTGAGGTATTTCTTCCAGGAGAAAACTAGACTACAGAATTTAGTAGAGAAAATTAAAATCCCTTAATTTTAATTTTAATTGAGAACCCTTTCTCTAAAATCCCTTTAGAGAAAATTAAAATCCCTTTTGCTGCAATTGGTCTCAGGACCATTTACATATGGCTGGCTTCTCCATGATCCACTTGAAATGTTCCTTACTCTCTGCTCAGCAGGTATTGATGGTTTAGATAGTGGTATGACCTAAACACTCATTTCTAAAGGGCTTGACACTTTGGTAATGATCTGATAATTTCAAACTAAGTTTCCCCTATGCGTACATTCATAGTTAAAATTACACGGAGGAACATCAAGTGTCTGAATGAAATTTGCTGGATTCCACACACTTTCCCTTCATTCCTCTTTTGTAAAAACAACTACATGCTTCTGCTGATCAGAGTCAATTATCTTCATCAAAATCTTGGCTCTTCTTATAAATACTGGTCCCTGGGCATGAGTACAATATGCCCACATGGTAATATGGCTTGAAATTAAATAGTGTACCTCTTGTGTCCACTGACAAGCATGTACTTACATTAGAGATCAGAACTTCCAACTTTGCAGTTTCTAGTAAGTGATTGGGAATTTCTCCTTTTGGTTTCCAGACACAGTTATTCTTTCTATAGTCCATGTGCAGCACAAAAGTGCATATATTACAGCTATTGTATTTTGAAAGATGGAAACCATCTTTTCAGAGGATTTTCCCTTTAGGTGTCATTTCAAACCTGTTTTGTATAGGTGTTTCCATTGCTATAACAGGCGGACTTATTCTGGATGACCAGTGGATCCTGTGGTAATGGACCCATTTCCAAACCTCCTTTCCTCTAATGTCAGTCTTCTGGTCAAACCCTATACCATGTAATATTTACTCCCATCAACTCCTGGCAACAACCAATCTTTTTACTCTCACCACAGTTTTACGTTTCCAGAATGTTATATGTTTGAATACATTGGCTTTTCAGACTGACTTCTTTCACTTAGCAATATACATAGAAGCTTTCTCTATGACTTTTCATAGCTTAATAAATAATTTATTTTAAGTGCTGAATAATATTTCATTGTCTGGAAGTACCAGAGTTTACTTATCCATTGAACTGCTGAAGGGCATCTTGGTTGCTTCCAGGTTTGGGCAATGAATAAAGTGGCAATATACATCAGGTTGAAGATTCTTGTGGGGACATATGTTTTTAACCTCTTTGGGAAAAAAAAATGATGAGTGCTGTTGCTAGATCATATGGTAGGTGTATGCTTACTTTTGGAAGAAGCCCCCAAACTGTCTTCTAAAGTGGCCGTACCATTTTATATTCCCATTAGCAATGAATGAGAGTTCTTGATGCTTCCATCTTCAACAGCATTTAGTGTCATTGTTCTAGATATTGGCCATTCAAGTCAATGTGTATCTCATTGCTGTTTTAATTTGCATTTCCCTGATGACATATGAGGTAGATTATCTTTTTATATGTTGATTTACCATCTGCATATATTCTTTGGTGAGGTGTCTAGCATTTATCTTTTTTTTTTAATCCCATCCTATTGCATTGTGCTCAGGCTTGTTTTCCCACTGCAATCCACAATTCATGGTTTTTATTTTTTTAGTTTTGAAAATCCACAAAATTTTAGTAAAAATTTTCCTCTTTTTTGTGTCAAACTTAGCTCCTCAGACATTGCCTAACCTTTCGTTTTTTACACACTACCAAAAATTAATATTATGTTAATGTTAAATTTATATTAAAAATTAATATGTTAATTATGATAAAAATATATTGATATGTTAATTATTAATAATAAAAATATGTCAATATTATGTTTTGCTAAACCAAATATATCGAAATAATAATGCATTTCTGATGTTTGGAAAATTGTTCTATTTTTCTCTTAGGTAAATTTTGATCTAAACATTAGAGAATGCATCTTTTCCATGGAAACAAAATACAAACAGTAGTATTTTATTCTTGACCAGTTCAAAACATATTGTATGAAAAAAGTTTTCTTCCCCATTAAGCTTGTGTTTGATTATTTTGTATTTCTTCTTCAACATATTTTAATATAAGTAAAAGTGTCTCATTGTTCTTTCTATACTAGAAAATTTTAAGCTTGTTGAAGATGTTGGTTTATCCCAGATTAGAAGAAAACCAAAATGTATACGCAAGCTCTGTGAGAAAAGAACATAAGCTGACTATTAACCATTGTTGTTATTATTCCTGTTACCAAATGTAATGCAACTTATTAAATATTAGTTTTTATGTTCTTAGGACATAAAAACACTCATAGAAGAAAAATAATTGTAATATTAATTGGGAGGGCACCCAACATCTATTTATTTAGTGAAGTTTAATAGTAAAAGCATAAACTTACTTGAGGAATGAACCACTCTACTAGACAATTGTGGTAACAGAGCTTGTGTTTCATCACATCAATATGCTAATTGTTTAGCCTTCCCACTCAGAATACTCTTGACTGATTTATTTAGTAAAAAAAAAAAAAAAAAAAAATAGTGAAAGAGATAACCTTAAGCCACCTGCTTCACACCAAGGAGATCTAGGATGATCAGATTCAGTGAAGTGAAAATATTAAATATAAGACGTAAGCAAAAAAAAATTCAAAATTTTAGAAAACACTGTCAACTATTTACACAGAAAGGTTGTTCTATTGAGAAGGCATATGTTAGGCATGAAACAAATTGAAGTAATGGATTTATCTGGAAATAACAAAGATATCTATAAACAATATTTCTGAGATAGTCACAAAAGCAGCAGCTACACAGAAGATGGAGCTAATATGAGCTTACTAAATAGTAGAAAAGAGCAAGATCAGCAGAAATGAAGAAAAGGGCTGATTCCTAAATGGTAAAATAAAATTGAAGAAAAGAGTGAGAAAATCCTGAAATAAACGGAAGGATCATGACATATAATGTAGTAAACTCTAAGGTAGTAAAATATGATTACTACCTCACATACAAGGTAGCAATCATATTTTTAAAGTATTATTTTATTATTTTTTTCTTAAATATTTGATTCAAAGGGTACATGTGCAGGTTTGTTACATGGATATATCGTGTGATGCTTAGGCTTCAACTGAAACCATCACCCAAACAGTGAAAATAGTATCCAATAGGTAGTTTTTCAACCCTTGACCTTCTTCTTCCCTTCCCCATTTCTGGGTCCCCAGTGTCTATTATTCCCATCTTTATGTCTGTGTGTACCTAATGTTTAGCCCTCAACTATAAGTCAGAACATGCAGCATTTGGTTTTCTGTCTCTATGTTAATTTACTTAGAATAACGGCCTCTAGCTGCATCTACATTGCTGCAAAGGACATGATTTCATTCTCTTTATAGCTCCATAGTACTCCATGGTGTTTTTGTATCACATTTCCTTCATCCAGTCCACCATCGGTAGGCACCTAAGTAGATTTCATGTTTTTGCTGTGGTGAATAGTGCTGAAATAAACATGTGAGCACAGATGCCTTTTTGGTAGAATGATTTGTTTTCCTTTGGGTATATATCCAGTAATGGGATTGCTGGATAAAATGATAATACTATTTTTAGTTCTTTGGCAAATCTCCAAATAATTTTCCACAGGAGCTGAACTAAATTACAATCCCACCAGCAGTATATGAACATTTCCTTTCTCTGCAACCTTGCCAACATGTGTGTTTGTTTGTTTTTTGACTTTTTCATATTAGCCATTCTAAATGGTGTGAGGTAATATCTCATTGTGGTTTTGATTTGCATTTGCGATGATTAGTGATGTTGAGCACTTTTTCATAAGTTTTTTGTCTGCTTGTATGTCTTCTTTTGAGAAGTGTCTGTTCATGTCTTTGCCTACTTTTTAATGGTGTTGCTTTCTGCTTCTTAATGTTTTTTAAGTTCCTTATAGCTTCTGGATATTAGACCTTTGTCAGATGCATAATTTATGAATATTTTTTCCCATTCTATAGGTCGTCTATTTACTCTGTTGGTGGTTTATTTTGCTGTGCAGCAAAATAATTAAGTCCCATTTATTTATGTTTGTTTTTGTTGTGTTTGCTTTTGGGATCTTAGTCACAATGTCTAGAAAAGTGTTTCCTAGGTTTTCTTCTAGGATAGTTGTAGCTTCAGGTCTTAGCTTTAAGTCTTTAATCCATCCTGAGTTAATTTTTGTATACAGTAAGAGATAGGAATCCAGTTTCATTCTTCCACATGTCACTATACAACATTCCTAGCACCACTAATTGAATAGAGTTTCCTTTCTCCAATTTATATTTTTGTATGTTTTGCCAAAGATCAGTTGGTTGTAAGTATTTGGACTTATTTCTGTGTTCTCTATTCTATTCCATTGGTCTATATATCTATTTTTATGCCAGTATCATGTTGTTTTGATTACTTTATAGCCTTGCAGTATAATTTGAAGTCAGGTAATGTGGTGTCTCCAGATTTGTTCTGTTTGCTTAGGATTGCTTTGGCTATTTGGGCTCTTTTTTTGCTTTCATATGAATTTTAAGATTGTCTTTTCTTATATTGTGAAAAATGATGTTGGTATTCTGATAGAAATTGCATCCAAGCTCTACATTACTTTGGGAAGTTTGGCCATTTTCACATTATTGATTCTTCTAATCTATAAGTACCTCAAAATAATAAAAGCAATATATGATATTTCACAGCCAACCTCATACTAAGCAAGGAAAAGCTGAAAGCATTCCCTCTAAGAAGTGGAACAAGGTAAGGATATCTTATTTCACCACTTCTATTCAACATAACTATTGAAAGTCCTAATAAGAGCATTCAGGCAAGAGAAAAACAAAATAAAGAACATCTAACTTGAAAAAAAGGAAGTCAAATGATCTCTGTATGCTGATGATATGATCTTATACCTAGAAAACCCTATGGACTTCCAAATACTCCTGGATCTGATAAATTAATCAGTTAAATCTCAGGTCACAAAATCAATGTTACACAAATTAGTATTGCTGCTATACACCAAAGACAACCAAGTTTAGAATCAAATCAAGAACTCATTCCTTTCCAAATAGCTACAAAATAATAAAACATCTAGGAATGCACTTAATGAAGGAGGTAAAAAGTCTCTACAAGGAGAACTACAAAACACTGCTGAAAGACATCAAAGATGACACAAACAAATGGAAATATATCTTTTGGTGGCGTCTTCAGGGTTTTCATATTACCATATTGAGAGGTGAAGCCAGGTGGACTTCCTGGGTTGAGTGGGAACTTGGAGAACTTTTCTGTCTAGCTAAAGGTTTGTAAACGTACCCATCAGCACTCTGTAAAAACGCACCAATTAGCATTCTGTGTCCAGCTAAAGGTTTGTAAATGCACCAATCAGCACTCTGTAAAAATGCACCAATCAGCCCTCCGTGTCTAGCTAAAGGTTTGTAAACACACCAATCAGCGCTCTGTGTCTAGCTAAAGGTTTGTAAACGCACCAATCAGCACTCTGTAAAAACAGAACAATCAGTACTCTGTAAAATGGAACAATCAGCCCTCTGTAAAATGGACCAATCAGCAGGATGTGGGCAGGGCCAAATAAGGGAATAAAAGCTGGCCACTCAAGATCCAGCAGCAGCCGGATCCCCTTCCATGCTGTGGAAGCTTTGTTCTTTCACTCTTCACAATAAATCTTGCTGCTGCTCACTCTGGTTCCGCACTACCTTTATGAGCTGTAACACTCACTACGAGGGTCTGCGGCTTCATTCCTGAAGTCAGCGAGACCACGAACCCACCAGGAGGAACAAACAACTCCAGACGCGCCACCTTTAAGAGGTGTAACACTCACGGAGAAGGTCTGTGGCTTCACTCCTGAAGTCAGCAAGACCATGAACCCACCAGAAGGAAGAAACTCCAGACACATCTGAACATCTGAAGGAACAAACTCCAGACACACCATCTTTAAGAACTGTAACACTCACTGTGGGGTCCGCGCCTTCATTCTTGAAGTCAGTGAGACCAAGAACCCACCGGAAGGAACCAATTCAGGACACACTTCCATGCTGCGGAAGCTTTGTCCTTTCACTTTGCTCAATAAAGCCTACAGCTTTTTCTCTCTCTCAGTTCGTCTCTATCACTCAATGCAGTCAGAGGCCACACCAGTTCTTTAGCATGGCTAGGCAAGAACCTTAGGCGTTACAATGGTATAAACTTCTTTTTATATATGTATGTACATGTATATGTATATCTATATAGTCATTTATGTTCATATATTAACATAGAGCATTTATATCTGTAGTAGATTTATATTTTTCATAATCATAGAGAAAATTGTCAAAAGGTGAATAAATGTTAATTTGTGTAGTAAAAAACATTGAAGGAAAAGACTATTTTTAACTTTTTCTCATGTTTCTGTATTATTTTACCATAAAGCATATGACTTGTACTTGCAATATAAAATTAAATAAAAAGTAATAAGAAAATGTTTGCTTTTTATATATAAGTTCATTTTAAATGAGGATGTCAGAAAACCTTACAATTTTTTTTTTATAGTCAGACTACTTTACTCTGTTACTTAGTTAAAGGCTATTCTTCTCCCTTGATAATTCCCCCATTAATTTTATATGTTGGTTGGGTGCAGTGGCTCACACCTGTAATCCCACCACTTTGGGAGGCCAAGGCAGGCAGTTCATCTGAGGCCAGGAGTTCAAGACCAGACTGGCCAACATGGCGAGACCCCATCACTGCTAAAAATACAAAAATTAGCTGGGTGTGGTGGTATACACCTGTAACCCCAGCTACTCAAGAGGGTGAGGCAGGAGAATCACTTAAACCTGGGAGGCGGAGGTTGCAGTGAGCAGAGATCACACCACTGCACTCCTGCCTAGGCAAAAACGCAAGGCTCCATATCAAAAAAGAAAAGTGTATATGTTACTGTGAATGTGTTGTACATGTGAAAATGATGGAACAGAAACAGGATTGAAAAAGTTCTAGATTTTTATTAACTTACAATTTGTTTTGAATGAAGCCTGTTTTCATAAGGGTTTATTAAGTTTAAGAATGTACCATTTTGCATTACCAATGAGGGTATACTATTTGCATTATTTTATCTACATGATAGAATCAGATAAGAAATTATATTTAGACATTAACTCATATAAACAACATTATTATGTAATTGAACTTCAGATAAATTGTTAACTGAAATGTACATCTGCATGGTACCTGAGAGAATTATCTTTATATAGATTATTTTCTTTTGCTTCAAAAAATATTAATCATTTTATATTTTGGTTAATTTTAAAAAATATTTAATAAAATAGAAAATGATTCCTATCCTGACATGATATTTCATTAGAGACATGAGTCTTCAAAATGATTATTTAAGATTTCTTCCCTCATACCAACCTTATTGTTGGTAGTACTAGGTTTATGCCAATTAGTTTATATTTCCCTCAGATTATATATTGCTTTTAGTCCAGCAATGTATAAATTCTATTTTTTTTCCAAAAATAATTGTTGGGTCTTCAAAGTAAGGCCTATTCTCTCTCTCTTCCCCTTTCTCCCTCCTTCCCTACTTTTCTCCCTTCCTTCCTTCCGTCCATCCATCCATCCATCCATCCTTCCTTTCTTTCTTCCATCTTCTTTGTTTCCTTTCTATGATTTAATTCACTTCAAATATATTGAGACTTGTTTTATTGCTCATAATTGGGTCTATATTCATAAACATTTCACTTGTGCTTGAAAATAATAGGTAGTCTACTAAAGTTGAATTAATTTTTCTAATTAAAATTATTGATAGAAGAGTATTAAAAACTCTCACTGCAACTTCAGATTGGTGCATTTCTTCTTGACATTCCATTAGATTTTGCTTCAGATATTTTGAGTCTCTGTTACTATGTGTATACTGCTTAAGATTGCTATGCTCTCTTGATGAATTTACCCTCTAATATTATTAAAGGATACATTTTTTTCCCGGATAATATTTTTTCTCTGAAATCAAACTTGTTAAGCAGTAACGTAGCATCTCCAGCTTTCTTTTAATATCAACTTTCAAAAATTAGTATTAGTATGATTATTGTTAGATGTCATTATCTGTTCTTACGCTTGAACCCCTTTGTTTCTTTAAAGTGAGTTTCTCGTAGGTAGTGGATAATTACATTTTGCTTTTGTATTCATTCTAACAATCCACAAGTTTTAGTTTTGTTGTTTAGACAATCTACATTTTATATTACTTTTGATAAAAATAATAATGTTAAGAAAGAAGTCTTTTATATCAGCCCTAAGGCATGCCATCTGAGGCTCTTTTTTTTAATAAATGCAGATTTCAATCTGTTATCATTTTCCTCACTTTCCTTCTGCCTGGGGGACTTTTCTTCACATTTTTCATAATGTAAGATGATTGGTAATTAATGATTTCATCAATTGCCTGTGTCTTGTTTTTGCCTTTATTTTTTGTGAATAATTGTTTTCATTGAATCTACAACTCTAGGTTGACTTGTATTGTTTGCTCATTTTTGTTATTTTCCTTTCAGTTATTTAAAGATATTTTCCTACTGTCCACCATGCATTTTTTCTGATGAGAGGTAATCTATCATTCTAATTTCTTTCTCTCTGTGTCTTGTGTATTTTTTTTTCTGATTGCTTTTAAAATTTCCTCTTTAATGCCAGTTTTAAGCAATTCAATAAAGATGTACTTTGTTTTAGTTTATGTCATATTTTATTGAGCTCATGGATCTGAGAGTTTACAGTTTTAATAAAATATGCAAAAATATCCATTATTTCTTGTGGCATTTTCTGCCCACACCCTATTTTCTGGGAATCCAATTGCACATGCCTTAGGCTACTTGCTTTGCATGCTTTGTCTCACAGTTCACTGAACCTCTGTTTATTTTTTTTCATTCTTCTTTTTTTCTAGGTTACAGTCTGTATAGTTTATGATGCTATATTTTCAGAATTACTAATATTTTTATCTGGAATATTTCATATGGAATAAATTTTATAATTTTTATTTTTCATGTACTTTAATATGATATTTTCTCTCTCAGGATATGATTTTGGTCTTTTAAATATATTTATTTATTGACTTAGCACGGTCAAACTTTCTGCAGCTTTTTGGCAACACAGAATAAAGTTATTTTAACTGCTTTAATGTCTTTATGTACTAATTATGTCATCTATACTATTTCTGGATTAATTACCATTACTTTTTTTTTTCTTTTTGGTCTTACTCTTAAGTTGTGGTATGTGGGACCAGAGAAATATCTGCTCGAGAAAACTTTGGCTTACTGCTGACGCCAAACTGTGGTGTTTATTCTACCTGATGCCTCATTAATTAAGAGGGTTTCCAACTGGCTGCTGGGACGAGCAACTTTTTCAAGCTACTAAGCTCTGGAGTTTTTTCATTCTTCTACCTCCTGCCTTGGGTATTTTTTTTTTTTTTTTTTTTTTGGCATATATGCTCCAGTAAGTTTTCAATTAATATTAAGAGGGAGAAAAATTTTCAAATCTGTGAAAGATTCTCTCTGTGCAGTTTTCTCCTTCTATTACTCTCTGCATTAAGTTTTTTTTTCCTCCTTGGCCTCTTCATACTCTCAGCAATGTCTTTTCAACTCAGGAATATTCCTGGACTCTGCCTAGTAAACTGGAGGCCAAGAACGGAGCAATCATACTGCTCTCTTTGCTTGCTGTCTGTCAGCAACCATTGTTCTTTGTCTGATGTTAAATATTTTGGATACTGTTGCTTTATATATACTTTTATTTTACAATTTTTTCCAACAGAAGTGTAAATCAGTTTTCTGTTACTGCATCTTGTCAAGAAAAATAATATAAAGTTACATTTTAAAACAAATTACTCATTAAGTAACTAAAACCTTTTTTACGACATATATGCAATTTATTTCATCAGGAAGATGTTAATGAATATAAAATGACTTTCATTGATGTGCCTTGTTTGATTTTTATACATAAACTGTGTAGAATATCATATCTTCAACAATTTTTAAATGAAAGATAATCTTGAATAACAGTATATCACAAACTTTACACTTAACTATCCCAAGGAGGATTGATGCATTATTGCTGGCTCTGAACTGTAAAGATCAAGCTACAAAAATGGTGAGAAGGCTCTTGGTGCTGAGGATAGCCACGTGAGGACAGTCAGCAAAGAAAAAAGGAACACTAAGTTTTAGGTAGTTAGTTATGGAAGAAATAAGAAAAAGAATGCACACCATTTCCCATTGTCTCTAGCTGCTCATGGAATAAAATTTTAGATGTCATGTTTTGGTCTGGAGTTTAATCTGGAATCTAAAACAAATTATAATTAAGTCCATTAGGGGTTGGAAACTACTCTTTTGCCTCATTACTCAGTGTTCTAAAGCTGATATGTAGATTTCATCAATGCATCCAACTCATGCTGACAGGAGTCTATTGTTCCAGCTTTCTTAAACAATTTAGCAGGCTGTTATCACTCATAACATAACATTGAAAAATCACCCACTTATCGATAGTCCCATTAGGTCTACCACATGAAGTCATGTATTCTCACAGAATGGACATATACAATGGGAGGTAATAGCAAGTAAATAATAGAATGGTTTCTGAAATCAAGAGAATGGTTGTTTGGCACCCTTGTGATTCTGAAGCTGTTATGTATTTTTAGCTTATTTATTTGTAATAGGACATAAGATAAAATATTTTGTGGCAAAGTTTCATAGTCATAATAGAAATAGTAAATGGTTGAATTTTTCATTTCCTGCTTTAAATACCCAAATTAGAACTTTGCATAAGTCCTAATAAAAATACAATCAATTATTTGTTATTTGTGTTAAGGTGCTATGTAATTCATGCAATGCATAATAAAAATTAGTGAATAGTCCAAACGTTATTTAAATTAAATATTGGCATAAATACAGGTGTCTCTGATTTTTTAGAATAGATGCTATGGCATATACATTAAATTGTTATAGCAAATTTATGGTTAAAAGAAAGTTTCTTCTGTAACTTCTCTGATTTTCCTGACCAATAATGCTATCTGTTGGGCATGAGGAGCACTATAATCTATACTCTGAAGATACCTTTTACTTGCTTTGGGCCATTTATCACGTAAAATAGAACAGACTGGCTTATATTTTGCTTGAAAATGTATCATGTACTTTGCAAGTGTAAAGGATAATGTATGCTCATCTGGAAGTTATTTTACATCAATAAGTTTATGAATTTTTTTTCAAAGCTGAAAATATTTTGACATTATAGTTTAAGTACAAATGTGTTGTGTACACACACATATTGTATTGTAAATATGTGTATTTGGTATTAAAAAGTTTGCCTTCCCAAATGTGCTTTTCCTTAAATTATATTTACTTTATCCAATATAAATCATATGATTTGGTGGAGTGAAGTGTATCTAAAATTTTGATCTCAAAAAGGAAAGCAATTTAGATGATGTGAAAGGAAGTTACTTGTAAGAACTAGTGAGAGCATTTTAAGCCGAATATTTAGGGAAAAATTCATAGTGCAGTGTGCTGAAGAGTGAACAGAAGATAAGAAATTTGAAACTGAATGAAATGTTACTTTTCCAGCAACTTGATTATGCATATAAAGGAGCTGTAAATTATATACTAAAAGTAGAAAGAAACACTTATTATAAAAATATTTTAATAAAATAATACATAAATATTCCAGAAAACTTAATAACAAAACTTATACAACACTTGAATTGTCATCATAGTTTCACCTACAATCCACACTCTTCCTTTTCTTTCCTAATCTATTACAAATTAATTTTGAAAACAATATTTTACATTAGCAGAAAACTTGAAATAATACTGATACAGTATTGTATGATTTTAACCTGTTAATCAGTTGTTATTATGTTGTTATATTTGCTTCTATATTTATATAGAAATAGAATATATAATATCAGGTAGTATATATCATACACCTCATATAATATATGTAATAATATTAAAACATCTAATGCATTATATAATTATGCAATGGTACATATGCTATGTATATGTTGATATATTTACATTCACATAGCACATTTGCTTTCTGTGGTATGTTTGTGTCTGTGTTTATGTGTGTGTGTGTGTGTGTGTGTGTGCGCTAAATCATTGGAAAGTAAACTGCAGATGTCATGACTGTTAACCTATTTCAGCAGGTCTTTCTTATAATATTAGCATTCTCTTTCATCGCCAACATTAATTTAAAAGTTCAGGGAATTTAACATCAACACAATACTTCTACCTAATAAATAGTAAATATTCAAATTCATCATTCATTCTAATGATACTCTAACACTTTATTTTCCTGCTTCCAAATCCCAAACTTAATTCAAAATTGCATTCAGTTGTAACTTTTCACTCTCACTTAATCTAGAGCTGTTCTTCATTCTTTCTTCATCTTTCAAGACATTAGTATTTTTTAAGAATTGAGTCCAATTTCATCAATTTGGTTTTGATCAATTGCTTCTTTATAAAGAAATTCAGATAATGCATTCTGAGCAGGAATCTGACCTAAGTGATTGATATATTGCATTTCTCAGTGTGTCACACAAAGAAGCACGGGATGTCAGTTTGCCCCATTATTGACGATATTAACTTCAATCACGTGGTATGAGATTTACTTCAATAAAGCCCAAATGACTTTATAGAAAAGATTTTGTTAAACGTTTGCGATTAATACATAATCGACTTAGAAAGATTTTCAAACCATGTTAATAATTTGTTCTTCAGTAAACTAAGACAAAATGATTTCAGCATCCTTACAACAACCTTGCCTAAATCAAGTAGCATTATGATTACAAAACAGTGCAAAAATTTGATTATAAATAATCACTTTCTTTTCTGACCACTCTATATCTACCTACACATCATGTACCTATTATCCATGTATGTATGTATATATATATATATATCTACATTCCTTCATATCTACCAACCTAATTATATTTTTATACAGAACTGGATGTATAATTACAGTTTTTTCAAAAATCTACCACTATACATCATTATTCACTATATTCTTTTAGTTATTCAAAGTGTTCCTTTTTCACCATAGGCACATCTTCAAGCTGACTTTTATGTCTTTTTAAAATGCATTCAACATGTTTGAATAATTCCATACTTTGTGTCACAAGATATGTTACCAACTCATATATTTTCCATGTCCCAGCCTTGGGATCAGTTATTTCTCCAAGGATGCTAATTTCTATTAGTAGAGAAAGACAGATACTTTTTTAAATCTACTGAAATGCTTTTCTCCTTCCATAACAGTGCATCTCTCTGTAAAAATCTCAAAGGTTCTTTTTTCACTGACCCGGTGAGGTGGGTGGGGCGAGCCCCGAGGGGCTCTCATACCAAAATGACAGGATCAAATTCACACATAACAATATTAACTTTAAATGTAAATGGACTAAATGCTCCAATTAAAAGACACAGACTGGCAAATTGGATAAAGAGTCAAGACCCATCACTGTGCTGTATTCAGGAAACCCATCTCACGGGCAGAGACACACATAGGCTCAAAATAAAAGGATGGAGGAAGATCTACCAAGCAAATGGAAAACAAAAAAAGGCAGGGGTTGCAATCCTAGTCTCTGATAAAACAGACTTTAAACCAACAAACATCAAAAGAGACAAAGAAGGCCATTACATACTGGCAAAGGGATCAGTTCAACAAGAAGAGCTAACTATCCTAAATATATATGCATCCAATACAGGAGCACCCAGATTCATAAAGCAAGTCCTGAGTGACCTACAAAGAGACTTAGACTCCCACACAATAATAATGGGAGACGTTAACACCTCACTGTCAACATTAGACAGAACAACGAGACAGAAAGTTAACAAGGATACCCAGGAATTGAACTCAGCTCTGTACCAAGCAGACCTAATAGACATCTACAGAACTCTCCACCCCAAATCAATAGAATATACATTTTTTTCAGCACCGCACCACACCTATTCCAAAATTGACCACATAGTTGGAAGTAAAGCTCTCCTCAGCAAATGTAAAAGAACAGAAATTATAACAAACTGTCTCTCAGACCACAGTGCAATCAAACTAGAACTCAGGATTAAGAAACTCACTCAAAACCGCTCAACTACATGGAAATTGAACAACGTGCTCCTGAATGACTACTGGGTACATAACGAAATGAAAGCAGAAATAAAGATGTTCTTTGAAACCAACGAGAACAAAGACACAACATACCAGAATCTCTGGGACACATTCAAACCAGTGTGTAGAGGGAAATTTACAGCACTAAATGCCCACAAGAGAAAGCAGGAAAGATCCAAAACTGACACCCTAACATCACAATTAAAAGAACTAGAAAAGCAGGAGCAAACATATTCAAAAGCTAGCAGAAGGCAAGAAATAACTAAAATCAGAGCAGAACTGAAGGAAATAGAGACACAAAAAACCCTGCAAGAAATTAATGAATCCAGGAGCTGGTTTTTTGAAAGGATCAACAAAATTGATAGACCACTAGCAAGACTAATAAAGAAGAAAAGAGAGAAGAATCAAATAGACGCAAAAAAAAATGATAAAGTGGATATCACCACCGATCCCACAGAAACACAAACTACCATCAGAGAATACTACAAACACGTCTATGCAAATAAACTAGAAAATCTAGAAGAAATGCATAAATTCCTCGACACATACACCCTCCCAAGACTAAACCAGGAAGAAGCTGAATCTCTGAATAGACCAATAACAGGAGCTGAAATTGTGGCAATAATCAATAGCTTACCAACCAAAAAGAGTCCAGGACCAGATGGATTCACAGCCGAATTCTACCAGAGGTACAAGGAGGAACTGGTACCATTCCTTCTGAAACTATTCCAATCAATAGAAAAAGAGGGAATCCTACCTAACTCATTTTATGAGGCCAGCATCATCCTGATACCAAAGCCGGGCAGAGACACAACCAAAAAAGAGAATTTTAGACCAATATCCTTGATGAACATTGATGCAAAAATCCTCAATAAAATACTGGCAAACCGAATCCAGCAGCACATCAAAAAGCTTATCCACCATGATCAAGTGGGCTTCATCCCTGGGATGCAAGGCTGGTTCAATATACGCAAATCAATAAATGGAATCTAGCATATAAACAGAACCAAAGACAAAAACCACATGATTATCTCAATAGATGCAGAAAAGGCCTTTGACAAAATTCAACAACGCTTCATGCTAAAAACTCTCAATAAATTAGGTATTGATGGGACGTATCTCAAAATAATAACACCTATCTATGACAGACCCACAGCCAATATCATTCTGAATGGGCAAAAACTGGAAGCATTTCCTTTGAAAACTGGCACAAGACAGGGATGCTCTCTCTCACCACTCCTATTCAACATAGTGTTGGAAGTTCTGGCCAGGGCAATTAGGCAGGAGAAGGAAATAAAAGGTATTCAATTAGGAAAAGAGGAAGTCAAATTGTCCCTGTTTCCAGATGACATGATTGTATATCTAGAAAACCCCATTGTCTCAGCCCAAAATCTCCTTAAGCTGATAAGCAACTTCAGCAAGGTCTCAGCATACAAAATCAAGGTACAAAAATCACAAGCGTTCTTAAACACCAATAACAGACGAACAGAGAGCAAAATCATGAGTGAACTCCCATTCACAATTGCTTCAAAGAGAGTGAAATACCTAGGAATCCAACTTACAAGGGACGTGAAGGACCTCTTCAAGGAGAACTACAAACCACTGCTCCATGAAATAAAAAAGGATACAAACAAATGGAAGAACATTCCATGCTCATGGGTAGGAAGAATCAATATCGTGAAAATGGCCATACTGCCCAAGGTAATTTATAGATTCAATGCCATCCCCATCAAGCTACCAATGACTTTCTTCACAGAATTGGAAAAAACTATTTTATAGTTCATTTGGAACCAAAAAAGATCCCCCATCGCCAAGTCAATCCTAAGCCAAAAGAACAAAGCTGGAGGCATCACACCACCTGACTTCAAACTTTACTACAAGGCTACAGTAACCAAAACAGCATGGTACTGGTACCAAAACAGAGATATAGATCAATGGAACAGAACAGAGCCCTCAGAAATAACGCCGCGTATCTACAACTGTCTGATCTTTGACAAACCTGAGAAAAACAAGCAATGGGGAAAGGATTCCCTATTTAATAAATGGTGCTGGGAAAACTGGCTAGCCATATGTAGAAAGCTGAAACTGGATCCCTTCCTTACACCTTATACAAAAATCAATTCAAGATGGATTAAAGACTTAAACGTTAGACCTAAAACCATAAAAACCCTAGAAGAAAACCTAGGCATTACCATTCAGGACATAGGCATGGGCAAGGACTTCATGTCTAAAACACCAAAAGCAATGGCAACAAAAGCCAAAATTGACAAATGGGATCTAATTAAACTAAAGAGCTTCTGCACAGCAAAAGAAACTACCATCAGAGTGAATAGGCAACCTACAACATGGGAGAAAATTTTCACAACCTGCTCATCTGACAAAGGGCTAATATCCAGAATCTACAATGAACTCCAACAAATTTACAAGAAAAAAACAAACAACCCCATCAAAAAGTGGGCACAGGACATGAACAGACACTTCTCAAAAGAAGACATTTATGCAGCCAAAAAACACATGAAAAAATGCTCACCATCACTGGCCAACAGAGAAATGCAAATCAAAACCACAATGAGATACCATCTCACACCAGTTAGAATGGCAATCATAAAAACGTCAGGAAACAACAGGTGCTGGAGAGGATGTGGAGAAATAGGAACACTTTTACACTGTTGGTGGGACTGTAAACTAGTTCAACCATTGTGGAAGTCGGTGTGGCGATTCCTCAGCGATCTAGAACTAGAAATACCGTTTGACCCAGCCATCCCATTACTGGGTATATACCCAAAGGACTATAAAGCATGCTGCTATAAAGACACATGCACACGTATGTTTATTGCGGCACTATTCACAATAGCAAAGACTTGGAATCAACCCAAATGTCCAACAATGATAGACTGGATTAAGAAAATGTGGCACATATACACCATGGAATACTATGCAGCCATAAAAAAGGATGAGTTCACGTCCTTTGTAGGGACATGGATGAAATTGGAAATCATCATTCTCAGTAAACTATCGCAAGAACAAAAAGCCAAACACCGCATATTCTCACTTATAGGTGGGAAGTGAACAATGAGAACACATGGACACAGGAAGGGGAACATCACTCTCTGGGGACTGTTGTGGGGTGGGGGGAGGGGGAGGGAGAGCATTAGGAGATATACCTAATGCTAAATGACAAGCTAATGGGTGCAGCACACCAGCATGGCACATGTATACATATGTAACAAACCTGCACGTTTTGCACATGTACCCTAAAACTTAAGGTATAATAATAATAAAAAAAAGAATCCTAATATCTTCTTAAGCAATACATATATTCATAGATGAAGGGAAGGTCATATGTGGAATAAATGATGTTTCCCTTGATTTTCTTCTTTAAAATAGCATAAGGAAGAGGATATATTTTTGTTCTGAATTTTGATTTCCTGATTACAATTATTTATGTGTGAAATGGCATCAGACTTGACTACTCATACATAATAATATTAATATGTATGATATGCTTCTGGGAAACATAAAGCTTGTTAGAATTATATTTCTGATTGGCAATGAAAATGAATTAAAATGCTTTTACAATATGTTAAAAACATTTTATTAATATACATTTTACGTTACTATCATTTAAATATTGATATATTCTATTATGAATTTTAGTAGAAGTAAGTCATTAACTTGCATATGTTCCTTTAGGAATTGAAAAACAATTTTTAAAAGATTAAAAATAAAATATTTTTCATTTTAAATTTATTCTCATTAGGTTAAGGAATAATATACTTATCTTTATATTGACCTTAAAAATTTAACGGAAAAAACTGATTTTATTCTGTCCAAAATGTCATCAACAGAAACGTTTGACTGTCTAATATACATGACAATGATGTAAACTAATCACCTACTGACACTAAGCATATGCTTCTCCCTTTGCTTAGGGCAAAGATGTAGACAATACACATTTTCACAAACAAATGAATAAAATGGATTCACTGGTAAGAGACTCTTAAGAAAATACAAACCATGAATACAATAGTGTATGCTTGTCTGTGGAAAACTACAGAAGATATTGGGCAAGAGAAAGCTTAATGGTGATTAAGAGCCAGACACATGACTCTCAGATGTAAGAACAGAACAGGTACAGAGAGCACAAATGCAAATTATTGAGATAGAAACAACCTTTATATGTTTCGGAGACAGCTTGGCCAGGATAGGAGTAGTAGAAGTCAAAGAAAACAGTGTTCACAAACCATAAAGTTAAATTGAATGATTAATAGGTATATTTGTTTTAGTTTACCTACCCAGACTAATTTTTTTTTTTAATTTATGGAAGAGAAGGGGTCTAGGAGATTTGGCTTTGCAGTTTGCTCCCTGCCCTTTCAGCCTAATCTTTAAAAATATGCCACTTAATGCAATTAACATTATAGCAGTTTGAGAAATAAGGAAATTTATTTGATAACGTCAAGCCACTGTATAAGCATCTCTCCTTCATAGGGATTCCAACTTGATAAAGCAGCTGTTCATGCTCTTCATGAATTTTCACTTCACGTCTCAACTCAAAATCCATTTCTTTTGTAAAGTCTGATATAAACTACCACAGAAAGTTTACGGGTTTTTTCCCCCACATTTATACTGTAATTTTTAATATATTTTTACTATAACACATATAATTTTATAGTTATAATTTAGTTAGATGTCTGTCTCCCTGTTAAATTACATCTCTCTAATGGGTAACAATATCTTGTTTACTTTGAACCACATGACTGGCAAGCATAGTAGATGTTCAGTGTATTTCAGCTTAGCTGAATAACGTAATTGCAACACTGTTTTTGAATCAAGAACAATATACAGTGATTATAGGTTATGAGAATAAAAAATAAAATGGTGTTCCACATTGCAAATTTTGAGTATCATGTCAAGTACTTTGAAACTTAAGAAAGTAGGGTGTTATTTCAAAAGGGAACATGCAGGCCCAGCATACCATGAAAGCACTACCTTTACTTATCTATTTCCTAGATGACATCAAGCATACTCTTTCACTTATGGAAATAATAAATGCCATTACCTTCTTAGTAGAAATGAACATTTATAGCTTGCAATAGTGGAATGAAATTACATAGAAATGTCTTTGTTGAAAATAAATTATGCATGACTTATTTATAAGCTTTATTACTTACAGAGGTATTAAATATCAGTGTGTAGTATTCAAATAGGTTATAATATCTTCTCTGGTGTCTCATTTTCTATGTACTAATGTCATTTAATAGCATGCGTATTTTCTTGTTAACATACATTTTGATGTACTGGTGTTTGTTTTTGAAATTAATTGTAAATCAAGGACTTGTCTTTATATAACTTAAGGTAGAAAAATATAAATAGAGGGAGCAACTTTTTAAATGTTAGTATTTCTGTTCACTTTCCCCACTATCTTTTAAATTTTAATAAGCTAAAACTCTGCATTAATTATGCAATTATCTTAAATCCACAAATGCGACAGTGATTCTTATGCTACATTACAATTATCTGCACCTATTTCACTGCGGCAAACTTGCTCAATGGGGACAAAACAAGATCCTCTAAAAACAACTATTTTCACCAGTATACAAACATTATGACAGAGGAATACTTGAGAGAGCGCCGTTGAGTGTGCCTGTGAGAAATACAAGCTGTTAATGTGTTCTTTTATTTTAGAAAACTTTTCTATGAACTTTCCTTTCATTATCTTAGAAGAAGTGACAAGGCATTTTAAGTTATTTTTTTTCTTACAACAATATAAAACTACATTCAGTTTTGTAGTCAGGTTATTATATGAAAAAGAACTTATCTTATTTTTAAAGACCAACCAAATTCAAAAGTCTGCATTCTTTTAAGAATAAGCATTTTTCTTAAAGTGTATTCAAAGTTTTTTGAGTTTGTTTGTTTCTTCTTTGAAAACATTATAAAGATTGCAAGGACTTCTGAGATGGAACAGCACCAAAGAAGCCTGCTGAAGTAAAAAAAAATTGTAAAAGCACAGATACTTGAAGTAGCTACTTAGACTCACTGCTGTGTTATAGAAATTAAATGTGGTGCTTTATAAAACAAAAACAACAGATAGGTATAGTTAGCAGTTACTTCATGATAGTCAGATTTAAACAAAAATAAGACCAGAGAGACCAAATGAAAAAGCTGCCAAACTGGGAATTACACCAAATTTTGTTTATCTGCATAGCAGTATTATTTTATATTGTATATCACATCCCATATCTTGATCACAGGATCTGCAATGATTTTTAAAGACAAGTGAAATATTTATATTATTTTAATCTATCAGCTTTTAATATAGTGAGAATTCATTACAAGGATGAAGATTTATTACTCTCATTCACAGTTGTTTCTATTATATGGAGTATTGTCTGACAATATGTTCCTGAAAGAGAATGAATAACTGTAGTTTAAATCTTTCAATGCTTCACTTATTTTTGTGATAAAACGTTGGAGATTATGATAAAACATCCTCTATGCTATAAACACAAGTCATACTATTTTATCCTACTAAGGGCCAAGGCATAGCTTTAATTTTGTTACAACTTCTTCACTCTATCTTTTTACACATTGAATTTCTACATGAAATTATGTTTGTTCCAATAATTATTGTATCAAATTATTAAAAATAATTTAGAACTTCATTTTATCTTTCAAAATAAACTAAAAATGGAATTCTGTGCTTTATTATCCTTTTCACCATGTACATCTCTTAAATATGTGGACTGCTGGAAAATTTTTTAAACTAGTTTTTGGAGTGGGAGTTGGAGCCTTGGAAAGTTAACAGAAAGAGTGACATCTGAGTGAATGTGAGAGTTATAACTGATAAATCAAAGAAGCAGGAGCATACTGCGTAAGGAAATAGAAAGGTTTGAAACTGTATTAGCGCACAGCAATTCCATAGAATATAAAGCAGTCTCTTGTGCAGTAAAGATTATAGTAGCCGGGCTTTTGGGGAGTGAGTTATTATAAGATTAGAAATGTAGACTGGGGCCACATTGAGAAGATCATGAACACTTGGGAATTTGAGTTGTATATTATAATCAATAGGAAGCCATAAAAAATTTTCTTTAGTATGAGACAAACACCTCAACATCAATGTCTGGAAATTTTATTTTCACAGCCATATATTGAAAGAATTGAATAGTGAGGAGTCTATTGGAAAGCAAGTAATAATTTCAATAATCTGATCAGTATCTCTGGAAGAGAAAAGGAGGGGAAATGTAAGGAACATTGGTAAGATCATTTTGACAGAGCTTGACTTTCCATTAATGTGAGTGTTTAAAAATAATTAAACATGACAGCAATTCTAGGACAGTTGGCAAAGAGGATAATCAAGACCAAAGCATTACATACTGTGCATGTTATGTTGATAATAGTTTAGCCATCACATATGGTCTCCATATTTATGAAAGAAGAAGAAGAGGGAGAAGTCGGGGGAGGAGCCAAGATGGCCGAATAGGAACAGCTCCGGTCTACAGCTCCCATCATGAGTGATGCAGAAGATGGGTGATTTCTGCATTTCCATCTGAGATACCGGGTTCATCTCACTAGGAAGTGCCAGACAGTGGGCGCAGGTCAGTGGGTGCGCACACCATGCACAAGCCGAAGCAGGGCGAGGCATTGCCTCACTGGGGAAGCGCAAAGGGTCAGGGAGTTCCCTTTCCTAGTCAAAGAAAGTGGTGACAGACGGCACCTGGAGAATCAGGTCACTCCCACCCAAATACTGCGCTTTTCTGACGGGCTTAAAAAATGGCGCACCAGGAGATTATAACCCGCACCTGGCTCAGAGGGTCCTACGCCCACGGAGTCTTGCTGACTGCTAGCACAGCATTCTGAGATCAAACTGCAAGGTGGCAGCGAGGCTGGGGGAGGGGCGCCCGCCATTGCCCAGGCTTGCTTAGGTAAACAAAGCAGCCGAGAACCTCGAACTGGGTGGAGCCCACCACAGCTCAAGGAGGCCTGCCTGCCTCTGTAGGCTCCACCTCTGGGGGCAGGGCACAGACAAACAAAAAGACAGCAGTAACCTCTGCAGACTTAAATGTCCCTGTCTGACAGTTTGAAGAGAGCAGTGGTTCTCCCAGCACACAGCTGGAGATCTGAGAATGGGCAGACTGCCTCCTCAAGTGGGTCCCTGACCCCTGACCCCCCAGCAGCCTCACTGGGAGGCACCCCCCAGGAGGGGCACACTGACACCTCACACGGTCGGATACTCCAACAGACCTGCAGCTGAGGGTCCTGTCTGTTAGAAGGAAAACTAACAAACAGAAAGGACATCCACACCAAAAATCCATCTGTACATCACCATCATCAAAGACCAAAAGTAGATAAAACCACAAAGATGGGGAAAAAACAGAGAAGAAAAACTGGAAACTCTAAAAAGCAGAGCGCCTCTCCTCCTCCAAATGAATGCAGCTCCTCACCAGCAACGGAACAAAGCTGGATGGAGAATGACTTTGACGAGCTGAGAGAAGAAGGCTTCAGACGATCAAATTACTCCGAGCTATGGGAGGACATTCAAAACAAAGGCAAACAAGTTGAAAACTTTGGAAAAAATTTAGAAGAATGTATAACTAGAATAACCAATACAGAGAAGTGCTTAAAGGAGCTGTTGGAGCTGAAAACCAAGGCTCGAGAACTACATGAAGAATGCAGAAGCCTCAGGAGCCGATGTGATCAACTGATAGAAAGGGTATCAGTGATGGAAGACGAAATGAATGAAATGAAGCAAGACGGGAAGTTTAGAGAAAAAAGAATAAAAAGAAATGAGCAAAGCCTCCAAGAAATATGGGACTATGTGAAAAGACCAAATCTACGTCTGATTGGTGTACCTGAAAGTGACAGGGAGAATGGAACCAAGTTGGAAAACACTCTGCAGGATATTATCCAGGAGAACTTCCCCAATCTAGCAAGGCAGGCCAATGTTCAGATTCAGGAAATACAGAGAACGCCACAAAGATACTCCTTGAGAAGAGCAACACCAAGACACATAATTGTCAGATTCACCAAAGTTGAAATGAAGGAAAAAATGTTAAGGGCAGCCAGAGAGAAAGGTCGGGTTACCCTTAAAGGGAAGCCCATCAGACTAACAGCAGATCTCTTGGCAGAAACTCTACAAGCCAGAAGAGAGTGGGGGCCAATATTCAACATTCTTAAAGAAAAGAATTTTCAACCCAGAATTTCATATCCAGCCAAACTAAGCTTCATAAGTGAAGGAGAAATAAAATCCTTTACAGACAAGCAAATGCTGAGAGATTTTGTCACCACCAGGCCTGCCCTAAAAGAGCTCCTGAAGGAAGCGCTAAACATGGAAAGGAACAACCGGTACCAGCCACTGCAAAATCATGCCAAAATGTAAAGACCATTGAGACTAGGAAGAAACTGCATCAATTAACGAGCAAAATCACCAGCTAACATCATAATGACAGGATCAAATTCACACATAACAATATTAACTTTAAATGTAAATGGACTAAATGCTCTAATTAAAAGACACAGACTGGCAAATTGGATAAAGAGTCAAGACCCATCACTGTGCTGTATTCAGGAAACCCATCTCACAGGCAGAGACAAACATAGGCTCAAAATAAAAGGATAGAGGAAGATCTACCAAGCAAATGGGAAACAAAAAATGGCAGGGGTTGCAATCCTAGTCTCTGATAAAACAGACTTTAAACCAACAAAGATCAAAAGAGACAAAGAAGGCCATTACTTAATGGTAAAGGGATCAGTTCAACAAGAAGAGCTAACTATCCTAAATATACATGCATCCAATACAGGAGCACCCAGATTCATAAAGCAAGTCCTGAGTGACCTACAAAGAGACTTAGACTCCCACATATTAATAATGGGAGACTTTAACACCCCACTGTCAACATTAGACAGATCAATGAGACAGAAAGTCAACAAGGATACCCAGGAATTGAACTCAGCTCTGCACCAAGCAGACCTAATAGACATCTACAGAACTCTCTACCCCAAATCAACAGAATATACATTTTTTTCAGCACTACAACACACCTATTCCAAAACGGAACACATAGTTGGAAGTAAAGCTCTCCTCAGCAAATGTAAAAGAACAGAAATTATAACTATCTCTCAGACCACAGTGCAATCAAACTAGAACTCAGGATTAAGAATCTCACTCAAAACCACTCAACTACATGGAAACTGAACAACCTGCTCCTGAATGACTACTAGGTACATAACGAAATGAAGGCAGAAATAAAGATGTTCTTTGAAACCAATGAGAACAAAGACACAACATACCAGAATCTCTGGGACACATTCAAAGCAGTGTGTAGAGGGAAATTTATAGCACTAAATGCCCACAAGAGAAAGCAGGAAAGATCCAAAATTGACACCCTAACATCACAATTAAAAGAACTAGAAAAGCAAGAGCAAACATATTCAAAAGCTAGCAGAAGGCAAGAAATTACTAAAATCAGAGCAGAACTGAAGGAAATAGAGACACAAAACACCCTTCAAAAAATTAACGAATCCAGGAGCTGGTTTTTTGAAAGGATCAACAAAATTGATAGACCACTAGCAAGACTAATAAAGAAAAAAAGAGAGAAGAATCAAATAGACTCAATAAAAAATGATAAAGGGGATATCACCATCGATCCCACAGAAATACAAACTACCATTAGAGAATACTACAAACATGTCTACGCAAATAAACTAGAAAATCTAGAAGAAATGGATAAATTCAACACATACACCCTCCCAAGACTAAACCAGGAAGAAGTTGAATCTCTGAATAGACCAATAACAGGAGCTGAAATTGTGGCAATAATCAATAGCTTACCAACCAAAAAGAGTCCAGGACCAGATGGATTCACAGCCGAATTCTACCAGAGGTACAAGGAGGAACTGGTACCATTCCTTCTGAAACTATTCCAATCAATAGAAAAAGAGGGAATCCTACCTAACTCATTTTATGAGGCAAGCGTCATCCTGATACCAAAGCCGGGCAGAGACACAACCAAAAAAGAGAATTTTAGACCAATATCCTTGATGAACATTGATGCAAAAATCCTCAATAAAATACTGGCAAACCGAATCCAGCAGCACATCAAAAAGCTTATCCACCATGATCAAGTGGGCTTCATCCCTGGGATGCAAGGCTGGTTCAATATATGCAAATCAATAAATGGAATCCAGCATATAAACAGAACTAAAGACAAAAACCACATGATTATCTCAATAGATGCAGAAAAATCCTTTGACAAAATTCAACAACGCTTCAAGCTAAAAACTCTCAATAAATTAGGTATTGATGGGACGTATCTCAAAATAATAAGAGCTATCTATGACAGACCCACAGCCAGTATCATACTGAATGGGCAAAAACTGGAAGCATTCCCTTTGAAAACTGGTACAAGACAGGGATGCCCTCTCTCACCACTCCTAGTCAACATAGTGTTGGAAGTTCTGGCCAGGGCAATCAGGCAGGAGAAGGAAATAAAGGGTATTCAATTAGGAAAAGAGGAAGTCAAATTGTCCCTGTTTGCAGACAACATGATTGTATATCTAGAAAACCCCATTGTCTCAGCCCAAAATCTCCTGAAGCTGATAAGCAACTTCAGCAAAGTCTCAGGATACAAAATCAATGTACAAAACTCACAAGCATTCTTATACACCAACAACAGACAGAGAGCCAAATCATGAGTGAACTCCCATTCACAATTGCTTCAAAGAGAGTGAAATACCTAGGAATCCAACTTACAAGGGACATGAAGGACCTCTTCAAGGAGAACTACAAACCACTGCTCCATGAAATAAAAGAGGATACAAACAAATGGAAGAACATTCCATGTTCATGGGTAGGAAGAATCAATATCGTGAAAATGGCCATACTGCCCAAGGTAATTTATAGATTCAATGCCATCCCCATCAAGCTACCAATGACTTTCTTCACAAAATTGGAAAAAAAACTATTTTATAGTTCATTTGGAACCAAAAAAGAGCCCCCATCGCCAAGTCAATCCTAAGCCAAAAGAACAAAGCTGGAGGCATCACACTACCTGACTTCAAACTATACTACAAGGCTACAGTAACCAAAACAGCATGGTACTGGTACCAAAACAGAGATATAGATCAATGGAATAGAACAGAGCCCTCAGAAATAACGCCACATATCTACAACTATCTGATCTTTGACAAACCTGAGAAAAACAAGCAATGGGGAAAGGATTCCCTATTTAATAAATGGTGCTGGGAAAACTGGCTAGCCATATGTAGAAAGCTGAAACTGGATCCCTTCCTTACACCTTATACAAAAATCAATTCAAGATGGATTAAAGACTTAAACGTTAGACCTAAAACCATAAAAACCCTAGAAGAAAACCTAGGCATTACCATTCAGGACATAGGCATGGGCAAGGACTTCATGTCTAAAACACCAAAAGCAATGGCAACAAAAGCCAAAATTGACAAATGGGATCTAATTAAACTAAAGAGCTTCTGCACAGCAAAAGAAACTACCATCAGATGAACAGGCAACCTACAAAATGGGAGAAAATTTGTGCAATCTACTCATCTGACAAAGGGCTAATATCCAGAATCTACAATGAACTCCAACAAATTTACAAGAAAAAACAAACAACCCCATCAACAAGTGGGCGAAGGACATGAACAGACACTTCTCAAAAGAAGACATTTATGCAGCCAAAAAACACATGAAAAAATGCTCACCATCACTGGCCATCAGAGAAATGCAAATCAAAACCACAATGAGATACCATCTCACACCAGTTAGAATGGCAATCATTAAAAAGTCAGGAAACAACAGGTGCTGGAGAGGTGGAGAAATAGGAACACTTTTACACTGTTGGTGGGACTGTAAACTAGTTCAACCATTGTGCAAGTCAGTGTGGCGATTCCTCAGGGATCTAGAACTAGAAATACCGTTTGACCCAGCCATCCCATTACTGGGTATATACCCAAAGGACTATAAAGCATGCTGCTATAAAGACACATGCACACGTATGTTTATTGCGGCATTATTCACAATAGCAAAGACTTGGAACCAACCCAAATGTCCAACAATGATAGACTGGATTAAGAAAATGTGGCACATATACACCATGGAATACTATGCAGCCATAAAAATGATGAGTTCACATCCTTTGTAGGGACATGGATGAAATTGGAAATCATCATTCTCAGTAAACTATCGCAAGAACAAAAAACCAAACACCACATATTCTCACTTATAGGTGGGAATTGAACAATGAGAACACATGGACACAGGAAGGGGAACATCACACTCTGGGGACTGTTGTGGGTTGGGGGGAAGGGGGAGGGATAGCACTGGGAGATATACCTAATGCTAGATGATGAGTTAGTGGGTGCAGCGCACCAGCATGGCACATGTATACATATGCAACTAACCTGCACATTGTGCACATGTACCCTAAAACTTAAAGTATAATAATAATAAATAAATAAATAAAAAAGAAAACTAATAAAAAAAAAAGAAGAAGAAGAAAGGAACTGGACTATTCACTGGGGGTTTTATAGTTTTACCCTCCAAAAGACATGCAACACTTCAAATACATTTCCTTGTCCGGAGAAAAATGAATTAGCTCTATCTAATTGTAATAGGGCTAAGAAGTTTGCCTTTTGCATAGGAAGAAAAGGAGAACCAGATATGTTTGTTAGTGAAGCTGGCTACAACTCACAGGTTTTCATGAATAAAGACAAAAGACATACTGAAACATATGAGGAGCCGTGATATATTTAAGTTAAGAAAAAGAATTACTTGAAAAGAGTATCAAGCACACTTGATGAGGGCTGCACTATGGGGATAAAAAGCAAGTCAAACTAGAGCATATGTATGTACATGTACGTATAAATTCCCACATACCTATATATAAAATGTGTATATATTTTATACATTCAATTGCAGGATATAGAGACATACAATGGAAATATTTATGGACATATATATAACTTTTTAAAAATTTGTAATAAGTAATATTAACAATGTTTCAGTCATTGAATGCAAGGGACAAATACTAATAGTGTGGGTCTTCTTAAATTATTTTCTAGGGACTCTCTTTTTCTTGGAAGTTATGTTTTTTACTTGCATATACAGCCTTCTTTTCTTCTGGACATATATTTATATTATGTATTTTTTTGAGATGCATTTGGTAGGAGGATAAACCATAGCCTATATTCAATGTCAATGAACTAGATTCATATTTAAAGAAAAAAACCTTTAGATATCTATCTACCTATATTTATAACTATCTCTGTGTCCAGCTATTATTTAGTTATTTATGAATTAGCCAGTGGTGTGTGAAACACATGGCTTACTTTGACATCTTAACTGAAAGATTATCTTTTCATATTAATATGTGGTTTAGAACACTTATGGCTTAGAACACTTTTACATATTATTAAAGGTAAAGTGAAATACTATGAATCAATTGTATAAATAAAGCTTAATTTTATTACCTTGTTTTTGAATATGTAAAAGATTATATATAATTATTATAACTAACATGCTAATTAAAAATTATTTATCTTTTTGTCTCTGTTTAGTGATTATATACATTAGATTCCTAGAATACAAAATTAATAATCAAAGGTATATGTAGTCACTGGATTTGTCAGCCAGTTTACTTCTAGCCCTATGTGAAGTTGCCAGTCTCTGATCATACCTATTACTATTGTTTATTTTTATTTTATTTTCTTAACATTTTAAGATCTTATTTTTATTTTTTATTTTATTAACAATAACATTTTAAAATTTCACTTATTTTTTACTCTTTTTATTTCTCTGAGAAACTTTTCACATATTTGGAAAACTTCAGCTTTTTGTTAGAACTGTTTTATATCACACTCTTTTTGTCATACAATTCTTTTTTTTCCCAAGTAATTATTTTTTTATATTATTAATGATATTTTTGTATATTAACAATAAAAGTTTCTCTAGACCAGCCTGGCCAACATGGTGAAACCCCGTCTCTACTAAAAATAAAAAAAACTAGCCAGGTGTGGTGGCACACACCTGTAATCCCAGGTACTTGGGAGGCTAAAGTAGGAGAATTGCTTTAACCCGGGAGGTGGAGGTTGCAGGGAGCCAAGATTGCACCATTGCACTCTAGCTCTGGGTGACAGAGCAAGACTCTGTCTCAGAAAAAATAATAATAACAATAATTAAAAGTTGTACCATATGTGCATACAAGCACAAATACTCAAACATTTGTTTTGCTGTACATATTTTGAACCATTTTCCCAACTTACATGCATTTCATATTCTGGTCTTTTATTGTCTCTTAGATAATACCATTGTGTTCTGAAACTTATTCAGACATATACATTAGAGATGGGGGTCTGACTTTGTTGCCTAGACTGGAGTGCAGTGGTAAAATCATTGCTCACTGCTGGCTCCAACTCCTGGGCTGGCTTATTCCTTAGTAGCTGGCTACTAAGTAGTAGCTCCTTAGTAGCTGGCTAATTTCTAAATTTTTCATAGAGATGGGGTCTCACCATATTTTCTAGGCTAGTCTTCAAACTTATTCATTTTTTTCTTAATTATTAGTTGTGGAATTTGAAAAAAATTACTTATATGTGCTTTAATATAACAAACATAAAACAGAAGTCTAAATTTTCCCACCATATATGCAATGTATTAAAATAATTGATACATTTTACATGCTTAGCACAGTGCCTAATGGAAATTAACTGCTCCATGTATTTACTACCATCATCATCATTTATGTTTTCCCTATTGTTTTTGTGCTTAAATCTTTTTTTGGCTCAGATAAGTGCTAGATAATGCCAAGAGAATTTCTATATTCATATATCACTTTACAACTTTGACAAATTTTGTGACTTTCTAGACTTATTGTCCTTTGAAAATAAAGCAATAAAATAGGATTGGTGTCATAATTTCAACTATAATAACAGAAATAGCAGGTTTTTACATGAATTTTCTGTAATTAATCTGTCATATATCTGTAAAGCAAAGGAACGCTAATCAATGTTCTTTATTCTCTTACAGAAATGTAACCTTTTGAAAACAACTAAAAATATTTTCATTCATTATTTTAAAAAAAGACTTGATATTCAAATGGTTTGTATAGTAATGTTATTTTAAAAGTACTACTTTCAAAAAACAGATTTATACAAATATATGAAAGGAAAGATTGCCATTATGTAAGTATTTCCCTATTTTAAAGAGTAAGTACAGAAAATAAAATGCAGAAGTAAAGTGAAATACAGACATAGATGAAATTGATAATTTCAAGATTAAGACAAAATAATTAGTAAATTCTAAGTTTGTATACCACTTATCAGCTTAGTCAAAGAAAAACATTGGTCCATCCACAGAAGAAAATATAAGGAATAAACATCTTTAGTTGTTTGCATAGTATATGAAAATTTTTTGTTAATTAATATAATAATCTTCACACTTTTCAGAAATTAAAACTTAATGTCTTGATTTTCCTGCCTCTTATAATTTGATCCTGCATTTTCTACTAATTTATGATTAATGGTGATGGAGATTGCTTTTTTCCTAAGTGTCTGTTTCTACCTCTACATAATTATAGAAATTTTAGCCAACAATCTGTTTGCAAAACACTTTTGCTTCTTGATTTGGTCATGTGACAAGACAATGAACAATGGGATGAAAATGAAATGTCATGTATCAGTTTGAACAGACTTTCTTAAAATCTAGTTGGCATTCATACCCTTCTCTCTATTACTTTGTTCCTTTCTCTACCATGTTGGTGATTTTGGTCACATAATAAGGATAATTGTGCAGTAAGCTGAAAGAAGCCTGGATCCCAAAGAACTTTGAGAAACATCATGATAGTATCATCCTTGTATTACATACATAAACACATACACAAATGAGATCAATATTTTCTTTAAAACAATGCTATTTTACTGTCAGTTTAAAACCAATTTAAAATTTGCTAATACATAAATTTTATTCATAACTTGTTTAAACCCTATATGGAATTGACGGTCTAAGCCAAATATTTGATATGCTATTGCTGTGTATTTCGGCCTTCTTTGTAGAAGTCTTGGAACCATGGGCTTAATTTTGGCCAGTCACCTCTAAGTTGAAGTAATGTGTGCATGTCTCATCCCTACCTCTTTTCTGCTGGAACACTGCCTTTAAGACACAAATGGTCCAGACTATCCAGTTAAAATCAAGGAAGGGCACAAGAATTGCATCAGACACTTTGAGAGTGAGAAATAAACTTCTATTGATTTATGCCATTGGGATAGGGCTGGGAGGAGTATGACTCTTGCTAAGTAGTTTAAATGCATTTGCTTCATTTTCTGATTTCTTCAGGTCCACATAGTAAGTCTTTTTTAATAAGAAATTATTGAAGCCCACAAGAAAGTCCTAAAAGTTTTTTAACAAAGTGCTTTAACACTGCAGACAGATTCAACGTGTGTTGGAACTGCAGGCAACAAGAGGAAGCAGCCCTTTACACAGGGTGTTTTCTTGTGGCAAATCTCTATAGGATGTGACCCCATGAGGTAATACACTCAGAGAAAAAGAGAAAAGACGGGAGGAAGGGGGAAAATAGAAAAAAAAATTAAAATATATTATTTCATTAGTGGTAAATTGCAACAATGACAATATTTTTAGACTTGGTAATTTGGAATAAAATAAATTTATCTATATCCTAATATGTTGCAAACGTTCATTTTTTTTTCTAATTAATTGAATGAATACTTTTACACACAAAAAAATGTAAAGGACTATTTGTCTCCACTACTCTTCAGTTATAGCTGTTTTATGTTTTTAGCTATTTGACTACTTGAATATACAGTTTATTTTTCACAATGGAAAAGTCATAAATGGACTTCTAAAGTGAACAATATAATGCAGAGATACTGAAATATAATGATTGCAATGAGAAGTCAGTTTTAAAACAACTTCTAAAGTGACCAGTATATTGCACAGATACTGCAATGTTTAAATCATAAGAACTTAGCTTGATGTTTCCCAGTGGAAGTGCTAAGAACCTTGTATATGCTCAAGTACAAGAAAAAAAAGCAAATATTTTATCCAAATTAAACAATCTAACAGATTAATTTCAAGCTGAAGTTAATAAACTGAGTATGCTGAAATAGAAGCTGAGAAGAATGGATGGAAATTGGGTAAGAAGAAGTAAAAATCTACTTAATGTAAATTTTTCAGGAACCAGGAAACATAAGAAATAATTCAATGCAGAATAGTTTAGTTCTGTTTGAATGGAATTTATTAATTCAACAACAAATTTTTAAGTCCTTAGTATAAAATTTGGCTTGGGGGATGATAGAGTTAATGACTGTGAATTAAACAGTAGCTGAACTTTATATTTTTAGCCTCATGAAAATTGGCAAATAAAAATACTATATTTTAAGAAAGGGTAAAACAATAAAAGGGAAATGTTATTAGTCAATTATAATAAAACTATAAAATCCATAAGGATTCTGAAATTATGTAACTATTTCATTTGTGAAAATCATTATATAATAGTATACTAAAAAAGTCATTTATAAGGCTTTCCTGTGTAAGTGAAATAGCTGTATAAAACTTATGTAAAAACTGTCAATTGTTTTCCATTAATTCTGTTTTTATAAAATCTTTGCTCAGATAAAAAAATTTGGGGGGGATTTGAAATTGTTTGTATTTCAATAATTTTCACAGGAAATTATATCTTTAATTAACTATATTTTCTAAGATCTGTAGAAGCATTCCTTTCTTTTCAAGTTCAGTTTCTTTTAAGTTGAATATTGTTTTATTAATTTACTCATTTATTCATTCAATCATTCAAGAAAATTTGAGAATATTCTATGTTTGAGGCCTTGTTCAGATCTCAAAGTTAAAATGCTAAGACTATATTGCAGATGTGGTCCCTGCTCATGTGGATCTTACAGTATGCAGAATAGCCTATCCACATTTCAGAGGCCATGCAAACACAATTACCACATGGATAATTTTCAAGGAGTCTAACTTTTAAATTCTTTATTATGAATATTCAGAAAAAGTAAAGCTATATTTTTATATTTTCTCAATTAGTTTCCCTACATACTGGCATTTATTCTAAGTTAAAAATGTATTGGTGGAAATATGTCTAAACTTTTCATCTTTCTGTTAGACTACATACACCTTGACTGGTGCTGGAAAGACAAGTGATAGCAACAATTACACCATGTTAAAAACTCCTGGATTGGAACAACTACTTCTCAGTAATATTTAAAGTATCTCTATAACTTATAATGGTGGCTTATGCAGAGTTAGTACTCAAAACTTATCTTAGCATATACCTAGGTGAGTAAACCTGAGCAAATTTGTGAAATGAGGAATTTAACTTTATATTTTGGTGACCTACACTCACCAACAATTAATTAGAATATAGTAAAGAAATAGAGAGAAACTAAAAATAGAAATAAATGAAAGCAACCTGCTTCTACATTTATAATTTTACTCAATGGATGGATATATAGACAGACATAAATGAATACACAGAGATAGATATAAATATAAATATAAACATAAATATAAATATAAATATAAATATAAATATAAATCAGCCCCCAATTGTCAACTAGGGACAATTGTGCCCTACAGTGCACATTTGGCAATATCTGGGAAAATTTGGCTTGTCACACTTTGGGCTAAGATTGCTACTGGCATCTGACAGATTGGACCCAGTGATACTATGAAACATATTACAATAAACAGAAGATGCTCCACCCCAAGAAATAATTGTTTGGTTTTGAAATCAATAATGCCAGTGTTATGAAAGGTAGCAAGGCATTTGATGTGAACACAGATACAATAAATTTATCTTAATTCTGCATAAAAAGTAAATTATAATTAACAAGTTCTCTGAGCAATTACATTTCCATGTATACTCACTATGTATACAAATCTGTGTTTATAGAATGCAGATACTTGGTAATCTATATCTGTTCTTTAAGATGAAAGCAAGACAATGTTTACCCATATACAACAGCAATATTAATGAAAGGAAAAGAAATTTAAGAAATATCAGTCATTATGCAATCTAAAAACAAGACTTTCAACCTAGAGCAAGGAACATTTCAAAGGTGGTTAAAAAATGCCTTTTTCCTTTTTTTCATTTATTTTACTTTTCTTTCTGTTGGAAACAAAAGAGTTGTCTTAATTTTTAATCTGAATTCTGATTATACAAGTAAATTCATCACAGTTATTCAGACCATTTAAATAGGATCATAAACACATTCAGCATTCTGCTCTTGCCCAAGGTGTCAGGCACCATGCTAGAGCCCCACAATGTCACCCTCCAAGTCTCATAGCAAATGCAGATGAGACTTTTTGCATTGATTATGAAGCCTTCTATGACATCTGCTTCAGAACCCTAAAGCTGCCCATGCCCACCTAGAGTGACCTAAACCTCCTAGTATCTGCCACCATAAATGGGTTCGCCACCTGCCTGTGATTCCCAGGCCAGCTGAATGCTGACCTGTGGAAGCTGACCATGAACATCATCCCATTCCCCTACCTGCACTTCTTCATGCCTGGCTTTGCCCCACTGACCAGCCAGGGCAGTCAGCAGTACCAGGCCCTGACCGTGGCTGAACTCACTCAGCAGATGTTTGACACCAAGAATATCACAGCTGCTTGTGACACCTCACCTCATTATGGCTGCTACCTAACAGTTCCTGCCATTTTCAGAGGCCACATGTCCACATGGGAAGTGGATGAGCAAATGCTCGATGTTCAAAACAAAAACAGCTGCTACTTTGCTTATTGGCTCCCCAACCATGTGAAAACAGCTGTCTGTGACATCCCACCCCAGGGGCTAAAAATGTCTGACACCTTTATCAGCAACAACACGGCCAGCCAGGAGCTGTTCAGGCCACATCTCGGAGCAGTTCACAGCCATGTTCAGGTGCAAGGTCTTCCTGCACTGCTATATGAGTGAGGGCATGGATGAGATGGAGTTCACTGAGGCCAAGAGCAGCATGAACAATCTTGTGTCCAAGTACCAACAGTACTACCAGCATGCCACAGCTGAGGAGGAGGTAGAGTTTGAGGAGTGTGCTGAGGAGGAGGTGGCCTAGATCCTTCTGTTACTGGGTAATAGTAGAAGGAGTATGGGGATTCTCTATTTACTCACAGTGTGTTCTGGGATAGCCATGTATCACTGTGCACTTGTTGTTCATGTCTTTACCTCACAACTTGTTGCATTTTAAAGCATTTTCATGGTATGTGGTTTTGCCTAATAAAGCATTCTCATAGGAAAAAAAAAGAAGGTTACTTGAAAAATATAAAGTGTGGTATGCTTTTTTAAAAGATAACTATAGGGTATTACATGTAAAATTGCCCCATAAACAATTTTATAGACTAGCTGTAATTAAAGAAAATCAGGTTATTTCTCATCTATATTACAAATTTTACTTAGACCATAAGGATTACAGAAAGTCAAATTTCATTTTAAAAATCCAGGCATTATGTCACTGAGTGTTTAGCTAATTTAAGAAATTTGAGTGGCCTCCCAGTGAGAATAATGTTTTTGTTCATTTATTTATTTCCAATAAATAGGTAATAAATGTTTTCCATGTGCCAAGCATTGACCTAGGTCCTGTGGACACAAAAGTTGATAAACTAAACATGGTTCTAGTCTTCACATATTATGTAATCCAATTAGAAAGACATATTATGGGCAAAAATAAAAAAACACATGAATAATTTGGGATTTTGAAATGTAATGACAAATAAACAAGGTGTTATGAAAATCATAGCAAAACTGGAAGGCCCTGACTTAGTGTAGTCACACAAGTTCATCTACTGAGTTGATATTTATCCTCAGTTCTGAAACATGAAAAGAAGGCAGAGACGAAGGCTGAATAAAAATAAAATTGTAAAGATATTCTGATAAATGAAAAAGTTCAACCTGCTATATCAGTGGTCTCCAGAGCAGAGTGCTCAAGATGATTTGTTGAGGATTGAAAACAAATTGTTAAAGATCTTATTTATAGTCATCTTTTTATCTAAGGAATAAGAAAGGCAATAATTTTATAAATGAGTAATGCATTAACTGATAGTAGCAAGTGAATCCATGGCCACACTAACACTTGAAATGAAATAAAAGTAAAGTGAGAGATCTACAAGATAGACAATTGCAGTGGAAATTTATCATGCTTCTTTTCTCTCCCTAAGACTGCTTCAATTGACTATAGGTTCCATTATCTACAATACTGAAATTTGGCCTTAAATAGTAGGTGAGTAGTTTTCAATGATTCCTGTTTAGAAACTGAGGCCTCAATGTAATGATGATACTGATATGAAGAAGCAAAAATAATTGATACAGCTGGTATTGCTACTCCTTAAAGTGTTCTTCTCAGCCATATTATGGTATAAAAATAATGGCAATCTAAATTGAAATATCAAAAGTGGCAATGAGATACAGCATTTGGCATCATCAAAAGATTATCTGAAATATGAATTTCTGAGTAATCTTCTACTAGTATTAAAAATAAATTATGCCCTTTACATGTATTGTACCTTGATATTTTAACTAAGGATGATATGAAACCAAAGCATATTTCATTTAATCATTTTACATAATTATATAAATGTTAAGTATAATAAGAAAAAGAACATATTGGAAGTAACCTGGGAAACACCAACAACTGAAATTACTGGGATGTTGTTGCAGCTTTTTCACTCCTGTTTTTTGGTTACACTCACCACTGGCAAACTCCAGGTTCTTGTCTCAAGACCAAGAAGAATAAGGCAGGCGGACACCAGAAAGTGAGTAAGGCAGAGTCAAATGTATTAAGTGACAGAAATGCTCTAAGAAAAAGTGGTGTCCCAAATGAGGGTTGCCAGTTGCAGGGCAAAGTTCAGGGGTTTTTATGGAGTGGGACAGGGGAAGTGTGTGCTGACTGGTCTGCCTGCTGTCTTGAAGAAAGTACCACTCAGAAACAGACATGATAGTGAAAAGAATCAATTGAGGCAGAGGTGAAGGCTTGGCCTGAGACCTTGGCCCAGGAATAATCAGGGGCTGAAGTGAAGGTTTGGCCTAGGGCCTTGGCCCTGGACCAATCAGGGGCTGATGTGACCTTACACTTTATGCAAATGAAGATTTGGCCCACAATCACAGGAGATAGGCATATATAAAATGGGTGAAAGGTAAGGACCAATATGGAAGAAGCAAGACAAAGATGAACCAAAGAGAGAGAAATGTATCCAAAAGATAAGTGGAATTTGTTCATCTCAGCTCACAAAATAGGCCTTTCCATTGAAGGACACATGCTCTTTCTTATCTGAGGCCTGCAGCTTGATTTTTAGGCTGTCCTTGGCTGGAAGGACTTTTGCCAAGGAGCCACCCTAACTGCCCGCCTGACTGGTTTCTTCCTTCCTCCTCTCTCAATATCACCGACATTGTTAATCTACATGTCTTTTTCCTAATTATTTCACCTTCCAACTCTCCAAAACTCATGAAGTAACCACTAATCAGGTTGATATGATTAGCCTGTGCCTTATTTTTTATACCTTTAATTCTCTCATATGTGCATACATTCTCAAAAAATAGGTTGTTCATATTTTCTTATTTTTTGAGCTCTATATATAGTGTATGAAGTCCTTGAACATGCTCTCTTTACAACATTGTGTGGTTGAAAATATCTGTTGATTTATGTTACTATAGTTCATTTTCTCTTAATGTTATATACAGAATTTCATTTTGTTAAATTATCGCAATTTCCTTATTTTCTTTTCAATAGGCACTATATATAAATCTTTTTCATATAATTCCTTTTTTTATTTTCATTGACTCATAGGAGATATTTATGAATTTAGTATATTTATATTTTAATTTTTTTTCTATATTGTAATTTGCCTTGTATCATTCTTTAGGTGGTCTCTGATGAGCAGAACTTATTGATTTCAAAGTAGATAAATTTTAAAATTGTTTAATTTATAAATTATATATTTTCTTACTTGAATAATTGTTCCAACCTACAGTTAATAAGTTTATTGTCCCTTATACTCTATTAAGAGCTTTATATTTTTGACTTTTAATTTTAATTTAATTTAATTTATTTTTTTTGAGACAGAGTTTCGCTCTTATTGTCCAGGCTGGAGTGTAATGGCATGATCTCGGCTAACTGCAACCTCCACTTCTCAGGTTCAAGCAATTCTCCTGCCTGAGCCTCCCAAGTAGCTGGGATTACAGGCACCCACCACCATGCCTGGCTAATTTTTTGTATTTTTAGTAGAGATGAGGTTTCACCATATTGGCCTGGGTGGTCTCAAATTCATGACCTCAGATGATCTGCCCGCCTCAGCCTCCCAAAGTGCTGGGATTACAAGCCGAGCCACCATGCCCAGCCAATTTTAATTTTTTAATCAGTCTAAACAGATTTGTTTTTGTTTAGTTTTCAGGCAAGATCTTCTATATGGTCACCTAATTATCCCAGTACTATTTTCAGGAATATTCAACTCTTTGCCTAGTGAATTGTAATACAATATTTGCCATAAATAAAACTTTGATAAGTGTAAATATATGTTTGCTTCTCTATTCTGTTAAATTGATACATCTGTCTTCTCTGTGTGATTCCACATTGTTTGCAATTCTACAATGTTTTAGTGAGTCTTGATCTGTAATAGGGCAATATCTCCAAACTATTGCACTTCCTCAGATGCATTTTAGCTTATCTTGAGTCAAATTTAAATTTCAGATTCTACGGCCTAGAAAACTTCTTTAGGTATACTAGTAAGAGTTCCACAGAAACTACAGATCAACTTGGGAGAAACTGACAACTTTATAAGAGTTTCTAACCATAAAAATTGCATAAGTCTTTATATATTTATCACATCAATGTAGATTTTGCAATTTTGTCAGATTTATTTCTCATAATTTTATCGTATTTAGTTATATAATAAATGATGCCTTCTTTAAATTTCTAAATTATATGGTTGTGCAACCAACTGAATCACAATAAATATATAATAAGTTTATGTTTTAGAAGAAACTGCCAAACTTTTCTGAAGGGACGGTGCCATTTTGCATTTCAAGCAACAGTTGATGGGAGTTCACATTGCTTACATCCTTATAAGCTTTTAATATTCTCAGTCTTTTAAATTTTATATATTCTAATAGATGTGCATAGTGGCATTTTGTTTTACTTTGCATTTCTTTAACAACTAATGATGTTGAGCACCCATATGTGTTTATTATATATGTATGTATACGTATATACATACACACATACATTCTTTGCTAAAAAATCTAGTCATATTATTTGCCTAATTAAAATTTTGCCTTTTTTACTTACACTGATTTGTGGGGGTTCTTTATATATCCTGGCTATCAGTTTTTTTCTCTTTTGCTAAGTTAAATGTTATCACCCATCTCACTCAAGAAATACCTATTTCTTGAAGAAAAATGAAAACTTACGTTAACAGAAAAACATGTATACTAATGATGATAGAGGTTTTGTACATAATTAAAACAGAAAATAACCCAAATATTCTTCATCTAGTGAGTGGATAAACAATGATACAGCCTTACAATGGAGCTCTAATTAGCAATTAAAAAAATGAACTACAAATACATGCATCCAGCATAGACGAATTTCAAAGCATTATGCTAAGTGAAAGAATCCAGATTCTAAAAACCACACGCTATAAAGTTCTATTTATATGACCTCTGAAACAGGCAAATTTATAGGGACTAAAAATAGATGAGTGTTCGCCAGAAACCAGGAATTGGGGAGGATATTGACACCAGGGGGTCATGAGTTAATCATGGGTGACGGAACTTGTATAAATTATGTTGTTAGTATAAGTTTAAAAACCGTATATGCTTGTTAAAGCTCAGATTATATTTTTTAAAATGGGCAGATTTTGCTTCAAATAGATTCCAAAAACCTGACCAAGAACAAAACAAGGTGTCTGTATCTTTGATTTTATTTTTTAGGGATTCCGACTATGATTACAATACATTTTCTATGCCGGAGTCCTCTAGCATTTTAAATGATTTTGAAGTGTCTCCTTAATTTTGCCTTATTTTCTTTCTTTTTCCCATTTCTATCCTCTCTGCCTCTTATTGTGCTTTGTCTGGTGTCTATTTGCTCTGTGTGCCTTCTAATCTAGTGCTCATTTCTAACGTCTGCTATTTCCTATGTGTGGCACCCTCACTTGTTTGGCCGTGTCTTTGAATTCCTGTGTGTTTGCTGGGCTCTCTTCATTGAGTTTGCTGGTTTTAATTTCATCATGAAATTTTTGGTTAAATTTTCTTCCACTTGTGCCGTTTACTTGGTACTTTCTTTGTTTCCGCCTTTTTTTTTTTTTGAGACTATATCTTTGCTTTACTAGCCCCTACCAATTTCTAGCCTCTAAAATGATCCTCTCACTTTTAGAAAGTGCATTTTACTAATATTCTTGAGTTTAACCATCTCTGCACACTCCACAGTAACTTGTATCCCTTCTTTCTCAATCCTCCCAGGTGCCTGCATGCAGTTTAGTTGTATATCTGATCAAAGTAACTTCCACTATAGGTTGAGACTTCTGGGAAGGTGTGTTTGCTGGGTATTTTAGTTACCTAACTCTAATCATTTAATCAGTTTTAATCATTTTAATCAGATTTAATTAGTTATCTAAATCTAATCATAACTCTAATCTAAGTCACCATTCTCTGTTCTTCCTACTAAAATTTTCTACAGTGTCTGCATGTATAATTCTGCTGTTTTAAGCTACTGCTGTTCTTAAACACCAGCTACGTGTGGTTTGCATTAGTCAGGGTTCTCCAGAGGGAAAGGACCAATAGGATATACGTATATATAAAAGGGAGCTTATTAGGGATAACTGGCTTACACGATTACAAGGTGAAGTCCCACAACAGGCTGTTTGCAAGCTGGGAAAAGCAGAAGCCAGTAGCATGGCACAGTCCAAGTCCAAAAGCCCCCAAATTAGGGAAACCAACAGCACAGCCTTCAGTCTGAAGCCAAAGGCCTGAGGGCCCCTGGGAAGCTCCTGGTGAAAGTCCCAGAGTCCAAATGCCAAATAACATGAGAAGGAGGAGAGCAAGCAAACATCTGGCATGAAAAGAGAGAGAAAGTCAGAAGACTCAGCAAGCCAGCTTATACCTCTTCTTCCTCCTGCTTTGTTCTAACATACTGGTAGCCCATTGGATGGCGCCCACCAATACTGAGGGTGGGTCTTCCTCTCCCAGTCTTCTGACTCAAATGCCAGTCTCCTCTGGCAACACCCTCACAGACACATTCAGAAACAGTGCTTCACAAGCCATCTAGGCATCCCTCAATCCAGTCAAGTCGACATCTAATATTAACTATCACAAGTCCATCCCTTGTCAGCTTGGCACCCATACACATCTTCTTAAATCATACTCAATCTCCAAATAAAGACAATAACAAGGTCATAATTCTGCTAAGATAATAAAATTATCCTTCATACAACCAAAAATACACTAACCTAAATATGATTACATAAAATTAACAATACTTAAATGCTGATTTGAAGTCAATAAATCTGTTACATAATAAATAATAATAAAGGTAATAAAACAAATATATTTACTTAATACAGGTGTGTATATGCACAAATTTATTCTTAACAAAATAAGGAGGAAATACTCATAAAAATTACCATCTTCATTTCTTTAATTAGCTGCATGGTTGCAGCTGGTATTTGATAACTACCTTCTTCTACTATCCATTCTATATTTCCTTTGCTTTTTGTAAGCATCTCTTGGCAAAAGCATTACATGTGGGAAAGGCACATCTATATCCAGAGGAAGTGTTTATTCAGTAAGATAAACTGCTGCCCCTTCCATGATGGAAGTGGTCCAATGTAATCAACCTGCCACCAGGTAGCTGGTTGATCACCCAGAGGAATGGTGCCATATCTATGTCTCAGTGTTGGTCTCTGCTGCTAGCAGATTGGGCACTCAGCAGCGGCCATGGCCAGGTCAGTCTTGGTGAGTGGAACTTCATGTTGCTAAGCCCATGCATAACCTCTACCATGCCACTTTGCTCACGAGCCTATTGAGCAATAACAGAAGTGACTGAAGAAAGAGGTTGAGTGTTGTCTACAGAATGAGTTATCTTATCCATTTGATTACTAAAATCTTCCTCTGCTGAGGTCACCCTTTAGTGAGCATTCACATGAGACACAAATATCTTCACAATTTTTGACTATTCAGGGAGGTTCATTCACATACCTCTTCCCCAAATTTCTTTGTTACCAATTTTTCAATCATGCTCCTTCCAAGTACGTGAACATTCAGCCAAACCATTGGCTATAGCTCACGAACTGGTATATAATCATACTTCTGGCCATTTCTCCTTCCAGGCAAAGTGCATAACAAGGTGCAGTGCTTGACGTTCTGCCCTCTGGGAAGATTTATCTTCACCACTGTCCTCCAGGAATGTCCCAGAAAGGAACCATAGTGCTACAGCTGTCCACTTTCAGGTGGTGCCTGCATGTCTTACAGAACCATCTGTAAAACAGGCCCTAGTCTTCTCTTCCTCTGTCAACTAATAATAGGGAACTCCCAAAGAGGCCATAGGAACAGGCTGAGAGAAAAAAGGCAGGGTAGCAGGAATGAGGACCATGGGCATTTGGGCCACTTCCTTATGTAACTTGTACCTTCAGCACCTCCTCAAGCCTGATCACATATATACCACTTCCATTTAATGATGGAATGTTTCTGTGCATGCCCAATTTTATTGGTAGGTGGGTCAGAAAGCACCCAGTTCATAAAAGGCGGTTTAGATTGCTTGGTAACTTGGTGACCCATAGTCAAATGTTCAGTTTCTACAATGGCCCAGTAGCAGGCCAAGAGCTGTCTTTCCAAAGGAGAATAGTTATCTGCAGAAGATGGTAGGGCATTGCTCCAAAATCCTAGGGGTCTCCACTGTGATTCACCTATGGGGACCTGCCAAAGGCTCCAGACAGCATCCCTATTTACCACTGACACCTCAATCATGACTGGATCTGCTGGGTTATGTGGCCCAAGTGGCAGCGCAGCTTGCACAGCAGCCTAGACCTGTTGCAGAGTCTTCTCCTGCACTCACAACTAGCAGCCTTTTGAGTCACTCAATAAATAGGCCAGAGCAACACACACAAATGAGGAATGTGATGTCCTCAAAATCCAAATGGGCCCACTAGGCATTGTGTTTCTTTCTTGGTTGTAGGAGTGGCCAGATGCAATAACTTATTATTCACCTTAAAAGGAATATCTTGACAGGCCCTATACCACCAGACCTCTAGAAATTTCACTGAGGTAGAAGGCCCCTGAATTTTAGTCAGATTTATTTCCCATTCCCTGACATGTGACTGTCTCACCAATAAGTCCAGTGTGGTTGCTACTTCTTGCTTACTAGGTCCAATCACCATAATGTCACCAATGTAACGGACCATTGTGATATCTTACAGAAGGAAAAAGCGATCAAAATTTCTGCAAACAAGATTATGACTTAGAGCTGAAGAGTTAACATACCACTGATTTAGAACAGTAAAGGTGTATTGCTGAGTTTGACAGCTGAAGGCAAATTGCTTCTGGTGGCCCTATGGACAGGGATGGAGAAAAAGACATCTAACTCATACAGGATGTATCTCAAGTCACCATTCTTCTCTATTCTTCCCACTATAATTTTCTCTAGTGGCTGCATATATACTCTGCTATTTCAAGCTACTGCTGTTCTTACACAGCAGCTATTTGGGGTTTATAACAGTTTGATTTTTTTTATTTTATATTTAATTTTTTGTTTCATTAAAAAATATGTAGTCTCTTCCCATTCTTTTATTTTATCTGAGTGGATTCTAGGAGATAGATTCTAAACTAAGGTAAATTCTCATATTTCTATTGGAATTCCAAGGTAAAAATAAATTGAAGCAACTTTTTCCCTTTTTTATAGTCATACTTCTTACGTATAAGATTATGAAGGTATAAATATAACATGTATGCATACAATAAAGGCCACTAAAACGTGTTTTTAAGTTGTCTATAATTTTAAAAAATCAATAGAATGATAAAAATTGAGGAAGAAATCACATAACATTTTCTATATTAGAAAGAATTATACCCATAATAGTAATAGGAATTATCCATAAATGTAAAACAACGTAAAGGAATTATATGTAATTATCACATCTCTGTGATGTATAAAAATTGTGTACGCATAACCAAACCTATTTATTCAAATAAAAACAGATCAGTTGTTGCCCTTTCTTAAACTATTCATCATTTTCCTGTAATTCGTATAGTGGTTTGTTTTTCCTCATTGTTTTTAATGTCATTTTGCAGAACTCTCTCCCTTTTTTTCTCTTTTTCTGTGCCCTGCACTATAATCTTTGTCCCTCTCCCTGTCAATTATGTTGTGGAAGGCTATTTATTTTTCCTTAGCGAAGTATTATTTTGATGAGAAAGATCTGGTTTCCACAGAGTAGTGCCATAACCCTAGAGTTTCCAGAAAATTATATTAAATAAATGTTCAGATAGTACTAAAAAAAGTGTTTGTATTGCTTTTAATTTAACCAGATTCAGCTATTGGAAAAGCTCAGAGCATGTGTATACTAGAACCATGTATATTGGTGTGTAGAATTTTGGGCTGCAAAAAAAGGGTTGGGAGAGTCATGAAATCGAAGGAGGGGATTGAAAACATTATCACAGTTAGGAGATAATATAAAAGGGGGTTGAAAATGATATAGAGAAGTTGGAACAAACTATCCATATCCTACTGATTTTATTTTGTTAATCAGCAAGCTTTAGGATATATTATTAAATTCAAGTAAATAGATCAAGTTCCCAGAGATTCATAGATATCAAACATTTAAAGAAACCATATTTGCATCAAAGTGAGTTGGAAGTAAATAAAATAAGTGAGTATATATTATACTTTTTAAATATATAACAGAAAATAAATTTGGGAGTTCATATTTGAAATTAGAATCTATTTTACTTTAGATAATGTGTAAAGCATGGAGAAATAAAGAAGAAAATTAAGTGCAAATTACTTGCACTGCAATTTGTAATATGATCTTGAACAGTGTATTTTAAAGTAGTTTGAAAAACAGATGGCAACAAGAGCCAATTTCATTAAAATATATTTTTCTACTCTTTAATTTTGTGTCAAAGAGGAGTTTATCATATGCATTAAATATTCTGCACTTCTTACATTTAAGCTCTCTACATTTTAACAGGATCCAAAAAAATAGTCTTTTTCTATTTCCAAACTAGTACTCAGGAATAATATGGCTACTTCCCCAGAGGCTCCAAACAACCAAATGCTGATGCAAAATCTTTTCTATTCTTTTTAGAAAATAAAAGTTAATCTTATAGAAAAAATAAAATGATTCTTGATTAATAGAAAGGCTTTATTGACGTCTATTTTATCTTTATGATATATTTAAAGAAGATGATTCATTACATTAGCTGGTAACTGGTATTGACCAATGAAATTTAATCTTCAGCAATTCACTTTTTTTTTTTAAGAAAAGCAAACTCATTCTACATTGAATCAATAACATGACCAAAAATCCCTTTAAAAAACTAGGAACTTTCAAGACAATTCGTTAATTCATACATTAATTCATTTATTCATTTTTACACACACACACACACACACACGATACTACTTTAGTCAGTAGGAAAGAGCAAGATTTTGAAGGGCTACAAAACTGTAATTTCACCATAGTTACTGTTTTAAATAGTGTTTTATATACATATTTATTTTGCATGCTAACTTAATCTAGTGGATCAATGTACAATATATGTCACTAACGGTTCACGGCATATCTTAAACAATGAGATATTCTTAGAGAAAAAATACATTAATTTTAATATATTCTAATGTTAAAACATTTAAAAATTAGTACATACATTATTATTTAATTTTAATTACGTATATTACTCTCCTATTGTACTTTTAGTATTATGCACTGGAATGCATTTTCCTCACACTAGAAATTATGATGAATTTAAACTGTTCATAATTTTTGCAATTTAAGTGGCATTATTTAATGACGAACAAAATGTACACAGATGAGAAAAGAAGAAATGTTGAATTCTAGGCAACTATCAGTGTAAAACTGCCTAATATACAACAAATCTCAACTTATTACTCTCCTGAACAGAAATGCTAGATTTATTGACTACATGAAACATGCATCCTTTATAGAATATGGTTTTAAAATTATTCTGATTTTATTAACAAAAAAATGCCTATCAACATTTTTTACATACTGTTTTAACTTATAAATATTACTTCATTTAAGGTTTAACACTGAACACTATGAGGAAGTAATGTTATTTTCTCATATTTACAAATGGGGAAAGTGAAGTATAGGAAGTCTTTGCTGACTTCTAATCACATTTTTGTTGCTTATAGCCTCTTTGCCTTATGTATTCCTATAATAATTAAGCATTTGTAACAAACAAAATATTCCATATCTGTAGATTCTGTGCCCTGAACTTGATACTTCCACTATCCGAATTATGCAGACGCTACTTGTCTGAAGTTAAAGTACATTCTTATTTTTATATCTCATATCAATATTGATATCTCCTTGGAAGTTTACATGACCTCTCCAGACAGATTCAGGAAGCTCTTCAATCCTCCATTGTACATTATTTATACTAAAATTATAGAAACAATTGTAAATGAATATGGTTTTAATTTCTCTATTACATAACATGTTTGTTTAGTACAAGCAGTAGGAAACTTCCATTTTGGGGCCAATATATTTATGATTTTTAGCTAATCCAGGGTAGAATAAAGATGACTGGGAATGTAAAGCAATATGAATCACAGAGCACCTGCCAGATTTTTTTCTATTCCCACTTAGGAATAGGGATTTCTGATTTCCACTGGAGAAGATTCACCATAAGTAAATTGTGCTTCCCTTTACCTGTTTTATCTGCAGCCAGATTCTGAACTGTTAGTCCTTTGAATAGGGTAATAGGGTGCAGTGGTAAAAGCTATTTATTTCCTCCTTAAAAGTCCTTTTTTCTTCATTTATTTTTACCACCCATGTTGTCACCCAGTTTTTTCTTAGGGACTATCTGTTGCACCGATGGAAAGTATCAGAATGTTGCTAACCCCATGCCTAAATTAAGCTTGTAAATAATCTCTTTGTATTGCCATGTGTTTATAATTAATAGAATGGATGGATTCTGGGTTATTTTGTTATTTGTACAATCCTTTCTTGATCTGTTTTATTTGTGTTCTGTTAATTGTGAGCAAACTATTTGTTTTTTCTGCTCAATACTATGAAAATAATCAGACACTGACTTTCCAATATATCTCATTGATGTTAAATGTATTTATCTCTATTTCTGTTTATGTATTTTGACTCTGCTTTTTTTTATGTGAGCATGCGCTTATTTAGACTGCACTTCAGTCAGTTCAGCTGCTATAAAAAATTAACATAGACATTGTGGCTTATAAACAACAGAAATCTACTTCTCATTGTTTTGGAGGATGGAAGTCTGAGATCAAGGTGCCAGCATGGTAGAGTTCTGGTTAGGGCCTCTTCCATGTTACAGACTGCCAACATTTTGTATCCTCACATGGTTGAAAGGCAGAGCAAGACAGAGCTCTTCAGAATTTTTTTGTTTTTGTTTTTGTTTTGAGATGGAGTCTCCCTCTGTCGCCCAGGCTGCAATGCAGTGGCACGATCTCAGCTCACTGCAAGCTCCGCCTCCCGGGTTCACGCCATTCTCCTGCCTCAGCCTCCCTGGGACTACAGGCGCCTGCGACGACCCCCGGCTAATTTCTTTTCTTATTTTTAGTAGAGATGGGGTTTCACCTTGTTAGCCAGGATGGTGTCGATCTCCTGACCTCGTGATCCGCCCTCCTTGGCCTCCCAAAGTACAGGTGTGAGCCACCGCGCCCGGCCCAGAATATTTTTTATAAGGTTACTAATCTCATTCATGAAGGCTCCACTTTTATGACCTAATTACTTCCTAAAATCCCACCTCCTAATATCATCATATTGTGGAGTTAGGATTTCAATGTAATCCTGGGTGGATAAAAATATCCAGTGTGTTATATTATGTTTACCTGTTTCAAAAACACTTTGAATTTGAACATAATAATATATTTATTACCATTTTATTTTCAATCTCTTTGCTACCTAACCATTTTAGCATATTTTGTGTATTACAGAATATTGTCAAATTAATACTTATATTATACTCTTTTACAGTATGAAGAACTTGTGAAGAATGTTCTCTGTTCCTTTCAATTATGCTTTATTACAGAATTTAAAAAGCTATCTGCATTTTGTATGGTATATTCCTTACTTTCTTCTCCACAGGTATTAAAGTTGTGTGTTAAAGTTAAGCTATGTCACTAAATGCTTTGGTAGATTACACTCATGACCCCATATTTTCAGACTTCTCTGTATCCTCACAATTCTGTAGTGCTCTCCCACAGTGACTCTTGGCTTGGCCATCACTTACCCAATGGGTATTTAGCAAACATGACATAAGCAGGAGCTTAAAAATGTTGTGCTTTTTTTCTTCCTCATTTGGTCCCCTGAAACAACCATGACCATATACATTAACTAGCATGCTGGAGGGATGTTAGAGATGCATGGACAAGAGCTGAGTTGACTCAGCAGAGTCCACTCTATACCATTAGAACCCCTCAACTTTACCACAAATACATTAGTAAGCCCACTAGAGATGAGTTGACCCAGCGAAGTACTCATAACCACCAGCCAATCCATGGAGTTGAAAGAAATCATTAGTGTTTTATTTTGCTTTGTGCCACTACGTTTTTGCTTGTTTCACAATATTACTGAAGCCATAAGTGATTGATACTGGTGTCTGAATATTTAAAAATGTTATACCTTGGCGGTAGGTAGACCATTTTATCATAACATGTTATCTATTTGTATTAAATTTTCTTACCTTAAAGTTTACCTTACCTGATACAAATATATCAACACTATTTTAGCCTCTTTTTTTTCTGACACAACTTTTTTTACCCTTGTATTCTTAATCTTTTTGTGTCTATGTGTTTGAACAGTTTGTCCATTATAAATAATATAGTTTTTAAACTTTTATCAGATACTTTTGCACATATTAGCTTATTTAGTCTATTTATATTTAATATATTTATTGATACATTAGGCTTATATCTACCTTTTTACCATTTGTTTTCTGTTTATCTTACCTATCTTGGTTTCACCAGCAAACTTCAAGAGTTACTGTAAAGGTATAATAATCAATAGAGCACGATATTAGCATAAGAATAGACAGGTCAAAGAAACCAATCGGGTGCCGGAAATGGATTCACACATAACATATATGACTCATTGATGTTCAACAATGATGCCAAAGCAATTTGATGTATAAGGATAATGTTCTTAAAAAACAACATAGAAAAAATTGGACATCTACATAAAAAGTATGTAAGACCTTATTTTTGACCACATAATAAATTAACTTGAAAGAGTCAGGAGCACAAATGTAAAACAAAAGTATAAAACTATAAAACTTATAGAAACGTTTCCATTTAGCAATCTTTGTGATCTTGAGTTACACATGCATTGTTTTTAGAAAGGAGCCAAAACTACAAATAATAAGGGGAAATTATGATAAGTTAGACTTCATTAAAAGTTAAATTGTTATTTGAAAGATTTTTATAAAAATGAAAATATATGCCTAGATTTAGTAAAAATATTTGCAAAACAAATATATTCTAAAAAACTGTGTTGCAAATATATAAAGACAGAGTATATAAGTTAATAATGAGGTGATAATAAAAATAGGAATCAATAATTTAAACAGACGCTTCACTGAAAAAAAGCTATGGATAGCAAATAAAACATAAAAATAAGCTAAACTTCCCTAGTCATTAAAAATACAGACTACAGGCTGGGTGCAGTGGCTCACGCCTGTAATCCCAGAACTTTAGGAGGCCAAGGCAGGTGTATCACCTGGTCAGGAGTTCAAGACCAGCCTAGCCAACATAGTGAAACCCTGTCTCTACTAAAATTACAAGATTAGCCGGGTGCTGTGGCACACGTCTGTAATCCCAGCTACTCTGGTGGCTGAGGTGGGAGAATCCCTTGAACCCAAAAGGCAGAGTTTGCAATGAGCTAAGATTGCTCCATTGCACTTCAGCCTGGGCAAGAAAGTGAGTCTCAAAAAAAAAAAAAAAACCAAAAACCAAAAAATAGCAACAACAGAAAATGCAGACTACATTACTTTGTGATTAATAATGCTAATCAGAATGGCTAAAAACAAGAAATATTTAACAAACAAAAAAATTTGGCAATATCAACAGGATGAAAAGCATTAAAAACCTGCATTTTTTGTTGGTGGGAAGGCTAAATGGTATAGCCATTTTGTACAACAAATTATAAATTTCTTGTAAAAATGTATACATGCTTATCATATGACCCAACAATCCCCCATCTAGATGTTTACCCAAGAGAATTGAAAGCACATTTTCTCACAAATACCTTAGTCAGTGTTTATCACAAGTTTCTAAATGATAATAAAAACAAAAACCAAATATCTATTAATTGGCTAATAGGCTAAAAGCTATGTTACCTTCATACCAACAATAAAAATGAAAGGATTATTCATATGTACAAAAATATAAATCTCAAAGCTTTATGCTGAGTAAAATATAATGGCTAGAAAAGCCAATATAACCTCATTTGTATACCATTTTATAATATTCTCTAAAAGCAAACTTTACAAAGATAAATAAGATTAGTTGTTGCCAGAGACTAGAGCTGGGAAAAGGGAACAGATTGCAAAATGGAATGGGGATATTTTTGTAGGACATAATCTACAAGTTAAACATAGTGGTGGATACATGACTTTATAGATCTGTGAAAGGTCATAAAACTGTATACTTTTATATACAGTTAAATTTATTGTATGGAAATTATACTTCCATTAATTATATATAGATTATATGAATATATTTTGAATGCTAATTCAAACATAAAAATCAATAAGTGGGTGAAAGATTGAAACAGGAAATTTACTACAAAACAAGGATGGTAAATTAGCATATAAAAATGCTCAAAAATTTCATCTTTAGGAAAAGACAAATTTAAATCATAGGGAAATACAGGTACATTCTTCTCCCAGATAGCTACACTTTAAGTTATGAAAATTATCAAGTATAGGGATAATTATGAAGCAACTAAAATTTCTATATGTATATGGTGGGATGCAAAATTGTAGGGCCACTTTAAAAGGTATTTTGGCAGTTTTTTACTAAGTTAAACCTATATTTCCCATTGGCCTTAGTCATCTCACTCCTAGATATTTATTAATTAAAAATAGAAATTGTTTGTCACATGAAGATCTGTACAAGAAAGATTATAGGAGTTTTATTTACAAAAGTGGTATCAGCCCAAATGTTCAACTGATAAATATATTGTGATGTATCTCTGTGATGAAATTGTTTTCTGCAACAAAATCAAATGAACTATATATATGAGCAAGAACATTTGTTAATCTAAACGAAAAGGTACAGAAACAAGAAGTCTAAATGCTGAATTATTCTATTGAATTCCATTCATTGAAAGACAAATGTATACAAATACTTCCAAAAAGTGGCTGTTAGGAGCTTGGTGTGAGTTAATAGTTCCAAAAGGGAAGTTTTGAAATTATCCAAATGTTGGACAGTGGTGATGATTGTTACATGATTATGTACCTCATCAAAAATCAGTGTACAGTACAGATACAAAGTATGCAATTTATGCCTCCATAAATCTGACTTTAAAAAGATGTTCCAAGGTTCGGGTGCGGTGGCTCACATCTGTAATCCCAGCACTTCAGGAGGCCTAGGCAGGCGGATCACTTAAGGTCAGGAGTTTGAAACCAGTCTGGCCAACATGGTGAAACCCCATCTCTACTAAAAAAATACCAAAAACATTAGCTGGGGGTGGTGGTGGGCACCTGTAATCCCAGCTACTCAAGAGTCTGAGGCAGGAGAATTGCCTGAACCTGGGAGGCAGAGGTTGCAGTGAGCCTAGATTGAGCCATTGCACTCCAGGCTGGGCTACAGAGTGAGACGCCATCTCAAAATAAATAAATAAATAATAAAAGTGCTACCCCTCAATACATACAAGCGAATGAGTGAAATATAATTTATGCCAGACTATTATAAATGTTTCAGAAAAATGAGGTGGATTAAACGATTTTGTACGCAAGTGAATATGTGTTTCCGTTTGTCAAAGGAAGTATATTTGCAATTTAAAAACTATGAGCTGGAAAGTCATCTCTGAGAATATAATTTACAAATAATGTAGACAGCTAAATAAATATCTGACTGTAGATGTTGGGTATTATTCTGGGTAGAGAGAAAAACAATTGCAAATTCCTCAAGGTGAAAGGGTTAGAGAACACATCAGTGTTATTGGTGCAGAGTGAGAAAATAGGAAAGTTACATCATATTAGTACAGACATAGAGAGCTAGATTATATAAAACTTGGAGACTACTGTAAGGTTTTGGCTTTTTTTTTCTGATTGAAGTGAGATGCTATTGGAAATTGGAAGAAGTAATGGTTAAAAGGAAAATTTTAGACAAATAAAATTTAGCAGTTTATGTGAGGAAATAATGATTCATGGGTCAGGCCACACTTAGAACCAGGAGTGGGCCAGGTGGGGTAGCTCACACCTGTAATCCCAGCACTTTGGGAGGCTGAGGTGGGCAGATCCCCTAAGGTTAGGAATTCAAAACCAGCCTGGCCAACATGGCGAAACCCTGTCTCTATTAATAATACAAAAATTAGCCAGGCATGGTGGTGTGCACCTGTAGTCCGAACTACTCAGGAGAATGAGGCAGGAGAATCGCTTGAACCCGGGAAGTGGAGATTGTGGTGAGCCGAGATTGCACCACTGCACTTTAGCCTGATCAACACAGTGAAATGTGTCAAAAAACAAACGAGCAAACAAACAAACAAAACACCCAGGAGAGGTTCAGAGATCTTCACCCAACAGAAAAAGAAACTGACATACAGAAACAGCATCACTGGTTACAGCTCCAGCTCAGGATTTGTCTTGTATGGAAATGATCTGATCAATTGGCTGCCTGAGACAGGTTGAATCTCCATTGCTCTGATTGTTACAAACAATATACTCTTAAATTAGGTAACAGTTTGTTTACATACCAAGTTAGTTTGTCCTTATTATGTATGGAGACAGCTTTAAGCTAAATTAGTTTAACATAGTTGAATTAAAAGAGTTGTTTAAAAAATATATATTTTAGCGGTAGTTTAGGCAATTGGCTGCAGGGATGAAAGGGCAGAAAAGGAAAAATTGTATATAAGAATATTGCAATAACTCAGTGATTATGAAAGCATAGACCCAAATAATTTTCTACTAAAAATATAGGATTCTTGATTTTTTATTGTTGTTGTTTCTTGTTTTGTTGTGAGTTATTTTTTATTGTTGTTGTTTGTTTTGTAATACTGACAGGATTGGCTGCTGTGTAAGAAAACAAGGATTGGTGGTAATTTCAAAGCTCTTAACCTATGGAACATGAAGGAAAAATAGCGAAGATGAAAGAATGAGTATATTGAGGATAGGATTAGAGGGTAGAGTGTAGATGTGCGAGTTAAAATTTGAAAAACATATTAGGCTTCCAAGAGAAGATGTGAAATAGGTAATTGAGACTTTTGATTTGGGTTCAGTGAAAAACACATAGCTAGAGCAATACTGAAAGATTTCAGTATCAGACATCACTGAGAAAAGTTGGTCACTAAGCAATAAATAATAAAACATTTAGAGACTAAATGCTGGGATTTGCCCATATTTGGTAGAATAGATGAGGAGAAAAAAGCAAAAGTTACTGAGAAATGGCAACAGCAGAAAAAATACAAAAACAAGGTCTTCTAATACATGGAAAAGAAGTTGAGTATTTCAGAAAAAGATAATTGTTCAACTTTAATGTATTTTCCTGATAATTGGTGAGAATAATTTTGTAACATGGAGATTCTATACATACACCAGTGTTAACAAAAATGCTTCAGATTTTGTAACGGACGGTCAATAAAGTATTTGTATTTTTAGAAACGAAAACTGAAACTATTCCAGATTTTTATCAGTGATAAAATGGATAAAGGAGTATAAACATTGGGAAATTCAGCAACACTTTATAGGACTTAAGTATAAAGTAAATCTTGATGTCCTGATGTGAAAGTATGCCTGTGAACACTCAATAAAAAATTAAATAATAAAAAAATAGGTTTAGTTAAAAGCAAAAATACACAAAGACAAATGAGAAATATTCTTACCTCAGGAGGTTAATATGAAGTGGGCTGGTTAATAACATAGCAGTCTTAATGTAAACACTTCTAAAATAAAACAATATTCAAAATAAAAACTGATAATGAGTTTCTATTTGCAAAAAAATTAAAAGCAAAGACTAAGATACTTACAAATTAAAAAGCAGAATTGTAAATGTAGGAAGCTTGACCAAAGAAAATACTAATTTTTTAAAAAATTACAACTTTTATTGATGTTTGGTATTTTCATGTATGAAAACATAAGCCAATTTTCACAACATCAATCTTGAGCAGGAATGAAAAATATCAATGTAATGACCCTATAATCTGTAAGTTTTTAATATGGATAATATGAGGTAAAACCCTTTGGAAAGAAATAATGCCACATATCTACAACTATCTGATCTTTGACAAACCTGACAAAAACAAGCAATGGGGAAAAGATTCCCTATTTAATAAATTGTGCTGGGAAAACTGGCTAGCCATATATAGAAAGCTGAAACTGGATCCCTTCCTTACACTTTATACAAAAATTAATTCAAGATGGATTAAAGACTTACATATTAGACCTTAAACCATAAAAACCCTAGAAGAAAACCTAGGCAATACCATTCAGAACATAGGCATGGGCAAGGACTTCATGTCTAAAACACCAAAAGCAATGGCAACAAAAGCCAAAATTGGCAAATGGGATCTAATTAAACTAAAGAGCTTCTGCATGGCAAAAGAAACTACCACTAGAGTGAACAGGCAACCTACAGAATGGGAGAAAATTTTTGCAATCTACTCATCTGACAAAGGGCCAATATCCAGAATCTACAGTGAACTCAAACAAATTTACAAGAAAAAAACAAACAACCCCATCAAAAAGTGGGCAAAGGATATGAACAGACACTTCTCAAAAGAAGACATTTATGCAGCCAAAAGACACATAAAAAATGCTCATCATCACTGGCCATCAGAGAAATGCAAATCAAAACCACAATGAGATACCATCTCACACCAGTTAGAATGGCAATCATTAAAAAGTCAGGAAACAACAGGTGCTGGAGAGGATGTGGAGAAATAGGAACACTTTTACACTGTTGGTGGGACTGTAAACTAGTTCAACCATTGTGCAAGTCAGTGTGGCGATTCCTCAGGGATCTAGAACTAGAAATACCGTTTGACCCAGCCATCCCATTACTGGGTATATACCCAAAGGATTATAAATCATGCTGCTATAAAGACACATGCACACGTATGTTTACTGCGGCACTATTCACAATAGCAAAGACTTGGAACCAACCCAAATGTCCAACAATGATGGACTGGATTAAGAAAATGTGGCACATATACACCATGGAATACTATGCAGCCATAAAAAAGGATGAGTTCATGTCCTCTGTAGGGACATAGATGAAGCTGGAAACCATCATTCTCAGCAAACTATCGCAGGGACAAAAAACTGAACACTGCATGTTCTCACTCATAGGTGGGAATTGAACAGTGAGAACACATGGACACAGGAAGGGGAACATCACACACCGGGGACTGTTGTGGGGTGGGGGAAGAGGGGAGGGATAGCATTAGGAGATATACCTAATGCTAAATGACGAGTTAATGGGTGCAGCACACCAACATGGCACATGTATACATAAGTAACAAACCTGCAAGTTGTGCACATGTACCCTAAAACTTAAAGTATAATAATAATAAAAAAAGAAATCATAAATAAAAGGTTATAAAAAAGATTGAGATAGAAGTAGTTTCAAGCCCCAATCAAAGGACAAGAAAACATAGAAGGTACAATCACTTTTTCAATAATATAGCCTTCAGGACATTTATTTTTGAAGTTTTTAGTGAATGTTCTTAAGTGTTAATACTAAACATTTGCACTTCATTCATATGTAGGTGGGAGTATTTAATCTTCCTCAATATAAAAAATTATAATTTTTAAAAACATTTTACATACTAGTTTTATAATGACAGTTCAACTTGAAATAAAGTTTAGCATTTTAAAATTAAGGAGTGTGGCTGAAAGAAAATTATTAAAATTAAATTTATGATACTACTCTATAGCATTAAGTACCTTTATATAATTTTACACGTGTATGACAATTTACAAAATTTTAAAAATTACAGATGTTTTCAAATGAATCTAACTTATTACATTAAAGAAGTTCTGATTTTACCATACTCAGTTAGATTTATACTCTGTTATTGGGAAACTAAGACTGCTAGAAAATGTCCTCCAGTAAAATGATAATAAATGTTGAACAGAATGAAAAAACCTCCTAGAGGCACTGAAGAGTAAACAAAGTAGAAACAGACACACAGTCATTGGAGGTACACACTGGAGGAAGCAAAAAGGGGCTGTAAAATATGAATTTTTTTGTCTTTTAGCCTTGGGCTAAGGACAATTGGTATACTGTGTGCATTAGGCAATTCGGGTGACAATAAATCAAAAAAAAAAAAGTAATTCTACTCTAGGAATCAAAAAACAAAACACACACACACACACACACACAGACAAAAAGAAAAGAAAAGAGGAAAAGAGTACTGAAGAAACTGAGCATGCTGAAGAAAGTCAGGAAATCTTGGAATTCAGAGAAGGAATACCCCCAACATTTCTGACTGACGCATGAACGATGAATTCAGGAATCATTTGCACTTATAATGTTCAGGAATCAATCTGATTTACTCAGTACAAAAAATGAAGAAAATGGAATGCATGTCGTAGATTAAAGACAAAAGCTTGGTTTAATCAGAAATAAACTAGGTGTTAGAAGTGGCATTCAAAAATTTTAAAGTATTAAAAAAATTTTAAGTATTATTTTAGTAACTCTAATTAATTTAAAAGTGATGCGCAATGAATAAGATTCCACAATGAATAAGAAATTTTAGTCATGGAACAGAAAAGATTTAAAGGAATCAAGTGAAAATTCTAGAACTGAAAAATATTTCAAATTTAAAAACAAATGTAAACACTATCTGGATAACATCCAAGGAGAAGACAAGAAAAAAAAAAGAGAGAGAGAGAAAACGAACTTGAAGACAGATAATTAGAAATTGTCCACAGTGAAGAATAAAAAGAGAAAAGACTGAAAAAAATGAACAGAGACACAGAGAATTGTTAGATAATATGTGGCCTAAAATCAGTGTGATTAGAATCTCAGGAAGACAGAAAATAAAGAATGAAAAATAAAAAGAAAAAATTAGAAGAAATAATGACTCACAGTTCTCCAGACTTCATAAAAAAGAAATGAAATAATACAAAGTACTAAACATCAATCAGAATAAGACCAAAGAGGCCCACCCTGAAATACATTATAATACACTGTGGAAATCTAAAAGTAAGAATAAATTTTAAAAGGAACATGTGAAAAATAACATATTAACATTCCAGTTAAATTACCATCTGAATGATAAGTTGATTTTTGGCAGAAACCATGGAGGCCAGAAACAAAGTGTGGCAACACATTTATAATGCCGAAAGAGAAAAAAAAAAAGTTGATCCAAAATTCTATACTCAATTAGTGGAATCATACATTTAAAAATGACTAAGATGTTTTAAAATGTTTTTAAAAATGTTATCTTACCAAACATTTATAAATTTCAGTTAAATTTTTTTTAATAATTCAAGAATATAGACATACAACATTTTAAATGAAGAACTAACAGAACTTTCTGATAGAGAACTTTTATTGTGGGAAATGCTAAAAGCATTTTTTCAGGCTACATGGAAATAACACTAAATAAAAATGTAAATTCTTACATAAGAATAAAAGAGTATCAGACATTGTAAATATCTAGGTAAATTTAAAAAAATTATTTCCTTACTGCTGTCTTAATTGCTTTTAAAACACATAACTTATTAAAGTGAAGATTAAAATACTGTCTTCTGGGATGAGCAATACAGATTGGCCATCCATAATCAGAAAATCATAAATCTGAAATACTCCAAAATAGAACCTTTTTCAGTGCTAATGTCATGCCACAAGTGAAAAATTTCACAGCTGACCTCATATGATGGGTTTCAGTCAAAATGCAGTCAAAACTTTCTTTAAAACTATACAAGTACATGGAAATTAAGCAATCTCCTCCTGAATGATCTTTGGATCAATTAATTTAAAATAGAAATTTAAAAATAAATGTTTGAGACAATTAAAAAGGTAAAACAACATATCAAAACCTGTGGTATACAGAGGGAAATTTATACTGTTAAGTGCCTATATAAAAAAAGATTATAAATTAGCAACATAATGTTGCACCTCAAGAAATTTGAAAAAGAAGAAATTATCTAATGGGAAATCAATTCCAAAGCTAGCAGAAGAGAAATAACAAAGATCAGACTAGACTTAAATAAAATTGTGACCTCCCTCCCGCAAAAGAAAAGGATATGAAGGATCAGTGAAACGAACTGTTGGTTTTTTGAAAAGATAAATAAAAGTGATATACCACGAGCTAGAATAACTGAGAAGAGGGAAGATCCAAATAAGCCCAAGAAGAAATAAAAACCGAGACATTTCAAATGATACCACAAAAATATAAAAGATTATAAGACACTACTATGAGCATCTCCACACTTACAAACTAGAAAAGCTTGAGGAAATGTATAAATTACTGGAAACATAAAAGCTCCCAAGAGTCAACCAAGAAGAAATCAAAATCCTGAACAGACAGTAATGAGAAGTGATATTGAATAAGTAATAAAAATATCTCAACAAAAAATAAGCCGAGAACTGGATGAACTCACAGGATAATTCTACCAAACATAAAAAGAAGAGCTAGTATCGATCCTGTTGAAACTATCCGACAAAAATCAAGGGGAGGGAATTCTCCCTGACGCACTCTAAAATGCCAGCATCACCCTGATACAAAAGCCAGGCAAAATGAAACAAAAAGAAAATTACAAATATTCTTGATTAACAAAGATGCAAAATCCTCAACAAAATACCAGCAAACTGATTATAACAGCAGATTGATAAGGTAATTCACCATGATCCAGAGAGTTTTATTCTAGAGAGGCAAGGAGAGTTCCCCATACACAAATCAATAAATGTGATTCACCAAATAAGCATAATTAAAAACAAAACAATATGATTATCTCAATAAATACAGAAAAAAAATTTCATAAAATTTAACATTTCTTCATGATAAAAACTATCAACAAAGCATGAAAGGAACATCTCAAAATCATAGGAGTCATATATGATGAGCTCACAGCCAACATCATATGTAACAATGGAAAGTTGAAAGTATTCCTTCAAGTAATGTATCAAGACAAGGACGCCCAATTTTTTTACTCTTGTTCAACGTAGTATTGGTAGTCCTAGCCAGAGCAATCAGGCAAGAGAAGAAATTAAAGCCATCCAAATTGGACAAAAGAAAGTCAAATTGAATCCTCCATGGTGGAAATTTCAGAGGAGCCCCTGGGAACCGTGGCGGATATAATAGGAGGGACAACATGCCACAGAGAGGTGGTGGTGGCGGCGGAAGTGGTGGAATCGGCTATCCATACCCTCGTGCCCCTGTTTTTCCTGGCTGTGGTAGTTATTCAAACAGAGGGAACTACAACAGAGGTGGAATGCCCAACAGAGGGAACTACAGCCAGAACTTCAGAGGACGAGGAAACAATCGTGGCTACAAAAATCAATCTCAGGGCTACAACCAGTGGCAGCAGGGTCAATTCTGGGGTCGGAAGCCATGGAGTCAGCATTATCCCCAAGGATATTATTGAATACCCAAATAAAACGAATTGATACATATTACTCCAAAACCTTCACAAGAAGTCGACTGTTTTCTTTAGTAAGCTAACTTTTTAAACATTCCTCAAGAGGAATTGCCTGCGGGTTCCTTTTTTAGAAGCTTTGTGGGTTGATTTTTTTTTCTTTTCTTTTTTGTACATTTTTAATTGCAGTTTAAAAGTGAATCGTAAGAGAACCTCAGCATTGTGCACAATAAGAGAATGTGTCAGTATTTCAGGGTTCTACATTTTATCTGTAAAATTTGACTTTTTTTTTTAAATCAGAAATAAAATGTTGCTTTGTAAAAAAAAAAAAAAGAAAGAAAAAAGAAAGTCAGATTGTCTCTGCTGATGAGAAAGACTCCTCCAAAAGACGCCTAGATTTGACAAATGACTTCAGTACAGTTTCAGGTTACAATATCAACATATAAAAATCAGTAGTATTTAATACAACAGTAACAATCACACTGAAAACCAAATCACACGTAAATCCCATTTACAATAACCACATTCACAAAAATACCTTGGTATACATTTAACCAAAAATATGGATTCAACCTAAATATCCCTCAATGGATTATTGGAAAAAGGAAATGTAATATAGCACATACATAAACACATACACAAACACACATACACCACGGAATACCACTCAGGGGCATAAAAAAAATGAAATCATGCCTTCTGCAGAAATGTTGATGAAACTGGAGACAATTACCTTAAGTGAAATAACTCAGAAACAAAAAGTCAAATACTACATGTTCTCAGTTATAAGTGAGAGCTAAATAATGTGTACATGGACATAGAGAGTGGCATAATAGACACTGGCGAGTCTGAAAGGTGGTAGGGTGGGAGAGGGGAGAAAGAATAAGAAATTATCTAATGGGTACAAAGTACACTATTTGGGTGATGATTACACCAAAATCCCAGACTTCACCACTACGGAAAATATCCTCATGTAATAAAATTGCACTAATACCTCTTCTATCTGTAAAACACACACACATACACACAAATTACACAAACATACTCTAGAAGAAATATGAATACCTTCTATTACTCAAAAGGAATTGAATCAACAATAAGAAACTTTCAAAGACAACTCTAGGCCCAGATGGCTTCACTGGTGAATTGTCAAATATTTAGGGAAGAAAAAATACCAACCATATACTTTGTATTTTCAGAAAATAATGTAGGTTGGAACATTTGCCAACTCAATTCATAAGACCAGTGTTACAGTAATATCAAATCTAGAAAACTATATCAGATTTAAAAAGAACTGCAGACCATTATGCCTCATTGGCAGAGATGAAATCATTCCTAATAAAGTGTTAGCAACTTGAGCTAACACTTTATTTATGTATTTAAAGAAATACATAATGACCAACTGGGATACCAGGGTGGATCAGTTGGAAAGACAATGAGGATAATTAATTATATAATTTTTATGGTGTAAGAATTGATAACAAAATGTGAAGATTAAATGTAAAGATTTACTTTTCAGAGATAGTAAAGGAAATATGGTATAACAACAGGAGCCATATGGAATAAATTCAGGGCAATGATATTTCAAAAAAAATTACTGTTTGTGTGTTCATTGCTACAAGCTCCAAAATATTCCTGAGTAAATTTTTATATCATAATGCATAGAATAAAGGGTTTGAAATCACTTGCCAGTATCTGTAATCATGTTTATTCTATTTCTTAAAATCATATGGTATACTTATTGTCTTCTTTGATCATTTAGGGCTTTGATATTATTCTCAATAATGTTTTTACCTTATTCGTTTTGACTGTTGGAACTTTATTCTTTCATGCCAAATAAGCATTTAAGTATTTTTTAAATCAAGAAGTAAATGTCTTAAACTATTTTTATTGGGATAGGGGTTATATTCTTTTGAAAGACTTGTGATTGGTTCACTAGGCTGAATATTATCTCTTCTTTATAACTTCTCATAAAAAGCACATTTTATATAAGCTAATAGTCTTAAAAGTATAATCAGTAAAAAATAATTATTCTCCTATATGCACGCTTTTCAATAGTTGATTTTAATTGTTACGAATTTTAAAATGTATATGAAATTCTGGTACAGTGATTCTCAAGTGTGTCATATTTTCAAATAAACTATTATTTCTGAAAAAGAAAAATTAAACTGCATTCTTCAGGTAAAAAATTCTTTTTAAACTATGCGTTAATTTTTGTGGCATCAACAATTTCCTAGGTTAAGATATTTTAAACTTATATGTTATTTATTTTAACAGATTTATAAGACACGGACTCTTTTAAGGTAGCCCAGAAGCTTTACACTGCCAATCTAGGATGATAGATGTGTTATATTTATTGGTCAAGAATCTATTCTTATTAATGTTGACTTAGTGAATATGAACAAATTTTAACAAACCTCTTCTTCCATTTCTCTATAGATGTATAACAATTGATGGTCTTTCACATATTCTGATTCACATATTTACTATATCTGCCTTTCACTTTTGGTCATTTGTGTTTGCTCTTTATACACTAGAATGCAGATTTCATGATCACAAGGACATTAATATATTTTTCATAATAATAACTCCAAAATGTAATTAGCAACTAACTCAGTAACTTTTATACACACACACGTACACACACACACAAACACATATATTCTCCATCTATATTGTAAGTTTAAATATTTCCATCCCATATTCTTTGCTAATGCTTTGCAAAAGGATGTCATTATTTTATAAAATTTCCTCTTATTTTTCTAGAGGAATTGGCTAATAGCTGATGCCTTTATAACAACAACCTCAGTATACATAGCAGATAACTATTTTCGAAGCTTACAAAACATTTTTCATTTCTTGATTCTTACAATAGTCCAATACTAAGAAGTGTAAAAATAGTGATAAAAATCTAAGAATCTAAAAGAAGTCATATTTTTATTTCAAATACTGTTCAACCATTTATTAGTATGTGACTTTTGTTTAGTATTTCAACTCTGCACCTCAGCTACTCCATCTGTAAAAAAGGTAGTTTTTAATTTCACAGACTTAATGTGAGTATTAAATGAATTCATCTGTATATAACACTTAACACAATGTCTAGCAAACAGTAAATTTTTAATAAATGTTAAAGAGCAATAGGAGGATTATTAATTTACTTTTATAGGTAAAAAAAGTTTCAGACAATTTAAGTGACTTTTTAAAACTAACACAGTCAGTTTAAGACCACAGAATAGAATTAAATTATGAAAATAACGTATTAGTTTTTTTCTATGTTAATATATTCCAGAGAAAAAACTACAGTTGACTCTTGAACAATACAGGGTTAAGGAACGCCAATCCCAACGCAGTCTAATCTCTGTGTAGAACATTTAACTCCTCCAATACCTAACTACTAATAACCTACTGTTGACCAGAAGACTTACCGATAACATAAATAGTAAATTAACACATATGTTGTATATGTTTTTAAACTATATTCTTATAATAAAATAATCTAGAGAAAAGAAACTGCTACTAAGAAAATCATATGGAAGACAAAATACATTTACTATTGAATAAGTAGATGTGGATTATCATAAAGATCTTCATCTCATCTTCACATTCAGCAGGCTGAGAAGAAGGAAGTGGAGGGGCTGTTCCTGCTGTTTCAGGTCTTGGGGATAGCAGAGGTGGAAGAAACTCTCTATATAAATATACTTGGCAAGTCCAAATCTATGTTGTTCAAGGGCCAACTGTATACATATATTACATAAAAGCTATGAAGATAAAGACTTACAATTCTCAAGATTTTTAGAGTAGTCTGTACATTGACTGGGTCAGAAATCCAGCAAGTACAATTTCAAACTCTGCTTTCTTCAAAATACAGGAAATACAATACTATAAAAGTGATGTACTAAGCATGTTTGGAACTCCAATAAAGTAATAGGAAAAGTTTGGGGTCAAAACTTATTTTGTCTAGGACTGTTTTATCTATCTTTTGTGGATCTTTTAAAATAGATATATGGTTCAAGGATCAGATATTGTGCTTGGAGCTGTACTCTTCTAAATCAAAATTTTAGTTTCATTCTTTCACAAGTATGCCAAGCCTGACTTTTGTTACATTTATTATGTAGGGTCATAGGAACTAAAGTGTACCATTATCTTATGCTTAAACTGAGTTATCCAGATTATTGCATTTTGGTTGTAGTATGACCTTTTCAAAATTAAGTTCACTTTGGTTGTACTTTTCTAAAGAAGTAAGATATAAAAAAGCAGTGGTTTAATCTCCATGCCAGATGAATCCATGGGCTAAAATGAGATAAGGGTAAGTTTTCATTATCTGTCATGTTTTTTTATTACACACAGAATAGCCATAATGCCTAATACTTGTGATTTCTCCTCTGTTCACCTCAGAATCTTTCAAATCCTTTCTGTGATTTAAATAAAGATTAATTACTGTGAACATTCTTTTTTTATCTTATGTTGGCACATATCTGCTTCAGATCTAAGAACTCAGGTCTTATCAGTTTAAACCCACAGCTGTAAGTCTCTACATCTCTGTATAAAAACATAGTATTCTACATCTCTTTCAACACTTTCTCACTCCAAAAATTATTGTCATTTGGCTGGGCTCAAGAGACATACCAGCAATAATTTATATTTTTCTTGTAGCCTCTTCCCTATCTTGATTTTTTTTTCTTATCTATATATCGTCTCCTCTGTAGTGGAGACACCAAAGATTAATCTCATGCATAGGAAAGAGAAGCTCATGTGTGTGCTTTCTCTTGTTCTCATTCCATGAAACCACATATTTTTAGCTATATTTAGACATAGTAAAGTCTTCACACTAGAATTCTTATAATTTGTAAAAACCAATCAAGATATATGTTATAATTAATACTACAAAACTGCTCCAATATTACAGAATGAGGAATAAACTGAAAGGATTAATTCATCTGGAAAACTTTTTACAGAGAGAGTTTAGAACATGAAACTTTCCAAACAGAATATATTTGTTAATGGGTTGAAAATAAATAGAAGTGGGTAGTGGTAAGCTACTAGGTCATTATTATGCTAGTTTTCGTCATAGTCTCCTTAGGTATTACCAAACTTTTTTGTATGCCATGGTTGCATTTAGCTGAACTAAGGAAAAGTCCTGCAACCACAAAAATTTAGACTCACAGACGGTTTGAAAGGTGAGTAAAGCAGGGTTTTATTGAGTGAAAAGAAAGAAAAGGGGGAAACAGGGACTCTCGCTAGGCCACAGTCCCTGCAAGAGAGCTTCCCACCTGGCCATTCAAATCCCCAGTTCCACACAGGAAGAGGAGGGGCCAGGCTCCTCCCCACCGCAAAGTGCATGAACTTCCAGAACTTTGCTTTAACCTGTGGCTTATAATTAACAGAAAAATGGCTTATATTTAGAATATATTATATAAAGTGTCCTTACAAATCAATAAGGGAAGCAAAAAAAAAAATCTGCTTAGGAAAAACACGACAAATAGAACCGTAAGAAGACAAAGTCCCAATAAACATGAAACATGAAAAGATGATGTGCCACCACATTCATAAAAAAGGGTATACAAATTCTGTGAGTCACTATTTTGGAATGATAATTAGTTTGACAAAAAGAAAAATCATTACTTTTTTGTTTGACAAGGATACAGAAAATTGGCCACTCTTGCAAAATCTTTATGTTTTATATGCTGACAAATTTTGCTATAGAAACATTATTCATCTATGCTAAAATATATGTATAGGAGTTCATGATAACATAGAACCTACTTTGAATCTGTTAAAGAGATTATTCCAGATGGTAATGATAAACCAATCATGTATTATGCAAGAGCAGTGTCATCTACAGAATAGACCTTTGGTAAGCAAGTTAACAGTAACCATCCCTTTGCTGTTATAATTGGTGTTTAGGATATACACATCTATAACCATGACCGTACTTTTAAAATGTGTACTAATTTTAGAATTCTTCTAAGGATTTCCATGACCATAATTAAATCATAGCACATACCGCATGGGTATCTCTTGTTCAGTATTTATGATAACACTCTTCTTGTCAACTCTGGAAGAGCAATATCTTATCCTAATACAAAAAACCATCTGGTGCTGCAGATGCCAGGTTGTGGTATCTTGACAGTTTTGATGGTAATACCACTGAGTTAATTCTTTGCTAGAGGCAATGAAAAATGAGTACATTTGATTCTTTGATGTATAATTAAAGTAACATGGTTTGTGTCATAAAGGTTTATAAAGTACTTGGGCCAGTCTAGCAAAGCCACATTGATCAGATATGAGGCTATGTACCAAAAGAAAAACTCCTTCCTGCAGGGCAAACACTATGATTTGTCTGAACACAACATGGTACATCAGAACAATTGTGTTTCATACTCCCTGGCCTGACCTATTTTGTTAGTCCCACAAGCCACGACCTCAGACTAGCTCTTTGACTTTGAAGAAAGTGTCCATGCTTTCTTCTCATTTTATTTAATGACATCTCCTATTAATTAGGTTATTGAATTTGATCTGTGACCAGCTCTGCTTCCATTATGGGGCCTAGTTCCCTTTATGTTATGTAATTAAATAGATATATATTTAATATATGTTTATTATCACTATTATTATTTTGCCTTTAAATGTTTCTATCAGCCCTTATATTTTCAAGGAATCTTAATGCACTGTACCTGTGTGGCAAATACTGTAGGCTTTAAAATCATACCACATGTGTTTAAATACTAGCACCATCACTCATGAGCCAGGTGGTCTTATAAACGTTAACTTTTATGACTCAGTTTCTTCAAAAAATATGGATGCAATATTGCCTACATATAGGGTTGTTATAAAGATTTAATTAAAAGCTAAATTTAAAATGCTTAACACAGAGACAATTATAATATAAATGTTATATTTATTATTCACTATAAACACTTTCCTCCCAAGATAATTCCATTGGAGTATTAGACGTTCTAGTTAGTATAGACATTACTTTACCTGTATACAGTCAAACCTCATTATTCATGGATTCTGTGAATTGGCCCACTCACTAAAAGTTATGTGTAACTTCAAAATCAATACTCACGAATTTTCTCCGTCCTTTGCAGACATGCTCAAAACCTCAAAAATTTTGAATCAGTAAATGTGCTTATTCGCAACTGAAATTGAACAAGGCAACACTCTGCCTTCTTGTTTTAGTTTTCATACTTTAAACAAGTGTCCTTTCTACAGTCTATTTGGTGCTACATTTTGTGCTTTTTGTTGGTGATTTTGCTGTTTAAAATGGTCCCCAAGCATAGTGCTAAAGTGTTATTTAATGTTCATGTATATCCATGTGTGCCATATGGAGAAAATATATGTTAGATAATTTTCATTCAGGCATGAGTTATAAGCTGTTGACAGTTATCTCAATGTTAGTAAATCAACACCATGTATACCCAGAAAAATAAAGCGGAAATTTGCTGATCTGTACATGAGGCTGCTCCACAAAGTGCTAAAATAACATCTACAATGCATGAGAAAGACATGGAAAAGATGGAAAACCTGCCAAATTTGTAAATTCATGAGATGACACATATAAAAATGTGTAATGAACAGCATTGTTGTCATTCTTAAAGCCAAATATATATATATGTATATACAGTCATGTTAATCAGGGTCAAGAAAACGCTAAATCCTTCTTGGCCAATGCTGACTGTCTTACGTGTTTTGAAAGCAGCATGGTCTGAAAAATGTTAAACTTGAAGGTTTAACAGACAGGGTGGTTTCTACAGATCTGGAGACTTCATAAAATAATTTAGAATGCCTGATAAATATTATACAGGAGGAAGATTAGGTGGAAGAGCAGGTTTTCAGTTCTGATGATTAAATATTGCCTTGTTTAATAAGGACATAGGCAAATTAACCTATATAACACAAATGACATTTTGGTTGAGGAACATGTTGTGACTCAAGGCTTGCATAAACTTAACCCTGCTTTTTCCCAGAAGCAGTCATTCAATATTTTTAAATTCCGTGTTCATGGTGACTTCATAAAGCATAACTACCATGAGTAATGAGAGCTGACTACATCTTGAGGTGTTACCAGATCTACTGAGAGAAGGACGCAGTAATTCACACTGAAAGACAGTAGACCTGTACTATCTCAAAAATCGGCATAACAAGAAGAGTTTTATTTATTATTTTTAAATGAAAGTCTACCTTGTCACTGCTTTAAAAAAATATTGACAAATTTAAAGTTGATTTTTATATTGGGAGTTCTGGTTTAAGGTAAGTATATTAAGTGCACATATTTGTGCTGTTAGTTACATAAGGCAGTGTTAGCCAAGAATGGACAATTGGGTCTCAGGTATTGCTTTTGTGCCTGGAGCTAGTAAATGATAAAATGCAGCACTGTGATGTCAATGGTAAAGAATTTCAACACTTCATTACATTTAAAATCATACATCAATACATATTTTGCTGAAAAGAAATTGGGAACACATTTTGCTGGGAATATTTTCATAACAGTGATGAGATTTTCTACCTTTCCATTGAGAAATGTGTCAGTCACTACTTTGATAAACTAAAGTCATGTAAACCGTATTCAGGGAAAACACTATACTTGACTATTTTATTTTAAAAATAAGTTTGTATTTGTTGGTGTAATTGTGCTTATGTCAAGTCAAGCACCTAAAATCTTTCCATATTAACTCTTACTAGAATTTGCTCTAGTATTCACTAATTTGATACTATGTCTGTATGAAGTGAGCAGTTCAACCAAATGTACATAAAAATAAATTAAGTTTGGATTTACTTTAAATAACATGGTTTGTTTCCCAGTATGGCTTTTTCTTATGATTTGTTACATTTAGATTATGTTTTATTTCTTTCAATGTATGATGTGTAGAGTCTTTTCTTTTTTAGTGAATACATTTGATGTTAACCAATAAGCCATTACACTAGTGATCTCTTTCCTATTCTTTTATTTGTATGTAGATAAATACGCCTTGTCTCACATGAATCCTTTAACATTTTGGTACCACTATAAACCATAATCAAATTCCCAATCTAAATATAATGTAAGTGAATATTGTTCTATATATCTTTCCATTATGCTGTTGAAATAGCCTGCTTTGGGCTTTAGTTTTGAGGATTTGGTGTTGGACATAATTACCCATGTCAACAAGAAGTGCAATATTTGAATAATTTGTTTTGTGATTTAAGAACAAACTGCCATATGTCAACTGTACTAAAATCTGGGAATTGTGGAGTACAGTTATAAGTGGTCTTGAATTTTTAAAAATAAGGTGATAGCTTGGGGGAGAATTTTAAAGTAGTGGAAGAAAATATAACCTGTAAGCACTTCTGAACTTTATAGTGAGCAAGACAATTTAGGGAGATCTTAAACAGTAATCAGATTCATGAAAACTATGACTGGAGAAAAATATGCAGAGGTAGTATATTTTGATGTGAAAATATTGGAAGGGAGGTCAAAATTATAGTGTTATCAATTTATTCCTGAATTTATATAATAAAGTCATATCTTTTCTCTTGCTTCCCTGTTTCTCTTAGTTTCTATTTATCTTGCCCAGCAAATTGTTACAAATTAATCTTTCTGAAATATCAATTTTATTAGTTTTATTTGACATTCCTATAGCTCCAAGCTGCCCTAATATGTCCTTATTGTGATTAAATTGTGCATGAAGTAGAAAAAAATGTAATACATTGATCTAGGATTTGTAGATATTTTATGTTAGTGTTATAGTATTGCAACCTATAAGTCATATATTACAGTTGTTTCATTAGACATATAGCTTTAGCAATTTTATAAAACCATTGCCTTATTTTGTTTGTACTCTACCTAAATATTTTATCTAATAACTTTTCCAAAAAATCAACTAATTTCAAATCAATTTATGTTATTAAAACAATGAACAAAATAGAGACTATCAAAAAGGCAAAGTATGTTCTAAGTATTTAGTTTTTAATTTATGTGTACTAGTTTAATTGACAGACCTGTACATAAAATATCGCTCAGGTACTACTTTAGGGAAACATTCTGGGTATTATATTAATAACAAAGTATAAATCTGAGTAGAATTTTCAGAACGCAGGTTTATAACAGCTAGAATATACTTTAATCTATCTTTTTAAAAAACAACACATATTTCTCAACCGATCAAAAAACAAGTATCTTTTTTTTTTTTTTTTTTTTTTGAGACGCAGTTTCACTCTGTCGCCCAGGCTGGAGTACAGTGGCATGATCTCGGCTCACTGCAAGCTCCGCCTTCCGGGTTCACGCCATTCTCCTGCCTCAGCCTCCCGAGTAGCTGGGACTACAGGCGCCCGCCACCACGCCTGACTAATTTTTTTTTGTATTTTTAGTAGTGACGGGGTTTCACCGTCTTAGCCAGGATGGTCTCGATCTCCTGACCTCATGATACGCCCGCCTCGGCCTCCCAAAGTGCTGGGATTACAGGCGTGAGCCACTGTGCCCGGCCAAACAAATATCTTAATTGTTACTGTTATTGTACATAAATCTCAATAAATCAACTGTAATTATACTTTTTGATCACCTAAGTTTGGGGACACTGAGCTGAATTAAGCATAATTCCAAACACTGTAAATTAATTGTTTCATATTTTCTCCACAATCTTCCTCTGACATTGCCATCTGCTGTCACTAGAGAGTGTGCTTAAAATAAAACAAAATTACCCAGGAAAAACCTAACAGCCCTGGAGGAGAGAGCTGAACAAACAACACAGGTATATGTAGTTAAGCTATCATGTACAGGAAAATCAATTGAAAAGAATGTTGCATTACAAATCCACAATGCAGGAGAACTTAAGTGAACAAAAGTAATGTTTAAGGAGCATATAGGTTTTAGATAAGAACAGAGAAATGAGGATTATCACTGGGGTGCAGAGCTTGAGATAATCATAAAAATATGGTAACCTTATATTGAGGTCTAGTTGTCCCAAGTTTTCTTGAATCAAATTTTAGGGAGAAAATCTACCCAGTACTTAACATTGGTAAATGGTATTTTTAATGCAATATGCAAAATAGTAGTATGAAAGGATAATACATCTTGGGACCCCAAAATCACTAAACCAGAGAAAAGTCAAGCTGGGAACTGCATCAGGCAATCATTCCTCCCATTTTATTAAGGAAATTTCTTGTGAGCCTCAAGACTTTTACTCTAAAAATAATTTTGCTGAATTTCACCCTGGCAAAGTAAATTGATAGCTTATCTTCACAGGTGTAGGACAGAAAGTCATCCCTCTGCTCACCTGAGACAAATGCATATCTAATTGCTTTCTCAGCCCTATAGTTTATGTAAAAATGCAGATTCACTGACCCAGATTAAGGCATCAATGACTATTCCTTTACCCCCCACCCGAAGTCACATGTAAATTGTGTATTCATTGAAAGGCTAATCAAATAGCCAAAAGAATGCAATCATTTGTCTCTTATATACCCATTCCCTGGAAGCCCCACTTTGAGTTGTCCTGCCTTTCTTGACTGAACCAATATACACCTTACACATATTATTTAATGTCTCATGTCTCCCGAAAATGTATAAAGCCAAGCTGTGCCCCATCCACCTTGGGCAGATGTTCTCAGAATCTCCTGATGGCTATGTCATGGGCCATGGGCCAGTCATATTTGGCTCAGAATAAATCTCTTCGAATATTTTACAGTTTGACTCTTTTCATCAACAGTAGAGACATTTTGTCCAAAATGATACAGTCTAAGGGCACTTAAAAAGTAAGCAGTGTTAAATAGAGCTTAGCCTAAAGCTGTATCATTACATATTTTAAGTTCAGACTAAAGGTTTCTTTGTACATTGTGAACTAAAAGCTAAATGGAGTTCCAAACACACCGTAGATTAATTTTGTACCAATCACTGAACATTGACCAATCAAAGGTGACCAACAATTCAAACCGTATTCAAATAAGTCAAATGCCAAGCTGTAATCAATCTAGCTGTTTCTATACCTCACTTCCATTTTCTGTACACCACTTTCCTTTTCTGTCTATAAATATTTTTCTACCACATGGCTGTGCTGGAGTCTCTGAGCCTACTCTGGCTCAGGGGGTTTCCAGATTTATGAATATTGCTTTGCTCAATTAAACTTTTTAAAATTTAATTCAGCTAAAGTTTTTCTTTTAACAGATGGTGTCAGAATTGGGATCCAAAGTAGAGCTTCTAATGATCCCCATGAGCACTGAGTGACCATCCGAGGTACCTGCCAGTCTTACTGTGTCCTTTGGTCTCTTGGAGCAGCTGGGGACTATGGTAAGTTCTCTCTCAGATTCTGAAGCTGAATTGATTGTGTTTTGAGTTCTCTGAGTTTCTTTGAGCAAAATTCTCATCCAAACTGGGTTTGGAAGTCATAACAGAAACTGGACTGGGTCCAGGATCAGATTAGACCTGATAATTAACTGGCTTGGATCCAGTTAGAAGCCTCTTATGTCTCACTGGATTAGAAAGAAACTGGTAGTAAATGGCAATGTTGCAGGGGGTGTAAAATTTGTCTTTTGGAAATTTGTAGGAATTTTTGTGTTCTATCCACTTTGTTTCATTTTTCTTGCACACTTGGGTAGGGAAAAGTTGATCTTTGGCTAATTGATCATTGGAAAACATTTGTGGTAAAAATAGGATCCTTAATTTCTAAAGAACTGAGTTCCTTTCAGCTTATACATGCATAGGTATTAGGCCCTGGAAACAGCAAGGTCTCATAGAGATGACAAAATCTTACTAAAGATTAGTTACAGTGGAACATTCCAAATGAACAGTACTGCACTAAAGAAATGCATTTGAAAATGAGGGCTCCCAAATTAGTCTCATGTAAGAATGACTACTGATATGCAGAAACTTCTAAAAATATACCAGTATTTTCAAGCAAAGACTTTATAAAAGGCAAATAAAAAGCTAAAGAGACTAATTGATAAGAAAAATTAAACCTGCTAAACTTTTGGCTTATTACTATCCCACCACAAAGGTGGAAAGAAAGCTATCCTAAGTGATAATAAAATGTAGTCCCTCAGGTAAAGAAGGCTTGACTTTTTTTCAGATCTATCCATGCTGAGTCCAGGCATAGAAAATGCTTTCTTGGCCCTAGTCCTTAGTGGACTCCACCCTGAACTCAGTAATTTTAGATAAAAAACAGTAGCTAAGTTTAAAGGAACACCCTGTTAAACTAAAATACACCTTTCTGAAATTTAATTTGTTATCTTGAAACACTTTTGTAAAAGAAATTTACATCTATAAAGGAAATCTCCATTTTTAAGGATGTCTGCCTATGTATATTAGAAACTTGTAAAATTCTTTTAGATTTACATAATAAGTCATACCTTTGTTTAAGGCGCTTATCTGGCCATCTTAAGTGACATTTTGTTTGAGTCATTTTTTCCTTTGGTTTGTGCAAATGATAATAAAATATTTAGGCCTAAAATCTTAGCTCTATGCTTATGAAATTACATATATATGTATTTGTTTCACCTAAGAGTTGTCCCTTTAGAAATGCAAATTGTTGCCTAGTTAACAATACCTTAAGGCAAAGAAACAGGTAATTAGAAGACTGATAGACCAAATGGGGTGTAAGAGTGGGAATTATTTAAAAGCCACCAAATGAAAATCCTTTATGAAAGCTTCTGCGTGTTTGTATGTCTATATGAGTTATGTGTGTGTGTCTATATGTGTTATGCTATATGTTGTGTTTCTATATGTTGTGTGTCTATACGTGATAATATTTAGTAAATAAAGCTAGTTTTTAAAATGTTGGTAAAATAAAAATGGCTTCAAAATTATCAGTTAAATACAGATACTTGCTTCATTTGACTGTGAGCTTATGTCTTTGGTTTAGAGTCTCCGGATTCCGGGATCTAAATGGGTAGTCATGATGAGGTATGAAGACATTTTCTATACCATTTTCTACGCCTATACCAGCCAGAATCAAGTCCAACATGGCTGCTTCCTCCTCTGCTTTTCCTGTTTGCCTCCTGGCTATTTTGGGATGGGTTGGATTCTCCAGATATAGTCTTCATGGCTCTGTTCTCTGTCCTTATGGATTCAGAAAGGCCTTGAATTTCATAATCCTCTTGGGTCCCCTGTGGCTACCTAAGACCTAGAATGCCTAGGGGAAGACATTAGAAAGGCTACCTGTGTCAATTTCAAAATTATTTTCAGTAATTTAAAATTTTAGAGTCATGTTATGTAAAATTAAGTAATAGATAATTATAAAATGTCTGAGTCATCTGTAAGTTGATATTGAAATGTAGATATTAAACATGAGTTTAAGTCTATATACCTTCACATGTTATTTTTACATGATATAGAAAAGCTAAATAGATCTGTCAATAAACAATAATTTGAAGAACTATTTTTCTTAAAAAATATAAAATGGTTTTTATCTACAAATACTGATATAAAACAGTTCAAAATTACTTTCTAGGTTTTTCACTAAAAAATAGAGATAATAAAAGTTAAAAACTACTAGATATGAGACAATTCTGTATACAGAGTGTATAAACAAAACCAAGATATGTGTTCAATGGGGAAAGTTATAAAGGCATAAAAATGTGTGTTTAAAATGTTGTCTGGTTTAAAGTTACTTAAAAGTTTCAAGTTGAAAGAGTAATAAAATAGATACAACACAATAAACAAAGAAAGTTGGGGAAAAATGTAAAACAAAAGGTTTATGGAAATCTTGTGTGGTTAAAAGATGACAGATTTGGTACATTTATTTATAAGGTTTTATTAAAATTAATTTTAGTTTTGATAATACACTAATACAAAAAGAAAACTTGGTTTTCTCTTTTGAACAAAATTTTTTTGTAGTTTTAATAACACATGGTAAAGTATTTTCATTCACCTTTTGAGTAAACTGCCAAAAGAGTGAAAAAGACAGAGGAAAGAAGAGACAGATTCTGTCTCATGCTGTCTTAGGTCTTTTGTTTGGAAAACTGGGTCTTTTTTTATCAGAGTACAGGTTTTGGCCTTTAAAAATCTTTTAAAATTATCACTTTGGTTAAATGAACAACTATTGTTTTATGGTGACCAGTGATCCTATTTTGTTCAAGTGTTTTAAACCTTTAATGTATTTGATAGGCTTCCCAAAATCATATTTCAGCATCAAAATTAAGTCTTCTTTGGCCTCTAACTTTGAGATGCTAAAGAGGGCCACTGAAGCCCTCTGTAGGGAGGTAAGCAGGATTATTTGACATGTTAAGTTACATGGGAAGCATTGTCAAGGAATAATGTTTAACCTTCTTCAGGTTATATTTAATGAATGTCATTAATATATGTTCCAAAATTGTATGGGATTTCTAAAATTCTAATATGTCTGAGTATGCACTATAAATCACACTTATGGTTATAATGTTGTTATTGTAGACCACAGAAATAAAGAAATTTTTTTATCAACTGTGTCTTTAAAATGCTTGTTTAAAGTCATTTCCACAGTTAATTGCTTAATTTTGATGCAATTTCTGAAAACTTCACAAGCATACAAAATTTTAGAATATAGAGTCTTTAAGGAGTTCATGAAAGAATGAAAACAACCCTGAAAAACACTCTTGAATGCAGGTTTCTAATAACTTTAGAATCATATCATTTGGATTGGGTTAAGAATTCCTAGTACTTTAATGACGAGACTGACTGGTTTATAAAACTGCTAACTCAAGTAGAATCAAATTAATTGAATACCGAGAAAATGCTTTGGCAAATTTTCATGCTGAATCAGCCAGTATTGAAATTGTGTAGATATACAATCTGAATGAACTCCATGGTCTAAGTCAGATTACTTATGATAACCCATCAGTTATCAGTGTTACACCCCTAAACCGGAAAAACAACTGGTATTCAAGAGGACTAAGTACAATGTTAAGCATGGACTCATGGAGGACCAGGATGGCTGCCTTGTCCTTCCTGAGTCCTTAAAGCTTTTGTTATTAAAAGTTCTGCATTTCATGACTCATCATGGAATAAGTAAAATGATCCAAATTAAATATATATATATAAATATATATATATAGTGACTTATAAATGGCTAAAATAGTTTACATAGTTTATGACCAACGTTTGGTTTGTCAAACTCATATTCCTGGGAAGACAATCAAAATTTCATGTGCATTCTGCTACCTGATGGGCCATTTAAACAATTATAGAGGGGTTTCATTCCATTGTCATTTTTAATGCATGTCTTCCGGTTGTATTAGAGCTTTCTCATGCAAGAAGACTGATGTTATAATAGCAGCTCACTATTCCACAGTGTATTTTCACCAGGTAAAGAGAGCTTTTCATGGTTTACTGTCTGAGGACAATTGTCCCCTTCACAATCTAGAACGCAAAGACTGAATCTTTGGAGAACATCAGAGAATCACTGCCCTTGCTATTCACACTGCAGCAAAACTTCGGGAACTTGAACCTTGGATTCATAATCTCACAACTGAGAAGGGTCCCTCCACACTCTTGGAACTGTACACCCACTGGAAAACCTTAAGGTAAAGCTAGCCAGGGAAGTTTCTCCCCAAAAGAAGGTGGCATCCTTGAAGTGAATAGCTTTTTCCCAAGATCAAGAAATCAAGACTTCTCTACTATCATGAGACTCTTTATCTTTCTTTTTTTTCCCCTTTTTTATTCATCTATGAACAATAGAAGTGGAAAGGGTGCTGTTGGGTGCACTCATGGCATATATATATATATTTTTTGTGAAGGAGTTTGCAGCCAGCATTATGCATGGATAACTTTATACCTTGACAGATGGAAGATGAAGGCCCAATGTAGGTGAAAAGCTTTAATAGTACATATGTTGCCTGATAATTAGTGAGAAACAGAACATTGTTCCACTTGTCTTAACCTATATCATGGGTTAAGGAGAACATTGTCAGGAGGTCTTCACTATTCTAGAAGGGCATCATTTGTTAGGTTTTCTTTTTTTTTTCCCCCATGGTTAGGAGTAAATGAGGCAATGATTGAAAATTTACCACTGATGATAGGCTTTAAAGCAGATTTTACTCTAAAGGTTATGGTTACACAACAGACTTTAAATTATCTTGTGAAAGTTATGCTAAATAATAGAATTGCTCTATTGTTCTAGATTACTTACTGGCTAAACAGAAGTATCTGTGCAGCTGGTGGCACTTGTTGCCCATGGAGAACTACATCATAGTGCATATTATAGAGATTCAGTTGTACGGGATTATTGAAGAGACTGTTTAATTAAAGTGAGTAGATTCTTTAGCTTATTCTTTGATCTATTTGATTTTAGTTGGTTTGGTTTATGGGGACCCACCATAAGGAGCATACCCCAAGCTCTTGGTATTATCCTCCTGATAGTCATAATAATAATCTTCTTGGCGCACTATATTCCCTCAAAAGTATTAAATGTTTGCATACAGACATCTCTAGAAGGTCAAATGGTCTCTCTTTAATGGGAATGACAAGAGCTGAAAAAGATGTGTGATCATGAGGGCACTGTAACCTATGAATGACATGCTGAGATGAGAAATCCAAAATGATGGTAACTGAGAGTGGTGCTAAGGCCCTAAGTTTGAATCACACTCTCACATAAGTGAGAACCTAACCAAAAGGGGAAAATTTTTAAACAAAATAGTGGGAGCCCATTGTTTTGGACTAAGCACATGCACTAGACCCCAACAGACCAGACCAAACCAAAATGGAGTCATTCATGCTAAATGTGACAAAATCAAACTGAAACTTTAAGGAAACATGTAGATCCTAGAACAAACTAGGTTTTGTTTTCTCCTGTGAACAGTCCATTCCAGCATAATCAGCTACCCTTTACTGTAACCCTTACAAAAAAATAACCTGAAGTCCTTGTTCCCCTTACCAAACCCACTGATCTGTTTGCTATTTCTCAGTGGGTTTCAAGATTGAATAAGTGCATTTACAATGGCGAGAGTGACATTACTGATTAAAATTTTGGTCAATCTCTCATAGTTGAAAAAATTGACCAAAGGGGGGGAATTATTAAATCAAGTATAGCCTAAAGCTGCCTCCTTACATATTTTAAGTTCAGCCTAAATGTTTCTCTTTGCATCGTGAACTATAACCTAAATGGAGTTATAAGCACACTGCAGCCTACTCTTGTGCTAATCACTGAGTTTTGTCCAATCAAAGGTGGCCAACTGTTCAAACTGTGTTAAAATAAGGCAGACATCAAGCTGTAACCAATCCAGCTGTTTCTGTTCCTCATTTCCATTTTCTGTATGTCACTTTCCTTGTTCTGTCCATATATCTTCCACCATGTGGCTGTGCTGAAGTCTCTAAGTCTAATCTGGCTTGTGAGGCTGCCCGATTCACAAAATTTTCTTTGCTCCACTTAACCCTTTTAAATTTAATTTAGCTAGTGTTTTCCTTTAATAGGAGAAAAACATGATGACATGAAAATATATCCCTAAAAGTGTTGGAACCTACATAAATATATCAGGAGAACCTTACAGATTCATGAACTAGTGACAAGGGAATAATTCCTATAAAATAATAGAACTCTGATTTTCAATGTGTATACTTGTAAAACAATTTTAACTATCCCTTAGATATGATACATCTACTTCCTTCCTTAAATTCCTAAGGTCTACATGTTAAGTATAACACTAAATTTGAACATATATTTGCATAACAGATTAAAAGATTTCATGTAATATTGTCATGCCTTTTTTAATACTTAAATGATGAAGTTCAATGTTCAGCATGTTAAACTTTCTAATTCTGGTAAAACTAAATTAATATTCCTCTTCCTATACTTTATCATTTAGGGTTAGAAACAATTTCATGGGCAATTTCACCATACCTTACTGCACCCTAAATAACCCCATACCTTCAGATGAAACTAATAAGGAGCCAGTGAAGCTTCAATGCAGATTACGATATAACTTATTGTCTACTTAGAATTTCATCTTGCAATTTTTTCATCAGAAGAAACTAAAAAAAAGCTATTCTGGACAAAGCAATTTCACTTTTGCTAAATATTCCAGAAATATGAGACTTAGAGCTTTATGGTAATTTATAGAATTTGAAAAGAATATTTAAAACAGCTTTTAAATTGATAGTGACTTTTAAGGAAAATTTAGTTTTCAATTTGCATTTTGATTGCAGGTTTTATAGGAAAAGAAAACACATAACTCCAACGACTCTAAACTTCTGGGAGGTCAGTCCCCAGGCATGGTTCAATTACCAGAGCCATCTCCATATGGAGAAAAGGAGCAGCTCAGTTAGTGTTTAATTCTTGTTAATTCTTGCCCTTCCTTTGAGAGTGTCATGGCTACAACTTCGACAAGAAGTTCTACAAACTTCTTCATTGATGAGAGTAACCTCATCAATTAAAAAAAAAACAGACAAAAATGTCTATTTCCAGCTATTAAAAAAATGGTAAAGTGTAGCATGGAAAGAAAATGAGGAAACAAAACAAAATAAAACAAAATTTAATATATTTTTTGAAAAGCTTTAGACTTCTGAAAAAAATTATACTTCTTTTTAATAAACATTGGGTTCTTTATTATGAAGTCTTATATATCACAGATTTTTATAGTGCATGACTGCTCTGAAAATAAGAAAGGCACTTTTATGCTTTCTGCTATATTCCATCTTTTTTCTTCTTCAAAGGTGAAAATATAGTAAGGTTTATATTATTTTTCCTATCATAAAACCTGAACCAGAAGAAATCTAATGGAATGTGAAGTTTTATAACAGGGGTAAGATTTTTAGATTGTCTTTCATCGAATGAAAAAATTCGCTATCTAACAGTATAATCCCATTGGTTTCCTAGCCTAGTATTTAAATATTATGCTATTCATGGGTAGTTATTACTTCTTAGAGAATGTATATCATAATTATGATTTTGCCTGAATTTTATAACTAGAATAAAGATTTTTTTTGCTTTTTGTCTGTTTTATCTTTTACTTTTACCTCTTCATTATTTTACAGTTATGCAATTATTTAGAAAGTCTAACAATACAAAGAAATGAAATCAAAATGGCATGCATAATTATTATTTGATAAATGTTGACACATATCTACATTATTACTATAAATATCAATATGCATTACAGTAATATAAGTAGTAGCCATTATATGTAAACATTTTATTTAAATGCTGAATCTTCCTGTTAAAAATACCAAGTAATGATCTTCAAGAGTATGGTTTTTAAAAACTTTTGTCAACATATGCTTTCTACTAAAATCAGTAGTAATGAATTATTAAATGTATAGAAAGATAATTTTGTGCTTTTAATTTTATTTGGTTCAAAATTTATCTAATATAAAATTATTTCTGCCCTCCTTATTATTCAAGCATTTGAATAGAAAGAAATAGATACATTGATTGTGACCCCTCAATATTGAGTTGGTTCTCTTCCTTATTATGTTGATAACTACTAAAAAATTCTCAGGGTTTTTAGATACCAAATATAATAAAAAGTAGAATGAAACACCTACTGCTTTTTTTTTTCCCCAAACTACTGTCATGATCATTAAAACTGTGTTTACACAATTGCACACACAAATATATGTGTAGATCGACAGATAAATAGATAGATAGATATATGTAGTAGATTTTTTAATTTTTTTTTTTTTGAGGTAACGTCTTAATCTGTACCCAGGCTGGAGTGCAGTGGCACAATCACAGCTTACTGCAGCCTTTACTTCCCAGGCTCAAGCAAACATCCCACCTCAGCCTTTCGAGTAGCTGAGACCACAGGTGCACAACACTATGCCTGGCTAACTTTTAGTTTTTTGTTTTTTTTTTATAGAGACAAAATATTTTCTATGTTGCTCAAACTCCTGGTCTCCAGGGATCCTCCTGCAACTCCCTTATGGAGAAAAAGAAACCTTTATTTACCATTAGTTGGGATGTAAATTGCTATAACTATTATGATGGAGAGTCTTAAAATTAAAAAAAAAAAAACTAGAACTATCATATGATTCAGCAATTCCATTTCTCCGTATTAACCCAAAGGAAATAAAATCAGTACATCAAAGAAATACCTATACTCCCATGTTCATTGTGGTGTGATTTACAATAGCCAAAACATAGAAGCAATCTAAATGTTCACCAATGGATGAATGGATGAAGAAATTGTGGTATTTACATACAATGGAATACTATTGAACCTTACAAGAAGAAGACAATCTTGCCATTTGTGACAATGTGGATGAACCTGGATGACCTTATACTAAGTGAAATAAGCTAAATCCAGTAGAACAACCACATGATGCCATTTATATGTGCAATATAAAATAGTCAAACTCATAGAAGCAGAGAGGGAAATGTTACTTGCCAGGATCTCGTGAAAGACAGAAATGGAGGGATTAGTCACAGGGTATGAGATTTTGGTTGTACAAGATGAATTAAGTCCTAGAGATCTACTGTATACCATAAAGCCTATAGTTAATAATATTATTTTATATTCTTAAAATTTACTAAGAGGGTATATCTTATGTTAGGTGCTCCTATCATAAACCAAAAAGTATCTGATGCAGCTCTCAATCAATTTCGATGTTTTTCTGCCAAGGTTAAAGACCATGGCCTGTGACACAGCCTCAGTAGATCCTGAGAACATGTGCTCAAGTTGGTTTGGTTACAGCTTGATTCTATACATTTTAGAGAGACAGAACTTATGCACAAAGACATAAAATCAACACATGTATGGTGTATTATTTGTCTGGCAGGGGTGGGCTTCCAGGTCATAGGTGAATATTGGCAATTGGTTGAAAGACTTTATCTCTGCCTGAAGTGTTGAAATCAGCTTGAGTTAAGGTAAGGGGGAGGATGTCCAATTAGTTGTTCACTGGCTTAGTATTTTCTTTGTGGTTTACAGTATCATAAATCAATAATAATGATAATAAATTTAATAAATAGGGTCGGAGAAAACTTTTGAAAGTGATAGGTTTACGGCATAGATTGTGGTGGTGGTTTCATAGGTATATACTTATCACCCAATTAATCATTTTGTATACATTAAATATGTACAACTTTTTAAAAAATCATTAATACCTCAACAAAATAGTCTCAAATAAAAGGCTACAAACTGTACGTTTATATTTATGTGGCCTCTTGAAAGTCAAAACTATGGAGGCAAAAAACAAAAAGAGTTTTTAGGAGCTGCAACTGGATGAGGAGGTGTTGACTACAGTGAGATATAGAGAATTTCTGGGGATAATGCAGTAGTTCCTATCTCGATTATGGTGACTGTTACACAAATGTGTGAAGTTGTCAGAACTCATAATATTTTAGTAAAAGATGTACATTTAAGGTCAATAAAAATACTAGTTTGCATACACAATCAAAATTAATCTGCTCATGGTGTTGTCTCCTGGGATCTTTCACTCAGGCATAAATATAAATAAATACTTATATAGGGAAAGGTACCATATATAGAAAAGTTACTATAGAAAAACAGATACGGGTACTGAAGGCTCAGCTGTATGCCAAATATTGCCTTTATGCTCCTTACATATTGTATTATTAAAACAGAACTGTAGCTATTTTCCTGGTAAGAAACTGACATCTTAAATAGGTTAAAGTAACTTTATACCGTCAAGGGTTAGACAGTGGCAAGACAGAGACTGATTCCAGCCTTACTGACAGCCTGGTTTTTATCTCCTTTACATAGCACATTTTCAGAAAATATCTTGCATGTTGTACCTGATAGTTGAAAGACAGAATGAAATGATCTTTTAATTTGGGAGGACTCCATTAAAATTGTGTTCATAAATAAACTGTTAGAACAAGGCCTCAAATAAATTTTTGAAATTGTCTTAATATGAAAAACAGAAGAGAGAATAATTAACATCATGGATTAAGTATGTACTTATATTTTGTGTGTAAAAAAATAAGATTTTGCAGTGTGATCAATGTTGGCTTTTAATGGAATTCACACAATATTTCCAACGGTTCACTAATGCAAAGCACGTGCAAAGATTTTGCACTTATCAGTTAGATTAGGGTAATAATAATATGTCAAGTTGATACGCTCTTGAATAATGAGGGTGAAGTAGAGAGGATAGAGCAAATCAAATTGCAAGAATAACGGAAGCACATATATTCAAATGAAACACTGGCAGACACTATAAGTGGATCAATAATTTAAATTTCCAAATTTTATTTTTAACATATCAGAAGCTATTTTTTTCTGAAAGATCAGGATTTGTTATTCATTGTTTGTAAACATATGCTTACAGTATAATTAAAAGCATGCAAGATTGGCCATGAGAAGTCAAGGTTATCATTACAAATTACTATTATTAAATGAAGTTTATGACGTTGGAATGTAAGTTTTACATATCTTCATTTTCATTAGTAACTACTGTTAAGTTTTATTTAGTATTAAATAGATACTAAAATAAAATTTATACACATGCCTGGAGATAAATGAAATACATTTATTTTCATGACTAATATTTTATAATGTTTATATCTTCCTTTACTAAACATTAAAGAAATCATCTACATTGACATTTTCTCAGCCTATCATACATATGATAAAAAATAAAAAACGTGGCTGGGCGTGGTGGCTCACGCCTGTAATCCCTGCACTTTGGGAGGCCGAGGCAGGTGGATGACGAGGTCAGGAGATCGAGATCATCCTGGCTAACATGGTGAAACGCCATCTCTACTAAAAATACAAAAAAATTAGCTGGGCATGGTGGTAGGTGCCTGTAGTCCCAGCTACTCAGGAGGCTGAGGCAGGAGAATGGCATGAACCCTGCAGGCAGAGTTTGCAGTAAGCCAAGATTGTGCCACTGCACTCCAGCCTGGGCAACAGAGCGAGACTCCATCTCAAAAAATAAACTAAAATAAAAAATAAAAATAAAAAACATTTGTCAAATAAATAAATACTGTAGGGTAGCAAAGTGACCTAAGCTATTACAGTCTTGAACAACTTTGTATTTTTCCTAAAAATTATAGCAACAGAAAATTTTGAAGACATTAATAATTAGCTACTTTCCTCTAAATGTTTTCCTAATTATAGTAAAAATGAGTCTCAGAGTATTCTGACATTATCATACATTTAATTAACTAAATTTACTAGCAGGCAAGCACAATACTTCATGCAGCCTCTTCACTAACCTCAAGCAAATGCCAGCTCCTTGTCCATTCAGGTGATATACTACCACTTATGTAAATGGTTACTCCACACCAACCCAATTTCCCAAGGCAGACTTTGGCTACTCTTCCTAACAAGAATCAGACATCTAACAGGTGTGAAGTGAAGCTTACTGTGATTTTTATTTACATTTCCCTCATGATTAATGATGTTGAGCACCATTTCATATACTAGTTGCCATTTTTATATCTTTTTGGAAAAGTGTCTATTAATGCCCTTTGCTGATATTGTGATTAGATTATTTGTTTTTTGTCTTGTTTTTGTTTTGCCACTGAGTTGTGTGAGTTCTTTATGTACTTTGAATATTAACTGCCTTTTCATTTGATTGTTTCCTTTACTGTGCAGAAGCTTTTTTATTTGATGCAATCCAATTTGTCTATTTTAAATTTTGTTTCCTGAGCTTTTTGTGTAATATCGAAAATATAATTACAAAGACCAATATTAAGGATCTTTTCTACTATGTTTGCTTCTGGTAGTTTTCCAGTTTCAAGTCTTATGTTTGGGTCTTTAATCCATTTTGACTTCAATTATATATATAAGGGTTTAGTTTTATTCTTTTGCATGCATATATGCAGGTTTCCCATCATCTGAAAAGGCTATCCTTTCCCCATTCTGTCTTCTTGGTACCCTTGTGGAAACTTAGGTCTGTACACACTTGAGTTTATTTCTTGGCTCTCTATTCTGCTCCATTTGTGCATTTGTCTATTTGTCTCTCTATTTCTTGGCTCTCTATTGTGTTCCATTTGTGTATGTGGCTATTTTTATGTAAGTACCATATTGTTTTAATTACTATAGCCTATAGCATTGCAATATAATTTGAGATCAGTAATTGTGATACTCCAATTTTGTATTTTCTTTTTCAAGATTGTTTTGGCTATTAGGGGTCCTTTTGTAGTTTCATACAAATATTAGAAGATTTTTCTATTTATGTGAAGAGTACCATTAGAATTTTGATAGGAGTTTTATTGAATCTGTGTATCACTGGGTAATAGAAACATTTTGACAATATTAAATCTTTTAATTTATGAATATGGGATACATTTCCATTTTCTTTTGCAATCTTCAATGTCCTTCATCAATGTTTTATAGTTTTCAGTGAACAGATCATTCAATTACTTGGTTAAATTTACCTCTAAGAATTTTGTTTCTTTTCCATACCTTTTAAGATAGCAGCAAAAGACAACAAATGTTGGTGAGGGTGTGGCGAAAAAGGAACAGTGTACACTGGTGGATGTAAATTGGTACAGTGATTATAAAAACAGTATGGTGAGTCCTTGAAAAATTAAAAATAGAATTATAATATGACCCCAAATTCTCACTTTTGGGCATGTACCCAGCCATAAAATAAAATCAATATATTAAACAGATACCTGCACTCTCATGTTCACTATAGCAGTATTCACAATGGCAAAGGTATGAAAACAACCTAGGTGTTCAGTGTTCATCTCAGGAGAATAGCTAAAGAAATTGTGGTGCATACATGCATGCACACAGACACACACACATAATGAAATATTTATCCTTGAAAAAGAGATAACTTCTATTTGTGACAACATGGATGAACCTGGAACACATTATGCTAAGTGAAGTAATTCAGAAATAGAAAGAAAAACACATATAAGTGATCTCACTTGTTTTTGAGAATGTAAATAAGTCAAAAACATGGAATCAGAGAGTAGAACTGTGGTTACGAGGGCATCTAGGGTGGGAGAGGGGGAGAAAATGGGGAAATGTAGGTCAAAGTGAGAGGTGACAGTGTGCTGGCAGCCCTCGCTCACTCTCAGCGCCTCCTCAGCCTGGCACCCACTCTAGCTGCACTTGAGGAGCCCTTCAGCCCGCCACTGCTCTGAGGGAGCCCCTCTCTGGGCTGGCCGAGGCCAGAGCTGGCTCCCTCTGCTTGTGGGGAGGTGTGGAGGGAGAGGCGCAGGCGGGAACCGGGGCTGTGCACTGCTCTCATGGGCCAGCGTGAGTCCTGGGTGGGCGTGGGCTCCGCGGGCCCCACACTTGGAGTGGCCGGCCGCCGCCACCGGCCCTGGGCAGTGAGGGGCTTAGCACCTGGGCCAGCAGCTGCAGAGGGTGCGCTGGGTCTCCCAGCAGTGCCAGCCTGCCAGCACTGTGCTTGAATTCTCGCTGGGCCTCAGCTGCCTCCCCATGGGACAGGGCTCCGGACCTGCAGCCCACCATGCCCGAGCCTCCCCACCACCATGGGCTCCTGCACGTCCCAAGCCTCCCCAAGGAGCACCACCCCCTGCTCCACGGCGCCCTGTCCCATCGATCGCCCAAGGGCTGAGGAGTGCAGGTGCATGGTGCAGGACTGGCGAGCAGCTCCACCTGCGGCCCCTGTGCAGGATCCACTAGGTGAAGCCAGCTGGGCTCCTGAGTCTAGTGGGGACTTGGAGAACCTTTATGTCTAGCTAAGGGATTGTAGATGCACCAATGAGCACTCTATGTCTAGCTCAAGGTTTGTAAATTCACCAACCAGCACTCTGTATCTGGCTAATCTGGTGGGGACTTGGAGAACCTTTATGTCTAGCTAAGGGATTATAAATACACCAATCAGCACTCTATGTCTAGCTCAAGGTTTGTAAACACACCAATCAGCACTCTGTATCTAGCTAATCTAGTGGGAACTTGGAGAACTTTTGTGTCTAGCTCAGAGATTATAAACACACCAATCAGCACCCTGTCAAAACAGACCTATCAGCTCTCTGTAAAACAGACCAATCAGTTCTCTGTAAAATGAACCAATCAGCAGGATGTGGGTGGGGCCAGATAAGGGAATAAAAGCAGGCTGCCCTAGCTAGCAGTGGCAACCTGCTCAGGTCTCCTTCCATAATGTGGAAGCATTGTTCTTTCACTCTTTGCAATAAATCTTGCTGCTGCTCACCCTTTGGGTCCACACTGCCTTTATGAGCTGCAACACTCACTGAGAAGGTCTGCAGCTTCACTCCTGAGGCCAGCGAGACCACAAACCCACCAGGAGGAATGAACAACTCCGGACAGCAGGAACGAACAACTCCAGACTCGCCGCCTTAAGAGCTGTAACACCCACCGCGAAGGTCTGCAGCTTCACTCCTGAAGCCAGCGAGACCACGAGCCCACCAGAAGGAAGAAACTCTGAACACGTCCAGACATCAGAAGGAACAAACCCCAGACACATCACCTTTAAGAACTCTAACAGTCACTGCGAGGTTTCGCAGCTTCATTCTTGAAGTCAGTGAGACCAAGAACCCACCAAATTCCGGACACAAAAGGATGAAAACTTGCAGTTGTGTAGGACAAATAAGTCTAGAGATCAAATGTACATTTTGAAGACTACAGTTAATAATACTGTAATTTATTCTAAACATTTTCCAAGGAAGTAGATTTGAGGTGCTCTTACCACACGAAAAAGGTAACTAGGAAGGTGATGAATACGTTAATTTGCTTAATTGTAGTAATCATTTTATTACACATATATGTATATAACAGCATGACATATGCATTAAATAAACACAGTTTTAAAAGAAAAAAAATTAGTCAATCCCCAGGATCAAGGCTGGCACAGGACCTCTTAGAGGATTAGCCTAAGCCATTGTCTATAAAGGTAGTATCTATAGGTCTTGCTGTTGTATAATCTATTCAGCCAAGGGCAGTGAAAATCTCTAAAATAATTTACCCAATCTGCATTTTTTATTGACTTTATCAGTAAGAACCCATTTTTAATACAGAAAACACCTATTAATCTGTTACTATTTGTACCAATAAAACCCATTTCTCATACTTACCATGTTGATTAAGAAAGTGCTGAACAAGGTAGTCAAAATCCCTTTTTAATCACACCTTGTGCAATATGAAGTATCTGATGGGAAAGTGTATTCTTTGGAATACTTACTGCTCTTTGCTTATAGCTTAACCTAAGGAACATGCAATATCATAATCTATGCTGACGTGTTTTCAAGAAAATCACAGACGTCATAATATGGCGGGAAAATTAATATTAACCTAACATTAATCATATTTTGTTTTGTTCTTATTAACTCTTTTGTAACTTTAGGTCTGTTCTTTTTATAGGCAATGGCTATTCTTATTCTACATAAAATTAGAAAATCTTCTTGTCTTAAAAAAACGTTTGAACAACAAGCTATACTTACTTAAATGGACATGATAATATATCCAGACTATATATTGCATTACTTAAAAATTTCCTGATTTCTTCAAAGTATTTTTTTAAATTTAAAAACCATGAAAGTAAATCAATTTACCATGAAATTATACTAAAAGATTTTTGAATATGCATGATATATGCTCCAAACTATGTTTTATCTAATGAGCTGTTGATTATTAATTTAAGACTTATCTAAGATAATCACTGGCATTTTAAGCTTTTGCAGTTTTTTGCAACTTAGAGAAAATATTAGAAATGGAAGCAGCTATTTTCAGTATTTTATAGCAAATGATAAAAGAATCAGAGAAATGAATAGTTTCTTATAATAGAAATTTTATGCTAGTGTAGCTTTACTGAAGGAATCACACTGCAGGAGGAAAGTAAAAAAAAATGTACACCTAATAAATAACATTTTCTCTTATAGGTTTGTGTAATTAGATCAACCACCACAAGGGAAAAATAACTTGGCAAAAGTTATTCAATTCTTGATAATAGAAGAACAGCCAGAGGTGTAGTAAATTGCCCTAGATATATGTGCCCCAGTATTATTTCTTAGTAATTTCTAATTAGTTCTAAGTAATTCTCCAGTAGAAGCCTTAAAGAAAAGCACATATTCAAGTACCAGATGTGACATAGCATCATCAATGGCTGATTCATTATAAAAGTCATCTCTCTAGACTTTAGTTTCACCCTTCGCTTGAAATATGGAACATTGATCAAAGTAACTCAGAAAGTCCTCACTTTTTATGCACCCCTTCTCTTCTAAACACAAATAAATGATTAACAAAATACACAAAAATAAAAAGACAGACATGGGCACAATATAACATGAACAATCCCAGATAATATGCGGAATCAGAACACCTCACATTGATTAGAGCTGAAGCCATGTCTGCTTTGCTGTCATTCTAGAAGCAAAGGCATGCAGGAATTTAATGAGAATGAGGAATAAAACCTCATCTCACTATTTGAAAACAAGTGGTGGGGAGTGAGATGAAAAAAAAGTTCCCATTTCTGAAAGAGGACCAAAAACCAAGCAGATATCGCAAAGCCCCATACTCCCGCAGGCCTGGGGTGGGGCTGAAGGACCGTGTCCTGCAGTGCTACATTAGAACCTGAGGCAAAAGGAAAATGTGTGCCCATATGTGCACTTAGCAAAACGTTGTCCTATATTTTGGACCAGATGAAAAAGTGAATTAATATCTAACAATTAAAAAACATTATTAGGCCGGGTGTGGTGGCTCACGCCTGCAATCCCAGCACTTTAGGAGGGTGAGGCGGGTAGATCATGAGGTCAGGAGTTCGAGACCAACCTGGCCAATATGGTGAAACCCCGTCACTACTAAAAAATACAAAAAATTAGCCAGGTGTGGTGGTGCGTGCCTGTAGTCCCAGCTACTCAGGAGGCTGAGGCAGGAGAATCGCTTGAACCCGGGAGGCAGAGGTTGCAGCGAGCCAAGATTGCACCACTGCACTCCAGCCTGCGCGACAGAGCAAGACGCCGTCTCAAAAAAAAAGAAAAAGAAAAAGAAAACATTATTACATATAAAGTCCCTTGTTGCTCAATCCATTCTCTAGTCACCGTCAGCCCTTATAAATTTAGAATTATGAGACTAATGGACAGACTGTTCCAATGCGCAATAATTGCAGGTACTAAAACAAGTAAACAATACCCTGCCATTATTTACAATTTTTATATTTTCTTCATAAATATTTTGCATTAACTTTAAGTTTTGCAATGCTGCATTAAATATTTTTCTGGAGTACTGAGTTTTTGGCACTTTCTTAAATTTTAGATTCAAGGAGCATGCCTCAAAGTCTTCTACTAGTCCTAATATTAGCGCATTAGCGGAACATAGACGCATTTCAACCAGTAATGGTTGAGGTAGAGAAATCTTCAATCAGTTCTGAGACAGGAGCTCAGAAATGACCTTTCCATGACCTTATGGATCTCCACAGTGCAACTACAGGCAGATCAAGTTTAGTATTATAGTTGCATGGCTTCTGAGAACTAGGGTACTTCTAGTTTTTCAATCTCTTGGACTAGTATATGGCTCTGATTATCATTATACAAAACAGTTTTCTAGATATCACATCAATGTTCCAAGTAGCAGAATAAGAAAAGGAAGAAGAGGCATTTGCCGTTCTTCTTCCATTAAAGATACAATCCTCATATCCCACTGGGTAGAGTATATAGGTAAGATCACAACTACCTACAGGCTATGTGGCCACATGTAGTCTACATTCCAGCTGACCATATGCCCAACCACAATGTAGGAATTGTATTGCTGTATAAAAGACATACTAGATCTGTAGAGCAATCATTAATCTCTGCCACAAATTTTGAGCAAGTAATTAATAAAAATGTTAAAAATTGAGTTATATAAATATAAAATATTGTGTAAGAAACACTAAAAAATATTAGATGATACTAAAAAGATAGAAGATTAAATTTTCAACATAAACTAAGTATCTGTGAGATAAAGAGGCTAACATATTATTTAAAAAAATAGAGGATTTAAGCGGAAAAATACATGGATTTATTTTATGAACATATAGAAAACTATGTATCTTTTACATAGAGGATATGTATTACTTCTAAGGTATCAAGTAATTTTCACAAAAAATGACCACTTTCTAACTTAAAATGAATATATGGGTCATTTTCAGTTGGATGTTTAATATTAGAACAATTAAAAATAAACACTACTGTGTATGCTCACAAATCAGGAAGTTCATGCCTGAAGAAAGGCATGCATAATATGCAAATTTCAATTAAAACAAGAAACTTTTGTAGTTAAGATAAACAGCTTTCTTGTCCCCTCTCCAAGAAGATGCCCAAGTCCTAATGCTTGAAGCTTTGTGAATTTATTAATTTATATGCAATGCAGAATTAAGTTTGCAGGTGGAATTTTTTCCAAACAATTGAAAATACAGAGATTATCCTGAATTATCTATGTGGCCTCAATGCCGTCATAACAGGTAAAAGTGGAAGAGAGGCACAAGAGAAGTGAGAATCAGTGAAAGACAGGTAAAAATGAAAGGAAGTCAGAAAGATGTTTGTCTGGTTTTGAAATGGAAAAAGGAGCCAAAAGCCAATGGATGTGGACAGCTTCTCAAAACCAAAGAAAGCAATGAAATAGAATCTCCCCTACAGCCTCCAGAAAGAAACATAGCTTTGTAGATTCTTTGCTCTCAACTTGGTGAGAAAGCTGTTGGGTTTCTGACCTCCAGATCTGTGAGATAATAAATGTGTATTATTTAAGCCACCAAGTTTGTGTAACTTGTAAGTGAAGAAAATGGAAAATTAATAAACTTTTGAAATGACTTTAAATCAGTTTGTCATATATCAATATTATTAATGATACCAAAGCAGTACTTAGGTAAAAATGATTAAATGTGGTTTAAAAAAGAGTTAAAAGGTAGAGATTAAATGCATTACATTTATCAACACAAAAATTAGATAAACTATGATTTGAAGAAGGCAGCATTTCCTTTTCCTCTATTGGAAATTACATAAAGATGACAAGAAAGCTGAGAAATTGAAACGCAACTTGCATTTTTAGAAAAATTATGACACAGCTAAACAACCCCTGAAAAACACATTAAAAATTAGGTAAAACTGCAGCCCGATGCAATGGGGCTCAAATATTAGTAATTGCTCTAAGAACTTGAAAAGACTAGGGCAATTAGTCTCAGAAGTCGCGAGAAAATAGGCTCCTTGATTTGGCCATGCCTCCAGTAAATCTCTTTTATTTAGTAATGAAAAAGCATAGCATATAGTGAGCATGGCTTCTCTGGAACCAGTTTTCTTCCCAGAAATGGCAAATAAAGGAATCATACAAGCAGGTCATATATTCAGGATGAAGCCATCTCTACATCAGGAGGGAATGAAGAGTTGTTATCCTCTAGAACAAGTGAGAACTAGGAATAAACAAATTTACCCTCAAAACCAAGGAGCAAAAGAAAAAAATTATAAGTAACTAGCATCTGGAACTAAGCGTTTTCCAACATGAAACTCCTACAAACAGATAACCTAAAAAATGAAAGACAGTGCAAAGATACTACAAGGAAAATAAACATCTTTTTAATTAGACAACAAAGCAGTTATTAGAAATGTTTTGTTACATCTTGGTGAAATGCAAATAAAATAATATACTGAATGCAGTAATCACCTCTATGAATCAATAGAACAAAATAGAAATATAAGAACTTAAGAAAAAATAGTAAAATGACAGAGACAGAAAAAACAATGTGACAGAATGAGCTCAGGACAAATTGAATTTCATTCTGTCAACAAATATGTTATTTATTATAAAACTTTTGAGAAGCTAATGTATGATAGGCACTATTTGAGAAATGTGTTATATTAGGAAACAAAACAGACAAATACCCCTATTGTCATGGACTTTATATGATGGAAGGAAGGTGGACTGGATAGAAAAGTAAACATGCTAATCACATAAATTGTTATTGTATTTATATATTATATTATATAAGAATATCCAAAGTAAAATGGAAGAGTCAGTATATCAGGATAAGGATGAGGAGCTGGCAGTGTGATTGAAGTATCATTAAGGCAAGATTTGCATGCAGATGTCAAGAGAATTAGTGAATTTGCCAAGCAAATAACCACAAGAAAAGCATCCTGGCAATGAAACCAGCTAAAACAAAAATCCTAAGGCAAGCATGTATCTCTGAGCTCTTGAGAGGCCCCAAGCTTCATACAGGAATCAATATCTCTTCTAGCAGTTTCACAACAGCTTCCAGGTTACCAAAAAAGGAGCATGCTCAACTACAAGATTTACCAAGCTCAGGAAAATCCAAAGCTATGGCTTTACCCAGGTTTTTATGGTGTGATTCTTTTTTAATAGTATCTCCAGTCCAGAAGTGGCTTAGTAATCAGTGTTGTTATTGTTGTTTTATTTTTCCTGCTAAAACCAATGTTGCCTGAGAACACAGCTGACATTCTACCTTTATCAGATTGCTAGCAACTAGAAGGCAAATTCAAGGTTTATGTGTTTTTCCTGATAGTGTGTATGTTTTATCACTTTAAATTATTGACCTATAATTATACGTATTTATGGAGTACAGTGTTGCAATGCATGTGTACATTATACAATAATTAAATCAGGGTAATTACCATATCCATCCTTTAAATATGTGTTCAAAATGGATGGAAGAAGAGAAAAGTTTGTTGTTTTTCTCTTTACTCATGCCTACTATTCATAGTAACTTTGTATCTATAGTTGTGTTAAAATGTCCTCTAGAGGGAATACTTAAAATGCATAGACCACAGAATTCCAGAATTTAAATAAGATGTCAAACCAAAACACAATATTTGCTTGGGAATTACCTTTTACTCTCTGGCATACAGGTGTCTCACTGAAACATCAACTTCATTTTCTTCAGGACCTATCAAGAAAAGTGGAATCAAGTGAACTTTTACTAGACCACCATCATGTTTTATTGAATATTCAGATTAGAAAGGTCCTTTTAGACTAAATTTCGATATAGCTTATCAGCGTTTGTAGCATTTTAAAGAAGAGTTGTGATGATGTACTCTGAAACAGATTACTCATGAGGCTAATGTAGTTTAAATTTCAGGACCTCTAATTTGGAAAGCTCCCTACCTAGCCCTACCTGAGAGACAAACTGTGTGTGTTTGTCAGCCTGGCGCAGTGGCTCACACCTATAATCCCAACACTTGGGGAGGCCGAGGTGGGCGGATCACGAGGTCAGGAGATCAAGACCATCCTGGCTAAGAGGGTGAAACCCCGTCTCTACTAAAAACACAAAAATTAGCCGAGCATGGTGGCGGGCACTTGTAATCCCAGCTACTCGGGAGTCTGAGGCAGGAGAATGGCATGAACCTGGGAGGCGGAGCTTGGAGTGAGCCGAGATTGCGCCACTGCACTCCAGCCTGGGCAAAACAGTGAGACTCCGTCTCAAAAAACAAACAAACAAACAAACAAAAACAGGCTGGGCCTGGTGGCTCACGCCTGTAATCCGAGCACTTTGAGAGGCCAAGGCGTGCGGATCACAAGGTTAGGAGATCAAGACCATCCTGGCTAACACGGTGAAACCCCGTCTCTATTAAAAATACAAAAAGATTACCCGGGCCTGGTGGCAGGCGCCTGTAGTCCCAGCTACTCAGGAGGCTGAGGCAGGAGAATGGCATGAACCTGGGAGGCAGAGGCTTGCAGTGAGCGAAGATCGCACCACTGCACTCCAGCCTGGGCGACAGAGTGAGACTCCATCTCAAAAATAAAATAAAATAAAATAACATGTCCCCTAGTTTATACACGCTTCAGTTTCTAAAATATTAATCCATCAATCTCATTCTTACTTTATTTGGGTACAGATCTATAAGGCAACTTCATGAACAATAAATAAAATACCATGAGTTGTGTTGATTGGCTGCAATAAAGAATACATCCAGAATAGAAGCTTCAGCTAAACATCACTTGATTAAATGAATTATAATCCACTGTTATTTCCCAAGTTATATCACTATTCTACACAGTGTAAAAGTAAACTAAGTGGAGATCTTCTAGGGATCAAGTAACGTACATAGCATAAGATCTTTTCTTGCACAGTAGCCCTTATTTCATAAATCAGAAAGCTAATATGAACAATATACCAACTACTAAGTGAAGTGTTAAAATTCTGTATTCATGAACAGAGAAACTAATGAAAGGATGAATCTGAGTTCCTATGAACCAACTGTGTGGCAATCGTGAATGAAGACTCAATCATTACATGCTAACTCTTTACCCTGACCCATGAAACATAATGTGTCCCCAGGAATTTGCATTCACTTGGATCTATGGCAAACAAACCCTGAAATTTCTAACAATTATCATGGTGTACATTTGACAGGTATCTTTGGGAAAGGCAAAAATAAGTATGTATAATATGCACTTATGATATGATTATTGAATCTTTTGTTTTTGTCAGTCTCCTAGATGCTACTTCATAAAGAAGACCTGTGATTGTGAACTGGGTGAGTTCATTTCTAAGAAGTGGGTGAGATGCTTTATTTCCAGTTCATTTCTAAGAACTGAGTGAGATGCTTAAAGTTTCCATCATATTGATTTAAGATTGCACTGTGCTTGTCATATCTGTAATTTTTGTTTTATTTTGTATGTCTTTTTTATTGTGTTTATTTTTATTTATTTAATTTATTTATTTATTTATTTATTTTTTAGTTTTTTGAGACGAAGTCTGGCTCTGTGCCCAGGCTGGAGTGCAGTGGCACGATCTTGGCTCACTGCAACCTTTGCCTCCCAGATTCCAGCGATTATTCTGCCTCAGCTTCCCAAGTAGCTGGGACTACAGGCGGTGCCACCACGCCCGGCTAATTTTTGTATTTTTAGTGGAGATGGGGTTTCACCATGTTAGGCAGGACGGTCTTGATCTCCTGACCTATGATCTGCCCTCCTCAGCCTCTTAAATTGCTGGGATTACAGGCATGAGCCACTGTGCCTGGTCATTTTGTATAACTCTTTACCCTTTTACAATCCAACTTGGATTTTAGTGATTCTTCAGTACCAGGAACTGCATAGTCAGTTAATCATTTTCACATTTAAGGGAAGTTTGGCTGCTGTGGACCCTGTGGTTACATCATCCCAAACGAAATTAAGGGAGTCCATTTAAATAGTAGAATCTGATAGCAACATCTCTGACTTTAAGAGAAACATCACCAGAATATATTTCAACAATGGTTTCATTCTCATCAAAAATGCAGTTCCTGATGCTTTCATGATGCTTATGAATCATCTCTGGGGACATCAGAGAGGAACTCAGTGAAAGTAAATTGCACATCTTAAATCAACTTAAACATTCATAAGTATCATTTTTTTCCATTTCTTCCGCTACATTAGACCAAGACATTTCCAGCATTTTATCCTTATTTCGTGAGAGAGAACTCTGAGTCCAAAACTTAGTCAACAAACAACTAGAACTATTTCTGTTTTATCTAGTTAGAATATTAAATCCACAATCTTTAATCAATGTGCTCTTTAAAAATCACCTTACTAAAATTACATTTCTTTGTACTTGGTCAAATACTCTCAGAATCTATACTCACAAATATCATTCATGGATTTTTTCCAATATAAATTAGCAAAGCTTTCCAATGCTTTCATTTTTTTCTCCCAGGGTAACTTTATAATTGGCCCCCTGGGGGATGCTAGATTCTTAGTCCCATTATAGATCTGGATAAAATGATAAATTTAAAGTTAGTGGAGGTGTTCATGAGAAGAACTGACAGCTCTAGAGGTTTTTATAGTTTCCTAGCAAGGCAGAAATGGCCTCCTGAGACCGTGTGGAAGAGAGGTTGCATCTGTAGACTAGGGATGTATGTGGTCAGAGTTTAGGGAAAACTTCAGCAATCTTGTTACCTCCTCTTGCAACCACTTTTATTGTCATGTTCATATCCCTTCATACACCTTATTAAGTATTTAAATTTAGCATGAGATAACTTTTATAATTCATAATGATGAAACTTAAGTACATTTCAGAGACTGTTTTGAGCATTCACATATATTAACAAATTTACTCCTCACAATACCTTATAAAGCAGGCATTATTATTTAAATGAGAAAATTGCATTACAGAGATGGAAATTTGCCCCAAATTACAAAGCTAGAAATAGCTGAACTAGAACCTGAACCAAAATAGTCTAGTTTTATAACCCTTACATTTAACTATACTGAGGCCGAGAGATCAGTGAATGTTGTAATTCATAAACCCACAGGACCAAATTTTAATTCAAGCTTTTAGGTATATTATCCCTAAAAATGTAATTGATGAGAAATTCTTTAAATTCAGTCACAGAAATGATATGACTTGTTGTCTTTTACTTGGAACTTAAAAAGTTAGCACTCTAAGCTTTTTATTCTCTTTAAGATGACCAGTATAAATAAAGGAAACAGCTCATTATACATTGCTTCGATTTTTCATGTTTTTTTAATATATATTTTTTCTATTAAAATGTTGTCACTTGAACTTTATTCCAGTTATCCACACATGGTAATTTAGTTACTTAGCCAAAGCATGCCATAGGCTGCCATGAGTTACATATTTTAATTATACTGTTAAATGACAGAATTCCAACCAGGCCGGAAAACTGTTAAAATAAATTAAATTTTGCCTAAGTTTACCTCAGAACCTTGAATTCCTCCATAGTAAACTTCGACCTTAGTATGAAAACCACTACAATCTAACAAGAGCATAATTTTGTAATAAATATTTATTACAACATCTGAGCTTCACAACATCTGAGCTTCAGCCAATCACAAGCTACCAACTGAGCAGACCAAGTCCAAATAAGGAAAACTCTGAACTGTAACCAATCAAGCTTTTTATGTAGTTCACTTCCATTTTTTGTCTATAAATGCTTCTTGCCCACAGCTGTGCAGCACAGCTTTTTGAACCTTTTCTTGTTCTATGGACTAATTGATTCATGAATTATTGTTTGCTCAATTAAATTCTGTTAAATTAAATTTGTCTATGGTTTTTTTATTTTAATAAAGCCATTCCCAGATGTCCAACAGTACCCTGAGGGTCACCTTCTTTTATTTATATCTTCCCCCATTTCATAGAGGTTTTAGGTAATTAATTTTAATAAAAACATATAGGTTCTAGCAAATTAAACAGGAAGTTAAGCTTCCAACTACAATGTTCAAAACAATGCTATCAATTTGGCTTCTTGAGAAGATAATCGCAACCACTGAAGTCACTCAATCACTCGACAAAGGCATTATCACCCCCTCACTGACACTGCCCCACCAATGCAACTTGAGTGTTACAATTCAACCTTTTGCTTCTGTTGTTACTGAAATCTGGGCGTATTTGCTGGCAAAATGAATTCCATAGAAATTCTAAATACTCTGAATGAAAGTCTCTAGGACTAAGTGTATTGCTGAATCCATGGTCCATGACCTAGTCCTAGATCTAGGCCTATAATGGGTCCACACTAAATGACTGCATTTTTTAGATGTTAACATTGTGGGACATAGATATCACAAAAATGGGAATTTGCTCAAACAAGGACATCAATAAGTAATGAGTCATCAGAAAACCTGACATGGCAAATAATCTGAGAAGACAAAAAGAGCACATACTGATCTCTCTCTATAATGCAAAAGACTTGTGATAATGTTCATAATTATGTTAATAATAAGAAAATCCTAAATAAAGTAATAACATAAGGATACTTTTTAACAATAAAAACCGTGTTTAGTTTAACAAAAGAAATGCTAGAATGATTTTTAAGCAGAAATACTAGGAGCAGTGTTATTGAGTTCAGAATTTAGATTTATTTTTGGTCATTGTCATTATTATTCAACAATGTCTTGGAAGTCACAGCTAGTATCACTGGGAAGGGAACTTAGAGATATAAAAATTGGAAAAGAAGAGTTATAAAAATTATTTAATGATAATTTCTTGATGATTAGAAAATCCAAGGAGATTAAGTATAACACTACAAGAAAAAGCAGGAGGCTATAGGAAACTGGCTGGTTAAAAAAAAATAATATTCAGGAATCAATAACTTCTTCATATAGAAATAATCACCAGTTAGAAGATACGTTGATTTATAACAGTAAAACAACAAAAAGCATGAAAGACATATTAATAAATATAACTAGAATTATACATTATTTCAATCACTTTTAACACTTAAAATTTCCCTAAGTTGAGATGAACAAAGGCAAACAAAAAATAGATTGATAGACAAAAATATTTAAAGTCACAAAATGCCAATTATTCTTATGTTAATTAATATATCTAATGTACTCTTAATACAGATGACAAAAGGAATTTTTAACTAGCAAAGCTGATTCTACATTTTACAGGGAAAATACCCAAAGAAATTTTGAAAATTAAGAATAATAAAGCAACAGTACTGCTAACAGACAACAAAATATATTATGATGCCATAAAAATAAATCATATGGTATTGGTATATGAACAGATGGCAAAATAACTGCAAATGAAAGTTTTAAAGTATCTGCAGATGCATGAACACATTTAATATCTAATGAAGTGTTTCCCATGTTTATGATCACTAGAAAATGATAGGATGTTAAAAAATGATGTAAGCTCATCTAAGTATTCATCTAACAAAAAAAAAAATGTGGATCTATGCATGAACCCCAACTAAGACACATTCTAATTAAACTAAAGCAGTGTATTTTAAAAATAAATAAATAAATAAATGAGAGAAAGAGAAAATAAAGAAGGAGGATGAGGAAGAAGAGCCAGAAGAGGAGCCAGAAGGGGGAAAAAGAAGAGGAGGAGGAGGAGGAGGAGGAAAGAGAAGAAAGATGAGGGGGAACAAAAGGAGGAGAAGTAAAGTAGGAGAAAGAGAAGAAGAAAGGTGAGGATTTTTTTTTAAGGAGCCATGGGAAAATTAATTTCAGAATTAGTGAGTCTTTTCTATGACAAAAATGAATAAAAATTCCATTAACCAAATTCACACCAACTTATTTGCCCTTGAAAACCCCAGCTTCTAGTAACCACCATCTTACTCTTTTATTTTATGAGATCAACTTTTTTTTTTTTTCATTGCAGGGTACATGTGCAGGATGTGTAGATTTGTTACACAGGTAAACGTGTGCCATGGTGGTTTGCTGCACCTATCAACCCGTCACCTAGGTATTAAGCCTAGCATGCATTAGCTCTTTTCCCTAATTATCTCTGTCCCTCTGCCCTCCCATGAGAGGCCCCAATGTGTGTTGCTCCCCTCCCGGTGTCCACGTGTTCTCACTGTTCAGCTCCCCCTTATAAGTGAGAACACGCAGCGTTTGGTTTTCTGTTCCTGCATTAGTTTGCTGAGGATAATGGCTTCCAGGTTGTTTATGTGGTTGCTTCGTAGTGTCATTGGTCTGTGTACTTCATTGTGTTTTTGTAGTAGCTGGGAAAGGTTTTTCCTTTCTGGGAATGGTTTTTCCTTTCCATGTTTAGTGCTTCCTTCAAGGGCTCTGGCAAAGCAGGCCTGGTGGTGATGAAATCCCTCAGCATATGCTTGTCTGAAAATGATTTTATTTCTCCTTCGCTTATGAACCTTAGTTTGGCCAGATATAAAATTCTGAGCTGGAAATTCTTTTAAGAATGTTAAATATTGGCCCCCAAACTCTTCTGGCTTGCAGGGTTTCCACTGAAAGGTCCACTGTTAGTCTGATAAGCTTCCCTTTGTAGATGATTAGGCCTTTCTCTCTGATTGCCCTTAACTTTTTTTTCCCTCATTTCAACCTTGGAGAATCTGATGATTTTGTGTCTTGGGGTAGATGTTCTTGGGGAGTATCTTAAGGGGTTCTCTGGAATGTCTTAATTTGAATGTTGGCCTTTCTCACTAGGTTGCAGAGGTTCTGGATGATACCCTGAAGTGTGTTTTACAACTTGATTCCACTCTCCCTAACTCTTTCAGGTTCTACAATCAGTTGTAACTATGGTTTTTTTTTACATAGTCCCATAGTTCTTGGAGTTTTATTCATTCTTTTTCATCCTCATTACTCTAATCTTATCTCCCTGCCTTATTTCAGCAAGATAGTCTTCAAGTTCTAATATTCTCTCTTCCACTTGGTTGATTCAGCTATTGATACTAGTGTTTGCATCATGAAGTTCTTGTGCTGTGTTTTTCAGCTCAATCAGGTCATTTATGCTCCTCTCTAAACCGGTTGTTCTAGTTAACGGCCCCTATATTTTATTATGGTTCTTAGCTTTTTTTTGCATTGGGTTAGAAAGTAACCCTTTAGCTCAGTGAATTCCTTATTACCCATTTTCTGAAGCCTACTTCTGTCAGTTTATCCATCTCAGTTTCAGCCCTGTTCTATGCCCTTGCTGGAGAAGTACTGAAATCATTTGGAGGGGAAGAGGCATTCTGGCATTTGGTATTTTCAACATTTTTGCACTGGATTTTCCTCATCTTCATGGATTTATCTGCCTTTGATCTTTGAGGCTGTTGACCTTTGGATAGGGTTTTTGTGGGGTCTTTTTTGTTGATGTTGTTGTTGTTGTTGATTTCTGTTTGTCTGTTTTTCTTCTAATGGTCAGGCCCCTCTTCTGCAGGTCTGCTGCAGTTTTCTTGTGGTTGATTCCAGATGCTGTTTATCTGGGGATCACCAGGCTGCAGAACAGCGAGGATTGCTGCCTGCTCCTTCCTCTAGAAGCTTTGTCCCAGCAGGGCACCAACTTGATGCCAGATGGAACTCTCCAGTATGAGGTGTCTGGCAACCGCTGTTGGGAGGTCTCACCCAGTCAGGAGGCACCCAGGTCAGGGACCCGCTTAAGGAAGCAGTCTGACTGTCCCTTAGCAGAGCTGGTGCACTGTGCTGGGGGAATCCCCCTCATCTGGATTGCCTGGACTCTTCAGAGCCAGCAAGCAGGAAAGATTAAGTTCACTGAACCCAAGACCACAGCCAGCCCTCTCCCTAGGTGCTCTGTCCCAGGGAGATAAGAGTTATGTCTCTATGCCCCTGGCTGGCATTGCTGGAATTCCCATAGGGAGGCCTTGCCTGGTGAGAGGGATGGATCTGGGTCCCACCTAAAGAAGCAGTCTGGCCATGACCTGTCACAGCCCCTGTGCTGTGATGTGCGGAATACCACCCAGTCGAAACTGACCATCATCCCTAGCACTGGATGGGGAGAACCACCAACTAGATCCACAGTAATGGCGGTTGCCCCTCCCGCCTGGGAACTTTGTTGTTTTAGGCAGACTCCAGGCTGCTGTGCTGGCCAGCGGAGATTCCAAGCCAGGGGTGTTAGTTTGCGGGGTTCTGTGGGAGTCAGCAAGGCTGTTGGCTCCCTGGCTTCAGCCCCTATTCCACTGGAGTGGATAGTTCTCCTGCCTCACTGGAGCTCCGGGTGCCACCAGAGTCTGTGAAAACTCCTGCAGCTTATGTAATGGATTACGTTTATTGATTTGCGTATGTTGATCCAGCCTTGCATCCCAGGGATGAAGCCCACTTGATCATGGTGGATAAGCTTTTTGATATGCTGCTGGATTCAGTTTGCCAGTATTTTATTGAGGATTTTTGCATCGATGTTCATCAGGAATATTGGTCTAAAATTCTCTTTTTTTGTTGTTGCGTCTCTGTCAGGCTTTGGTATCAGGATGATGCTGGCCTCATAAAATGAGTTAGGGAGGATTCCCTCTTTTTCTATTGATTGGAATAGTTTCAGAAGGAATGGTACCAGCCCCTCTTTGTACCTCTGGTAGAATTTGGCTGTGAATCCGTCTGGTCCTGGACTTTTTTTGGTTGATAGGCTATTAATTATTGCCTCAATTTCAGAGCCCGTTATTGGTCTATTCAGGAATTCAACTTCTTCCTGGTTTAGTCTTGGGAGGGTGTATGTGTCCAGGAATTTATCCATTTCTTCTAGATTTTCTAGCTTATTTGCATAGAGGTGTTTATAGTATTCTCTGATGGTAGTTTTTATCTCTGTGGGATCAGTGGTGATATCCCCTTTATCATTTTTTATTGTGTCTATTTGATTCTTCTCTCTTTTCTTCTTTATTAGCCTTGGTAGTGGTCTATCAATTTTGTTGATGTTTTCAAAAAACAAGCTCCTGGATTCATTGATTTTTTCAAGGGTTTTTTGTGTCTCTATCTCCTTCAGTTCTGCTCTGATCTTAGTTATTTCTTGCCTTCTGCTAGCTTTTGAATGTGTTTGCTCTTGCTTCTCTAGTTCTTTTAATTGTGATGTTAGGGTGTCCATTTTAGATCTTTCCTGCTTTCTCTTGTGGGCATTTAGTACTATAAATTTCCCTCTACACACTGCATTAAATGTGTCCCAGAGATTCTGGTATGTTGTGTCTTCATTCTCATTGGTTTCAAAGAACATCTTTATTTCTGCCTTCATTTCATTACGTACCCAGTAGTCATTCAAGAGCAGGTTGTTGGGCCGGGCGCGGTGGCTCACGCCTGTAATCCCAGCACTTTGGGAGGCCGAGGCGGGCGGATCACAAGGTCAGGAGATCGAGACCATCCCGGCTAAAACGGTGAAACCCCGTCTCTACTAAAAATACAAAAAAATTAGCCGGGCGTAGTGGCGGGCGCCTGTAGTCCCAGCTACTTGGGAGGCTGAGGCAGGAGAATGGCGTGAACCCCGGATGCGGAGCTTGCAGTGAGCCGAGATCCCGCCACTGCACTCCAGCCTGGGCGACAGAGCGAGACTCCGTCTCAAAAAAAAAAAAAAAAAAAAAAAGAGCAGGTTGTTCAGTTTCCATGTAGTTGAGCGGTTCTGAGTGAGTTTCTTAATCCTGAGTTCTAGTTTGATTGCACTGTGGTATGAGAGACAGTTTGTTATAATTTCTGTTCTTTTACATTTGCTGAGGAGTGCTTTACTTCCAACTGTGTGGTCAATTTTAGAATAAGTACGATGTGGTGCTGAGAAGAATGTATGTTCTGTTGATTTGGGGTGGAGAGTTCTGTAGATGTCTATTAGGTCCACTTGGTGCAGAGCTGAGTTCAATTCCTAGATATCCTTGTTAACATTCTGTCTTGTGGATCTGTCTAATGTTGACAGTGGGGCATTAAAGTCTCCCATTATTATTGTGTGGGAGTCTAAATCTCTTTGTAGGTCTGTAGGGACTTGCTTTATGAATCTGGTTGCTCCCGTATTGGGTGCATATATATTTAGGATAGTTACCTCTTCCTATTGAATTGATCTCTTTACTGTTATGTAATGGCCTTCTTTGTCTCTTCTGATCTTTGTTGGTTTAAAGTCTGTTTTATCAGAGACTAGGATTGCAACCCCTGCTTTTTTTTTGTTTTCCATTTGCTTGGTAGATCTTCCTTCATCCCTTTATTTTGAGCCTATGTGTGTCTCTGCAAGTGAGATGGGTCTCCTGAATACAGCACACTGATGAGTTTGACTCTTTATCCAATTTGCCAGCCTAGCCCATTTACATTTAAGGTTAATATTTTTATGTGTGAATTTGGTCCTGTCATTATGATGGTAGCTGGTTATTTTGCTTGTTAGTTGATATAGTTTCTTCCTGGCATCAATGGTCTTTACAATTTGGCATGTTTTTGGAGTGGCTGGTACTGTTTGTTCCTTTCCATCTTTAGTGCTTCCTTCAGGAGCTCTTCTAAGGCAGGCCTGGTGGTAACAAAATCTCTCAGCATTTGCTTGTCTGTAAAGGATTTTATTTCTCCTTCACTTATGAAGCTTAATTTGGCTGGGTATGAAATTATGAGTTGAAAATTCTTTTCTTTAAGAATGTTGAATATTGGCCCCCACTCTCTTCTGGCTTGTAGAGTTTCTGCTGAGAGATCCATCATATAAAAAGGACCAAAGACAAAAACCACGATTACCTCAATAGATGCAGAAAAGGCCTTTGACAAAATTCAACAGCTCTTCATGCTAAAAACTCTCAATAAATTAGGTATTGATGGGACGTATCTCAAAATAATAAGAGCTATTTACAACAAACCCACATCCAATACCATACTGAATGGGCAAAAACTGGAAGCATTCCCTTTGAAAACTGGCAAAGACAGGGATGCCCTGTCTCACCATTCCTAGTCAACATAGTGTTGGAAGTTCTGGCCAGGGCAGTCAGGCAGGAGAAAGAAATAAAGGGTATTCAATTAAGAAAAGAGGAAGTCAAATTGTCCTTGTTTGCAGATGACATGATTGTATATTTAGAAAACTCCATCGTCTCAGCCCAAAATCTCCATAAGCTGATAAGCAACTTCAGCAAAGTCTCCGGACACAAAATCAATGTGCAAAAATCACAAGCATTCTTATACAACAATAAAAGACGAGCAGAGAGCCAAATCATGAGTGAACTCCCATTCACAATTGCTTCAAAGAGAATAAAATACCTTGGAATCCAACTTACAAGGGATGTGAAGGACCTCTTCAAGGAGAACTACAAACCACTGCTCCATGAAATAAAAGAGGACACAAACAAATGGAAGAAAATTCCATGCTCATGGATAGGAAGAATCAATATCGTGAAAATGGCCATATTGCCCAAGGTAATTTACATATTCAATGCCATCCCCATCAAGCTACCAATGACTTTCTTCACAGAATTGGAAAAAACTACTTTAAAGTTCATATGGAACCAAAAAGGAGCCCGCATTGCCAAGTCAATCCTAAGCCAAAAGAAGGAAGCTGGAGGCATCACACTACCTGACTTCAAACTATACTACAAGGCTACAGTAACCAAAACAGCATGGTACTGCTACCAAAACAGAGATATAGACCAATGGAACAGAACAGAGCCCTCAGAAATAATACCACACATCTACAAACATCTGATTTTTTGACAAACCTGACCAAACCAAGAAATGGGGAAAGGATCCCCTATTTAGTAAATTTTACTTCGAAAACTGCCTAGCCATATGTAGAAAGCTGAAACTGGATCCCTTCCTTATGCCTTATACAAAAATTAATTCAAGATAGATTAAAGACTTACATGTTAGACCTAAAACCATAAAAACCCTAGAAGAAAACCTAGGCAATACCATTCAGGACATAGGCATGGGCAAGGACTTCATGTCTAAAACACCAGAAGCAATGGCAACAAAAGTGAAAATTGACAAATGGGATCTAATTAAACTAAAGAGCTTCTGCACTGCAAAAGAAACTACCATCAGAGTGAATAGGCAACCTACAGAATGGGAGAAAATTTTTGCAAACTACCCATCTGACAAAGGGCTAATATGCAGAATCTACAAAGAACTCAAACAAATTTACAAGAAAAAAAACAAACAACCCCATCAAAAAGTGGGTGAAGGATATGAAAAGACACTTCTCAAAAGAAGACATTTATGCAGCCAACAGACACATGAAAAAATGCTCATCATCACTGGCCATCAGAGAAATGCAAATCAAAACTACAATTAGATACCATCTCACACCTGTTAGCATAGCAATAATTAAGAAGTCAGGAAACAACAGATGCTGGAGAGGATGTGGAGAAATAGGAACACTTTTACACTGTTGGTGGGACTGTAAACTAGTTCAACCATTGTGGAAGTCAGTGTGGCGATTCTTCAAAGATCTAGAACTAGAAATACCATTTGATCCAGCCATCCCATTACTGGGTATATACCCAAAGGATTATAAATCATGCTGTTATAAAGACATATGCACACGTATGTTTATTGCGGCACTATTCACAATAGCAAAGACTTGGAACCAACCCAAATGTCCATCAATGATAGACTGGATTCAGAAAATGTGGCACATATACACCATGAAATACTATGCAGCCATAAAAAAGGATGAGTTCATGTCCTTTGTAGGGACATGGATGAAGCTGGAAACCATCATTCTGAGCAAACTGTCGCAAGGACAAAAAACCAAACACCATATGTTCTCACTCATAGGTAGGAATTGAACAACGAGAACACTTGGACACAGGAAGAGGAACATCACACACTAGGGCCTGTCGTGGGGTGGGGGGAGTGGGGAGGGATAGCATTAGGAGATATACCTAATGTAAATGACGAGTTAATGGCTGCAGCACACCAATATGGCATATGTATACATATGTAACAAACCTGCACATTGTGCACATGTACCCTAGAACTTAAAGTATAATTGTAGTAAAAAAGAAATTTAAAAAAAAAAAAAAAAAAAAAAACTCCTGCAGCTCAGCCCCTGCAGGAATAACCAGAACAGCTGTCATGGGTTTGCTCAATTTTGTGCTTGAGACCCAAGGCCCTGGTGGTGTAAACTTACAAGGAAATATCCTGATTCATGGATTGCAAAAATTCATGGGGAAAAATGCAGTACCCGGGCAGGGAGCCCAGTCCCGCACTGCCTCCATTGGCTGGGAGAGGGAGGTCCCTTTGCCCTGTGCAGCTCCCAGGTGAACTGTCACCCTACCCTGCTTTTCCTTGCTCTCTGTGTGTTTCGCCAACTGCCTAGTCAATCACAGTGACGTGAACTGGGTACCTTAGTTGGAAATGCAGAAATCACTTTGTTTATCATGTTTGTCTCACTGTGAGCTGCAGACCGGAGCTGTTTCTACTCTGCCATCTTGGCCTGTCCTCCGAGATCAACTTCTTTATAGGTCTTTGGTAGTTTTCTTTCATGCCTGGCTTGTTTCATTAAACCTAAAGTTCTTCAGGTTCATTCATGTAGCAGTAAATGCCAGAATTTTATTCTTTGTTTATGACTGAATAGGATTCTACTGTATATTTATACTACATTTTCTTTATCCATTCATCCACTGATAGCTATTTGAAGTAATGCATTTTTAATTAGCTAGATTTCACCAATTCACAATGTATATAATACTTCAGAACATCCTGTTGTATGTTATAAAAATATATAATGGAATTTGTCCGTTTATTTAAAATAAAATAAAAATTTCAGAAAGTCTAAGATCAAAAAGCTCAATATGTAAGTTTTTAAAACTTAAAAAATTATGCACAATACTTAAAAGACAAAAACTGGAAAAATATTCACAATATACTAAAATAGATAATTTTATTAAATGATAAACAAATAGGTCAATGTGTGAATGTCCAATTGAAAATTAATTTAAGTAGTAAACTTACAAGGAAAACAAGAGGTTCTCATATATGATGATATTCCATTTCACTTATAAGAGAGAAATACACATTAAAATTAAACTGAAATACTTTCAACCATTAGCATAGCCAAAGATCTAATTTTTTGGTAGCACATTAATTTGGGAATTAAGTTCTCTCATACATTACTGTATAGCACAGTCTACCCACATGCTTTACTGTTGGATGGTACAACATCCATGGAAAACAATGTGACACAATAAAAAAAAAACACATATTATAACATTCTACCTAGAAATATTTCTTGTTGTTTATTGGCTATGTAAATATTCACCTATGAATAAGTTACATAGATGAAAGACCTTCCAAAACATTTTTGAGAATTTGAGAACATGAAAGAGAACTGATAGAATTGATAGGAAGATTTAAAGTCAAAGAAAAAGAAAAGGTATTAGTACTTAGTCTGTCAATTTAAAGTGATTTAAGTGATGTCTAATATCACTTATAATAAAGAAAACATACAAAAATATAGGCAATTTCATAAGAAAAGTTTTTGTACCCACTGACCAGCTTTAACAAATCCATGTTATTGCATGTAACAACAGTTGCTTCTCCTTCATTGCTGTGTGACATTGTTATTTTGCTTTATCATATATTGTGTATGTATGTATTGTATATATTTGAGCGTGAAATAGCTGCAGGAAATATTGCCTTTAGTAGACACAGTTTTAGTAGATACTGACATTCACCATTACCAATATCTGTGACATTGTGTATATTTTTAACTGTGTCTTTGCTTCCTCCTCTGTAAAATGGGAGATAATAGTATTTACCTTATGAAGTTTCTATGAGGATTCGATGAGAAAGTATAGGTGAAAATATTTAGAGCTGTTTCTGGCACGTAGTAATTGTGTGTTATTTATTTAACATCATCCTCATCTTCTCTAAGATTGTTCTATAATTCTTTATATAACATAGAATTTTAAAATACACAAGAAAATGTTTTGACATATTCTCTCCTGATTATATCATTTTCAAAGAGGTATACTTTTATAGTATATTGTTTTATAATTATTCTATCCAGCAATGTAACATTTTGATTTATATTTGTTTTTAAATTTACATATAAAATTGTCTATATTTGTGGTGCATATGATATTTGGATGCACATATACATGTGGAATGGTTAAATAAAGCTAACTAACATATGTATTACCTTGCATACTTATTTTTTGTACTGAAAGTATTTATAATCTACTCTCTTAGCAATTTCCAAGTATACAATATATTGTTTGTAACTATAGTTAGCCTGTTGTACAATAAATCTCTTTATTTCTAACTTAATTTTTTGCATCTTTTAACCAATATATTTTTAAAACCTCACCCTTCAGCCTTACTAATTACCATTGCACTTTCCATCTATTTTTTGTTACAGTAGCCCATGGCTGTATCCTAATTAGCTATAAGAGGCCATGCATTTTATTAGGTCCTATGTTCATTTTCTCAGGCAATCCTTAGGGAATGCTAACTTATTTCAAAGATGCTGTCTCTGTTTTTACCTCCCACCTCAGCCAGGAGTTGTGCTTCACAACACAGGTCTACTCTTAGGCAAATCAACTACTTATATCCTGAAAGAACTATTTCAGGCTGCAGGGATTTTTCTCTAATTATAAATATGAGTTTTAGATTTATGTTCTATGACTTTTATAGATCCCTGAAATAGTATTTTGGAATGTGGTTACTTACTAGAAATATAAAAATTAGGTAACGATTTAATTATATTACTAATTATTTACCTTTTATTTTATTTTTGAGCACCTACTAGTGTGTGGCATTTTGCCACTTATTGAAGATGGTAAGATATATAAGTGCAGTTTCTGTTACAAGGGTCTTACCAGTCCCAAAATGTCATCCAGAAGCTCAAGCAAAATTAAATTTTTTCCAAATAATATATTTCTTCTCTAACACCTTATAAATACATTTGGCCTACTAAAATGCATATTCCATAATGACATAAGCAGAAAAATCTTCTTTCAGTCTGTTAACGAATCTTTCAGAATAGTGTTAAAAGGGAACAATATTGTGTTAGTCCATTTGCATTGACATAAATACCTGAGGTTGGGTAATTTATAAAGAAAAGAGGTTTAATTGGCTCATAGTTCTTCAGCCTGTGAAAGAAGCATGGTGCTGGCACCTGCTTCTGGTGAGGCCTCAGAAAGCTTCCAATCAGAAGATGAAGCACAGCAGACATGTCAAAAGGCAAGAGTGGGAGCAAGAGAGAGAAAAGGGGCTCTAAGACTCTTAAACAACCAGATTTCAGGTGAATTAACTGAACTGTATAAGAACTCACTCATCACCATGGAGATGGCTCTAAGCCACTCATGAAGGATTTGTCACAATGATCCAATATCTCCCACTCAGTCCTACTTCCAATGTTGGGGATAACATTTCAGCATGAGATTTGAAAGGGACAAACATCAAAACCATATTAAATATGTACCTCAATATTTACTTCAGTCATTTTTCTTTTGTTCTTAAATTTAAATCAGTAATAAGAAGACTAAGAAGTGAGGCAGTGAGCATGTATGGATCATGAAAGGAGGTGAGGTGGTATTTATGGGGTATACCAGGCCAGGCACGTGCCAGCAAGGAGTGATAGGACTTGTGAAAAACTGATGTCCTAAATTCAATAAAAATAAAACAAAACCTACTAGCAAAAACTCTGCAGGATAAAATTCACCTTACATGAAAGTATAAGGCGAAAGTGCTGAGTTTTATATCCAAACCTATTTGATGCCGAAGTCCATCCTTCTTAATCTCTTAGGGCCATTAATTGTAGTTCATTCCTAAACCAGTACCTTAGTGGACTACCTTGAATGTTTCTAAAACCCTCATCTGCCACACATTCTCCAGACTTTTCTTAGAATGGTCTTAAGCAAATGCTTATTACCATCAATAATCTTTTGAGTTTTGTTTTTCTCACAAATGTTTACTTTAATTCCATATTCTGAGTGTTCCTTCTTGTAAGTAATATATTAAGATTGTAGTAATGTTATAAAAAAAAAAAAAAAAAAAAAAGCTTAGGCTCGGAGCAGCGGCTCACCTCTGTAATCCCAGCTCTTTGGGAGGCAGAGGCAGGTGGATTACCTGATGTGAGGAGTTTGAGTCCAGCCTGGCCAACACGGTGAAACCCCTTCTCCCTAAAAAAAAAAAAAAAAAAAAAAAAAAAATAGCCTGTTGTGGTGGCAAGCACCTATAATCCAAGCTACTTGGGAGGCTGAGGCAGGACAATCACTTGAACTCAGGAGGTGGAGGTTGCAGTAAGCCAAGATCATGCTATTGCACTCCAGCCTGGGCGACAAGAGCGTAACTCCATCTCAAAAAAAAAAAAAAAAAAGCCTCTTGTCAGTTTGTCCCTCTCCCCTGCATGGACTTAAATATGTCTTTGTCTCTTTCCCTTATAATACTTCCTTAACCATAATGTTATGTCACTTGTGTTTCATGAATAATAAGAATAAGAAAAGTCAGAAAATGTATTGGTCAGATTCTAAGGCAGTCTATTTTAACAGAAAAAATAACAGAGCCCAGGATAATTAGATCCTTTCCAAAGTAACTTTAAATATTAGATAATAAGTTAATACATGAGTAAGTGAATGATTAAAAGAATCCAAAATCAGTCCTTCTTTTACTATTTAAGATACGTATATCACTGTCATTTTATCATACTGTATCATTTATTCTTCAAGTATAGAATGTTAATGTACTTGTGTGATGAGTTTTAACAAAAGTCATTTCATAAAGAAAATGCATGATTACATTTTTTCTATAAATACTGATTTGAAATATGAAATATGATATCTCCTTTTTTTAAATTTACTTTTTTTGTGCTGGTGTCAATAAAATGTAATCCAATCCAACCCAACCAATATTCTTACTCGGGAATTGGAGCCATAAAATATCATCTTATTAACTGGGTAAATAAAGCCTGTCTCTTTAGAGTATAACATTTCAAAGTGCTTCGGTGAATTGCAGGCTTTAAGACCACTTCCAGTAAGTCTCTTTGCTTAAGAAAGAAAAAAACATTGATTTTCTAATATATGTCGAGTATGCTGCTCAGAGTACAAAAACCAGTTAAAAAAGACAGTAGCTGTGAAAAGCTGAAGAGAACGTGGGTGAGAGAAAAAGCAATTTATTTTACCTAGGAAACTTTGGAAACTGATTTAAACAGAATAAATGGTATAAAGAAATCAGACATTTGTCCAAAATTCTAAATATAGAAAAAGGGGGTTGAAGTGTAAAAAGCCAAACTGCTTACAAATGTAAAAGTAGAGACTAGTTATCAAATACTTTTTGTTCAAATTGGTCAAAAGGAAGGGAGAAAAATATTTCTGCTTTTTAAACATTATAAATTTACAAATTTTCATTGGCAGTGAAGAAATACGATGTCTTTTCATACTTCCAGATTAACAATTACTTTACCTTTCTTTTTACTTAATTACTTCAACTATTTTTTTGTAATAAATTGACTTTTCTCTTGCCTAGGCAGTGACATGGTTATAAGCACTGGATTTAGGGTCAAGCAAGACTCAGTCTGAATATTTGTCTTATTATTTCTAGATATATAACAAGTAATTTTCTTGAGCTTTCTTTACTTTCAATAATACAGACATAATAATAGTTCCCATATAACAATTGCTTTAATAAAAAGACATATTCATGCAAATGCTTTATCACAGTGCCAGCAAATGGTAAGCATAGTAAACATTCAACATATGCCCACAAGGGTGAATATAATGAGGATGTTTATGAGTCACACTATAGCTGTCTCTCTCTATCCCCTTCCCCTGTGTATATATCTATCAAAAAAATAGTGACACAAGACAGAAGTATCAATACAGTGGATTCTCCATATTTCATATTTGTTGAGTTCTTCATCTGCGAATTCAACCCAACAGGGATTGAAAATATACCAGAAAAAGAGGAAAAAAGGAATAATTGAGTCTGTATCAAACATACATAGAGCTTTGTTCTTGTTATTACTCCCTAAACAATACAGTGTAACTACATACATTGCATTTACATTGCATTAGGTACCATAAGTAATCTAGAGATTATTTAAAGTATAAGGAAGGATTGTGCAGGTTATGTGCAAATACTAGACTTCTTAATATAGGGGACTAACAAGCAAAATGAGTGTTTGAGGCATAAATCTTAAATTGTAGAAGTTTATTGAGCCAGCTTGAGGGTGTGACCAAGAAAAACGTGTCACAGAAGCATCTGTGGCTGTTTTTCCCAAAGAAGTTTTCAGGAGATTAAGTATTTATACCTATTTCTTACAAGTACTGGGAGAGGCAGCAGTGACACAAAGGTTACATACTTGTGAGAGACTTTAATTAGTCCCCAGTAAATCTACATTTTATATAACATAAGGTGAACATTTGAAGAAAAAGGCAAAAGAGGAAGCGACTTCTCAGAGAGAAGTGAGGGAAAGATGAATTTCAACTTGTCTTTGTTCTGTATATGGGAAGATAAGCAAGTAGTCTTTTGAAAGGGCTGGTTTCTGTTTAGCCCATAGGGAAGAAAGCCTGAAGGTTTTTGGGGTAAAAGATGTATAATGAGGCATGTACCATCTTCTATCCCTTTAAGGCCTTGAATTCAGCTTCCAAGATGTCTCTTGGGTTCCCTTGGCCAAGGGAGGGTTCATTCAGTCAGTTGGGGACTTAGAATTTTATTTTTATTTCTCAGGACTTAAGCATCTGAGGATTTTGGTATTTGCAGGGGGGTCCTGGAACAACACCATGAATACTGAGGGGTGTGTGTGTGTCTGTGTGTGTGTGAGAGAGAGAGAGAGAGATTGCATGCAACATAGGCTAGAAAGCAACAACCCTATCACTTATTGAGCACTTACTCTGTGTGATTCTGAGAGATTTAAAATTTAAATAATTCAATAATATCAACACACTAATACTATTGTTAGTCTCTGTTTATAAATAGAGAAACTGAGACATAGGGCAGTTAATCAATAGGTCAAGTACGGGGGTTGCATTACATGCTATCTGGCTTCCAGCATTTGTGGTCCTAGATGTTATTCTTTATTGATTTTCATGGAAAAATTTGAACTTTGAACCCACAAAATGATATCAGAAGGAATAAGAAAAATGCTCTCTCTCTCTGGTTTTCAGCAGCTTCATCAGCATTCTTTTTACAAACATGGCAGACAAAGATTGTGCATCTCTAAATTAGTGTTTTGAAAAGAATTAGTAAATATTGTTAAAGAAATGTTGTGGCCACATGCTCTTGATTTTCCCTTTTAAAAAGGCATTCAGCAACCTACAATTGAGGAATAATTTCAGAACATAAAGAAGGACAATTGAGTTTCCCGGCTTTTATCCCAAATGGCTGCTTAAGAAACCTCTTTCTGTCACACTTGCCCAACTTTAAGCAATGGAAAATAAATTTTTATTATAGATAAAATAGAGGCTTTTAAATTACTTTTGATCATCTGAAGGGCTTATAGACATGATTAGAGAAATTAGAGAATTCCAAAAGGTATTTCTAATGCTTAAATTACAAGAATAAACCTTTCCTGAGGGTCATTTTCTGGACAATTCAACACTGTGCTTTTGTGAAGAGTTAAACTCTCCATGACTCTTATCCTTTAACTACTGAAATTTTAAGAGACTTGATTATCAAGCCAGTGTGATTTTTACTATTATATGCCTCACAAACAAATGTAAGCCTTTAAAGGATTTTAGATTTTTTCTACAATTAATAATATTTCAGATAACTTACCAATAAAGAATATTTCCACTTACGAAATATTTAAAATAGAAATAAAATATTTTAAGGCATTTGTTACATGATAAGCCATTTTTGTCATTGAATATTGTTTTGAATTTTTGAAATATTTACTTAACTTGTAAAGTGCCCTTTGTTTTCTGAACTTTTTATATATGCAGACTGAATGATTTTTTTTTTATATCAGAGGGTGCAATTTAAGAATTTGTAGCCTAAAATTTATGCGAATATCATTAACCAATCTCTTCCCATTACCCCCACCCTCAGCCTCTGGTATCCACTATTCTACTCTACTACTGTGAGATTCACTTTTTTAGATTCCATATTTGAGTGAGATCACGTGGTATTTGTGCTTCTTTGCTTGGCTTATTAACATAGTATGCCCTAGGTTCCTCATGTTGTTAGAAATGATATAATTTTCTTTTTTTATCGCTGAAAGTACTCTATAGTGTATATATACTACATTTTTAATAGATTCATGAGTTGATGGACACAAGTTGATTCTGTTAATTGCCTGTTGTGAATAGTGCTGCAATAAACATGGCAGTGTGGATTTCTCTTTGACGTACTGATTTCATTTTCTTTGGATATATACCCAGTAGTAGGATTGCAGGATCATATGGTAGTTATATTTTTTATTTTTTTGAAGAACCTCAATACTATAGATAATAATGGCTGTACTATACATTCCCACCAACATTGTGAGTTCTCCTTTCTATACATTCTCACCACCATTTGTTATTTTTTCTCTTTTTGATAATAGTCATTCCTAGCTAGAGTGTGGTGATAGCTCATTTTGGTTTTGATTTGCATTTTCTTGATGATTATGGATAAATAGGAGAAAAATTCTGTCATTCTAGTGCACAAAAGATGACTACAGTCTCTAGTGCACAAAAGATGACTACAATCAACAATATTGTATTGTATAATTCAAAATAGCTGAAGAGAGGATTTTTAGTGTTCTCATCACCAAGAAATCACAAGTGTTTTAGGTGCTGAATATGCTAATGACCAATTCAATTATTATAAAACATATATATGTATTGAAAATTCACATTGTACCCCATAAAAAGGTACAGTTGTTACATACCAATTAAAAACAAAATAAAACTTAAAAAACTAATAAAAATAATGACACTAGTGTACCAGTTTTATCACCTAAATGCCGCAGGAATAAATAGATCATTTACTAAGATTACTGGGCTTTTTGTTGGCTTCTTTGTTCATTTTTAATCTGCAAATATAAAAGATTGTGTTACATAATTCTTTAGGTTGAAACATGAAATGATGAAAGAAGACTTCAACTTCCAGGAGAGATTTATTAGCTAGTGGATACTCAGTGCTCCCACCAAAACCACTAGAAAAAAATGTATTTAAAACAAATAAATCAACTAGTTCAAGGAAATAGAGAGCTGAAAAGGCAAAGAGACCTTGACGAAGTAAGACTCCAGATAAGGCAACACTTAGTGAGGTGAACTGACTTTTAAAGACTTTATCCTTGGATGCATTTCATAATTCTGGGCATGTTTTAGGCAGAATAACAGTATTTAAATCCTGTAAAAAGGAATTCAGTTTGCAGATGCAAATAAGGTTGGTAATCAACTGGCCTGAGATAGGGTGGGCACAATCTTTTCACCTGAGTCTTAAAAGCAGACAGCCTATCTTAGATATAGTCACAAGGGACGGGAAAATGCAAGGAGAGTCAAAAAAGGTGCGATGTTGCTGGTTCTGAAGATGCAGGACAGTACAACAAGTTAAGGAATTCAAGTGGCTTCTCGAAGCTGGAAAAATCTTGGAATTGGATTATCCCCTATATTCTCCAAAAGGAAATTCAGCCCTGAGACAGCTTGAGTTTAGCCTAGTGAGATCAATGTTGCATTTCATCCTGCAGAATCAGAAGATAATGCACATGTGTTGTTTTGAGCTGCAAATTTGTGTAATTTGTTATGGTATCAATGGAAAATTAATGCATTGCACAAGCAAGAGTGAGGAAATTCACATTGTGCCATGGGGGCTGTTGCTGTGTAACAGACTAGCAGAAATGTTGACAGAGACTGGGCCTGTGTCAAGCATATGTTTGTTTAGTCCTCAGAGAATGGAGGAAATTGGACACCAAATATTTTATCAAAAAGTTTTTGAAAAACAAAGAGCAACAGCACTCTTGCCAGAAAAGGAAATAAATGAGTTTTTCAGTTGACAAGCCTGAAGGATAAGGGGTGAAGCTGAGGTAGACCCAGCCTTACCTGGACTGACACCCAGGCTCAAAACAGTGCAGTCCCTATGTGCACTGAGATAAACTGCTGGCACTTCATCTCTCTTCTCCTCTCAAATCAATTACATGAATGTTAGAGATTTCAACTTTATTATTTCCTGTATTTTTAAATTACCTTTTTTCCCTGCAGTTATGTTTATATATTGTCTCTTAACCTGCCTTCCAATTTTCTAATCATGCTTTCTTCTCTTTCAGTTCTGCTAAAATGTCTATCTAATGATGTTACTTTCAGGCATTATATTTTACTTTCTAAATGTAAACACGTGGGATTCTTCTATACATTTCAATTTTCAGTGAGATACTCCATGTTCTTATCTATTTTATTCACCTTATCTTGTGTTTTATGTATTATATTGTTAAGAATTATTTAAAGTTCTATGTCAGTTATCTCTGTTATCTGAATAACAGTGTTTCTGCTTTCATGGGCTATGTTCTCTCCTCTAGATTCTTTAACATGTGGTTTTGCCTTCTGGCATGTCTATTGAAAAATGAGACTCCAGATAATGTTTTCTTCCTTCAGAAAGGGGACGATTTACCCTTCCTTCTGCTAGAATGGGAGAGATAAATTACAGGTAGGAAGGCATAAGAGCATCAAAAAGCTAAATATTAGATAAATATAATAAATGTTGGGCAAACATTAACTGTATAAAACAATAATAGTAATGAGTAATAGGGTTTAAAATATAAGTCTAACTGAAATTCATGAATAGAATAATGTAGAAAAAGAGAGGGAAATAAATGACTTTAAAATATAAACCTTTTGCAATATCAAGGAAATCATAACAGCAATATTTTGTAATAGATTGAAATAAGTCAAGGTTACATTTTTGATCTCTAGAGTACTTAGTAGAAAACAGAAAGAATGCTTCATTAACAAGTAATAGAGAAAAAATGGGCTAACAAAACAATATTGAAGTAATACAAATAAAGATCAGAAAAAAGGAACATAGAAGTATTTCATATAGAAAACAAATAGGAATATATATATATAATCAGATAGTTCAATAATTATGTTAAACATAAATGAGCTAAATAATCCAGTGGAAAGACTAAATTTTTCAGACTCAGTAAATGATGACAAACAGATATTTGGGCCTTCAACCATGGCATATTAATAGATTCACCATTTTATCTACTTCTCTATATGTATATGTGCTCATAAATTGCAAATCATTATAGTTCTTGGAGAACATTTACACAGTATATTTCTCACATGCAATTATGTATTTTCTATGATTATATTTAATTGATTTTTTTCACACTATTATTTATAAATTGCAGCAATTATTGTCTAATAAGAAAATGAGATATGTATGACCTAACAAAACTGGGTTCAGTATAAGGTAATTTATACTTAAAGATGTAAAGTAATTACCAATTTCTTAGACAATAGTGATGTGCCAAAACTTAAAGATTTCATTTTTTAAAAATATATCATCCATTTATTGACAATCACTTAAAAACACTGTTCAGCTGATAATGATGAAATTGTTCTATATTTGCTCAATCAAATACATAGCAGCAAGATTCTATTTGTTTTGAACTGTGCACCAATTGCTTTTAGCCACTATCAGGAACTTGCCTATAGAGATTATTACTGTGATGCTCTAAGCATGGACATTTTTTTATTTTACTAATTTCTTCTACATTTGGTAATTGGAATTATTCTGCAAAAAAGAGTTGCCCCTTCTCCTCATTCATAATGCATCAGAATGAGTTAAAAATACTCATTTCACTTATTAAGCTATGATCCAATATTATGATTCATAATGCATCAGAATGAATTTAAAATACTCATTTCACTCATTAAGCTATAATCCAATATTATGATTATTTACTTTGCTACACAAATTGTTCTAGGATTGACCATTTAGAACTTCAGATGTCACAGGATCCTTGGGGTGTTGCTTCATCAGCCAGAAACTTCTATGGCTGGTGGCACCTTCTGCCTGAGTATTGCTTGCACCCACTGGGCTCATTCCACCCACTCAGCCTGGAAGGTTGCACTTGGCAGGTGCTACCAGCCCAGATATCACACCTGCCAAGGGCGAGCCAGCTGTGGAGTGGTGAGGGGTGTGTGGGTGAGCACACACAGGGCCTGGCCACTGCACAAAACCAGGCATCCTGGCTGCTGCAGTAGGGAGGGCAGCCCCAGTTTCCAGCACAGGTGCCAAGTTTGTGCAAGGCTGCAGCTGAACCAGATGTACCGCATGCTACTTCTGCTGCAGGAACCCACATCTGGCTGAGGGGAATGCAGTGGCCGAAAGCTTTCAAATGCCAGAAGCCACCGGCCCCAAAGAGGGTGTCACAGCCCTGGCTTGGGGAGCCCCTTGGTCTGGACTCCCAGAAGGGCTGCAGCTCTTCTCTCCTCCTTGTCCACAACATTATGAAGGGGAGTGGGAGCAGGGGTGCGTATTTCATCTCTATGTATGTTATAGCTCTTTCAGTTCTGACGTTTGGCGGATCCAAGTTCTTGTCATGTGTCCAGGAAAAATGAGGTACTTAGACAACTGGAGGGTGAGCAGAGTGAAGAGGTGCTTTATTGAGCAAAAGTACAGCTTTCAGGAGACCCGAGCCTAGTAGCTCCTTTCTATAGGCAAGTAGCCCTGACGAGTGAGCTCTTAGCTGAGAAGAGACCCATTGTGGATAGCTCCTGTCCACATACAGGTTGTCCCAATGTCTCTGTGTGTCTGGCTGAGTCCAGGGTTTTTATGGTCTTCTGAAAGGAGGAAATGAATGCTAATTGGTCCATGGGCAGCCATGGATGGGCCTAGAAAAAGCACCATAAGTTCTCACTCTGGGCTGCAGTCTCCACCGGGAACTGACAGACTAGCCCCCATGCTTCAGGCTGTCCCTGGCTTGATGGTGGATCTTTACCAGGGACCCGCCCATTTCCACCCAGGAGCCTGTCTGCCTCCTGCCACCATCAATCATGTCATCCACAGCATCCAAGCTGTTTGTGCTGAAAGGCACCTTCAGGCCCACACCAAGCAGCCCTCAGTGCCACTTTGGCCTCCCTCCCATGCTTGTTGGAATCCAAAGTCTGAAGGGGGTCAAGGCAGCAGGGGGCTGGCCTGTTAGTGCTGCCCTGAGCACATACACGCCCAGCCACGTGGTGACAGAGCCCAGGCTTGTCCTCAAATTTGCTACAAAATCAGAGAGGGCACCATGAGTGGAGAGAAGCCAGGCAGCAGCAGCAGGTTCTGCCATCACAGATAATTTCCTGTGTACTTTTGACATGCCTGCATTCTTTTTCTTTTTTGAGAAATTCCTTGTTTTTTGGCAGTACCAGATGATCTAGATTTATCTTGACTTATCTCTACCCCTGCCCTAGAAGTAAGGACTTTTCAGGGAACTCTTATGTTTCTTTTACAGAAGAATATTTAGAAACCAAGATCTGGGCACCGGGTATACCAATTGCTATAATCATGATACTTCTAGACTTTCTTAACACACAGGCCTAGAAAATTAGAATTTTTCATGTACATATACACACACATACAGACATATATAATATGTACATATGTGTGTGTGTTTGCATGTGTGTATGATTATATTGGTGCCTCCCACTTGAATCCAGAGCTAGCCTTCCCCTTTCTTATTTATATTTATTTATTGAGACAATGTCTCACTCTGTTGTTCAGGCTGGAGTGCAGTGGCATTCCTTTCCTTATTTATAATTTCACAACTTTCTTCTGTTATGCAGAAAGACCTAGGTCTCCTTACCTGCAATAATATATGTATATGTTTGTTCAGTCATGTTACACATATAAATTAGTTTTAAAATTACTAATCCTCACTTCTGGAAAACAAATTTAACTTTTTAAGTATAGTGCTTAGGTACATGTCTTTTTGTCCTTAGCCTTCAGAATCTTGTACAAACATTTGTGAAGTTACTTTGGTCAGCTCTTTTCTTCCCAAGGCCCATAAGGGTGGTATGTGGCTTATTTGTAATACATATAGATTTATTTGTCTCTTTCTCCACTCAATGTTCAGTACTACAACATCTTGATTGCTTAAAAAGAATTGTGTCAATTAAAATTTACTCTTTGTGGTGTAAAGATATATGTGTTTTGAAAAATGCATAAAGCCATACATCTACCTCTACAATTACAGAACTTTATATTTGCTTCACAGCAAGTTTTCCTCATGTTGATACTTTGTAGTCAGTTCCTGCCTCTACATTCCAAACACTGACAATTAAGGATCTCTTTATACATCCCTTTATTTTTTACCTGTTCCAGAACATCACATAAAGAAAGTAAATACAATTTTGTATTCTATTTGAGAGTTCGAGGTC